>NC_000008.11:142359935-142662013 GCF_000001405.40 Homo sapiens
GCATGCTGGCTCGCTCGGATGGGACTTCACCCGGACACCATGAGAGCCTCTCAGAAGTGAGCTGGGTGCAGGGAAGGGCTGTGCCACAGAAGCCAGGAAGGCAGCCGGGCACTGTGGGGTGCGGCCTTGAAGGCCTGGGCACAGCAAGAGAGGGAGCCAGGCCTTCCCAACCAAAGCACTCTGCTGAGTTCAGGACGCGGTGGCGCCCCCAAGAACTCCAGGAGAAGGCAGGCCAGCATAAGGGGCTGCACATGGGCAGGGGACCCAGCCAAGGCTAGCACTCAGAGGAGGGAGGGCTGGGCAGGCAGAGGCATGGCCAGGAGGGGATGTGGCAGAGGACAGGGACGAGGCATGAGGGGGACACGGAGTCCCTTGGGGGAGTGTGGCAAGGGCAGAGCGGGCACTGGCTGAGCCACATGTGGCTGAGGGCCTGGGCCAGGGCCGCAGAAGCCATTCGCAGCCCCGCTGAGCGGAAGCTGGCAGCGGGGCCAGGACGGAGGGGTGGGCAGAGGCTGCCAGGCTGTTTTGCCCAAGAATAGCCCGAGCTCCAGGGCTGCCTCAATGAGGCCGGACGGAGGCCAGGGACAATGCCCCACTTGCTCCCAAGGAGGCTTCCTACCGAGCTGCTTCCGTGCCCGCCGAGGCCAGCCACCAGCCCCTCAGGCTGGCGCCGGCCCTCCCCAGGGCCCCCGCCCCCCACCAGCCTGAAGGGAGCCGTCTGTCCTTGCACTGCCCAGATCCTGTTTGCAGGGCGCCGGGGGAAGCGGCGGTGCCAGGGAACACCCACCTCAGGCGTGCCACCACCCTGGCAACTCAGCCTGCCCCTGGGACAAAGCGCCCCGGCCCAGGAGGAGGGAGGCCTGGCAGCAGGCCACACCCACTGCCCACCGGGCTCCCGGCTCCAGCTCTGGGGCTCAGTCCCCAACTCCTGGGCTGTGGGGCCAGTGTGGGGGTCTTGAGCCCTTCAGTCAGACTCCCCAGTAGGGCCTCTGAGGCAGGGGGCCAGGCCCCCACACAGGCAGAGGACACCCAGGCTGGGCCACCCTTCCCCCAGCAGATGGGAACAGCGTTCCCCGGGCCGGGGCTTCCAGAACAGCTCCAGCCCCTCAGCCTGGCTTGAGAGCAGGTCGCCCACAGGGCCAGGCCCCACACAGGTCGCACCAGCTCTCCCGCCCCTGGTTTTCTCATCTGTCAAATGGACAGCAGTCCCTCCCTCACCTTCGGGCACGCGTTCTCTGTACCTCTGACCCGGGCACCGTGGTGGGGACACAGCAGCTCCAGACAGGCCTGGCCTGCTCTCGGAGACTCTGTGCTCCAGATGGGGACAGACGGGAAAGCGGCATCGTGCTTGTCCCATGGGGGAGGAAACGACAAGGGCAGCTGATTGGATGTGCCGGGTCAGTGAGGGCACCAGAGGCCCCGACAACTTGGGCTGCAGGACATGAGCGCAGGGACGGGCTCCTCGGGCGAGCCCAGGGCTGAGCCGCCAACCAGGACACACGGCAGCAGAGGCAATGGCAAGAAGCGGCGCTGCCTCCCAGGAGCGAGGGCACAGAAAGCAGCCCAGGGCCCACACCCAGACGAGGGGCCAGGGCACGGGCGACCTGTGGCCTCCACGGTGCCCACCTGCGGACCCAGTGTGGCTGAGCTCACGCATGGGCTTTCTGCAGCCCCCAGCCTCCCCTGTCCCCTGGGGAAAAACATGGTGACCGAGGTGGAGCTGAACTCACTCCCAGGGAGCTCAGGCTCAGGCTTGCCCTTGGCCAGTGGAACACATGCTACCTTCACACTCCCTAAATGAACCTCAGGCGAGCTCCACAGGCAAGGCCGGAAAAGACAGAGGGAGCTGTCAGTTCACAGGGACGGGTGCACACACACAGGGAGCAGAGGCCTAGATCAGTGGCCAGACCACAGCCAGACCCCGCTGCAGACCGCCGGGAGCCCTCAGCCGCGCCCCACCACAGGGAGAAACCACAACACAAATTTCTGCTCTCCAAAGCCTACCCTTTGGGGGAAACCAGTTTCCAGGGCAAAATGAAACTGCAAAGTTCAAGAGGAGAAACTGAATGATGGATGAGGCGCCCCGATGGCCTGCAGCAGGAGGGCTTGCTGTCAGCAGGGCAGCTGCCCACCAGGAGCCCCCATGGATGGCCACGCTGCAGCTCCTCTGCCGGGTGCGCAGCTTTCACCACACCCCTAACACAGCCTCTCCACAGGCAGGAATCAGACAGCGGCACAGGAAGGGGCAGTCCCAGGAAAAGTGAGCACCTTGTCTGGCATCCTACTCCCAGGCGGGAAGAGACAGAACCAGGACCCCAGCGGAGCTGTGGCCTCAGGGGTTGCTGCTGGAGCTGTCTTCCCACCGTGAATTAGCTGACTCCCTTACCTGGCCTCAACAGACCCACGTTGACAGCAGTAGGTCACCTCCCTGCCCTGGACATTATCGGCCTCTTTAGACTTCTCTGTATAATCCCTAAAAGCATTCAGCGTAAGGCAGAGAACACAGTCTGAGCCCACTTTCTGCTGCTGTAACAGAATGTCACTCACAGGGGAGTCTGTAAGGAAAGAGATTTCCTCAGCTCGTGGTTCTGGGGGCTGGGAAGTCCAAGACAGAGGGGCCTCCGGTGGAAGAGCATACAAGCACACTAGGCCGAGATCAAGTGGGGGCCAGCGCTTCCTCTCATCAGGAGATCACCCCCAGATACGGCAGTGACCACGACCCAATCACCTCTCACGGGTCCCACTCTTCATACCGTCACAATGGTGACTGGATTTCAATGAGTTTTGGAGGGGACATTCACACCACAGCACAGTCCCAGTCCAGGAGCAGAAGACCTGGCAAAGTCCCAGCTCAACCTCTAGCTGGATCTCTCTCTAGCCTGCTGTGTCCCAGCAAGTCCTGGCCCTTGAATCTGTTTCTTTCTCTGTAACATGGGACCAAGAAGGGAAATCTCAGAGGGTGGGTGTGAAGACCAGTGAGATGAAACATGTGAGCCACACTTAGGTCCAGGCAGGAGCTCAAAGCCCAACTTCCAAATCCCTGGACGCTCGGGTCCTGGCCCCATCCTAACTCATAGACATCTAGAAGGGTTCCTGACCCCCCAGAAGCCCACAGCCACCATGCTACACTCAAACAGACCAGTCTCCAAGCCGCCAGCACGGAAGAGGATCTTCTGTCATCTCCCCACGTGGCTGTGTGAGGGCTGTGGCTGCCTGTGCACTGGTATCTACTGGGGATGGCCCTACGGGTAGAGCCATCCCAAGACCATGTGGCCCAGAGGAAGCAGCAGGGCCTGGTGAGGAAAGCGGGGAGCCTCTGGATCCTGTTTCCTGGTTCCTCTAGCTCAGTATGGAGGCTGCTGGCCCTGCCCTCTGTAAGAAAATGTCATACAGATCCATCACCGGTGGAGGTGGCCTGGGGAGACGTGGCCTTTTCAGTGGGAACCAGGGGGAGAGGGAGAAGAGATGTGGGTTAAAGCCCCGATTCAAGGTGCACAGGGGCCTCGTGCCCCTCCCCAGCCCCATGAGCCTGGCTCCACTGCACCCATTCCCTAGGCCACCCGGGGCTTCTCACCAGCCCCCACAGAGCCCCTTCAAGGTGGCCTCTTGGTCCACTGGTCCCTGCAGGAACACAAAAACACAACCTGAAGACGGCGTTCCCAGGGAATCCTGAGCTGCCCAGCCTGCCACTCACCCTGAGGGCCAGACAGACACCACGAACTGGTCCCCACAGGAGCCTTCAAGCTGTGACTGATGTCCCCTGGACCACCCTCCCCTCTACTGCCCACTGCCCACAGAACCCACCAAAACGGCTCCCACCCATGAATGTGCCCTCAGGGTGCTTTGGAAGTCAACCGACCCAGAGATCTCAGGGTGAAGACCACGCACGCCCTCGCAAGAGACCGGGATACCCAATAGATGGTGCCTTGCGTCTGGTCACACCTGCTCACAAGACCATAGTCTCATGTGGAGATGTGTAGGACCTGTCTGGGGGTCAAAGGGGATGATGAGTGACGGCAGACAGCATGGTTCCAGGTGAGGAAGAAGAGTCACCTGTACCAGGAATTCTCTAACTGAAACCTCAATTTTTAAAAGGAGAAAACAAAACCTGGGGAGGGAAAATCACTTATCAAGGTCACAGGGACACAGCGGATCTAGAATAAGGTACCTGGCGCCCCATGGCTGCAGTGCCTTCTACCTGCCCCAGCTTCCACACTCAGGGTTCCTCGGCGCTCTCCCTGCACTGGCACTAAGGCCTGAGGTCTGCCCTCATGGCAGTCTCCCTGCTGGACCATGAGCTACGGAGGAAGAGAAGCATGTCCTCGTCATCCTACCCGCCACACTAAGCACTCCCGCGCTCACTCACCAAGCAGTGGTACTCGATTAGAACTTGGAGGAGTCAGCGTGAATTCATAGTTTTTAAGATGCACAGAGAAATACAGATATAGATGTGTGTGGGTATATATAATCACACAGGCACACTCATTTACATAGCTGAGTGTGTACATGACAGACATCTACTCCCTAGCTTTGTCCACTGAGAGGGCTGAGACACTACACACCCCCACAGCAATGGGCACACCCAGCACAGAGCTCTTGCTTCCTAAATACCACTCTTCACCGAAAGCAAGCAAGAGATATTAACATGTCTTAGAGAAATGGCTGATTCCAGGACTATACCCAGGAAAGTAAAAGATAAGTCTGGATCATGGAGCATGCTGTTATGCAAAAGAGTACGGAAGAGCTCAAATAAAGGTGGGGCATCTAAAAAGGACACAAGAACCAGCTTGAAAAGGCTGTCCCTGGCCAAATCTGGACAATCTGAGCATGAAAATAAATAATGATAAGAATTGTGTAATTCATTGAATAAAATAAAAATTTATGAGTCCACACTGTTATAGATGAATAAGTAGAAAAAAACAAGAAGAGCTTTTCTTTAGAGTAGAAAGCCAGCTAATAACTGTGGAAGGAATGATGGAACCAGCAACCAACAGGATAATCATTCATTCTGGTAAGAATGTCCAACAGATGTTAAAGCTAGTGTGTGAAGGCTTGATGAATAACAGGATATTTACATAATTGCAAAGGATCTTCCCTGAGATACTTATAAATTAAAAATGTAAGAAAATAACTTTACATAAGAGAAGTCTGGTAGGCATCATCTTAATCAAATGATCTAAGTCAGCATCATCAGCCATGGGACAAGCCAGCACCACATACCCCTCTGACACGATGCACAGAGAAGAACACCACTTCCATGATCTCCCTGCCCAAAGTGTGTGACTGTGAGAAACAGCAGAGACACTCAGACTGAGAAGAACTCACCGGCCATCTTCAAAATGTCAATGTTATCAAAGACAGGCAGACTGAGGTGTTGTCTGAAATAAAAGGAGGCTAAAGAGACAATCACTAAAACCAACACAGGATCTGGGATTTCATGTTACTAAAAAGGACGTTTTGCTAAAAAGAACACAACTCAAAAGGTCTGTCCTGTGAATATGAACACAACCTTTAGAATGGAGAAGCTATTGTATCCATGTCAATGTCCTGATCTTGATCACTGTGGTGTAGCTATACACATTGTGTATTTGGGGATCAAGGAGCATCACATCTGCAACTCACTATCAAGTAGTTCTGAGAAAAACCATCCATAAACACATGCACACGCACACACACACACACACACACACACACACACAGAGAGAGAGAGGGGAACAAAGAATAAACCAAATGAGGGGACATGTTAACATTTGGGATATTTGGGCAAAATATACACAACAAGTTTTCCTGTTAATCTGGCAACTTTTCTTTAAAACTAAAATTATGTCCAAAAGTCCTAAATTAAACCTAAAATAAAAACTCACTGGAAATTATTTTTTAATCATAGGAATAAATTGTAAAAGGTGCAAGCACTGAAAAGTGCAAAACATTACTAAAAGAAAGTGAAGAACATGTAAATGAGTGAAGAGACCTACCATGTTCATGGACAGGAACACTCAAGACTGTGCAGCTACAGCAGCTGATGGTTTTGTAGAGGAATTTGGCTGAACATTTCCAATGTGCCAAAAATTGTCCCAGGACACTGAAAATGAAGGATTTTTCTGATTGCTTTTTTTTCTTTTTTTTTTGAGAAGGCTGTTGACCAGGCTGGAGTGCAGTGGCACAATCTCAGCTCACTGTAAGCTCCGCCTCCCAGGTTCATGCCACTCTCCAGCCTCAGCCTCCCGAGTAGCTGGGACTACAGGCACCCACCACCACGCCCGGCTAATTTTTTGTATTTTTAGTAGAGATGGGGTTTCACCATGTTAGCCAAGATGGTCTCGATCTCCTGACCTCATGATCTGCCTGTCTCGGCCTCCCAATCTGATTGCTTTTATGAAGCATGTATAACCATGTCACCAAAACCTAATAAACCTAGTCTAAAAACAAGAAAAAGAAAAAATTACAAATGAATGTTATAAATATTGATGCAAAAATACTAAATAAAACACTAATAAATAAAATCCAAAACCCCCTCTGCTTGTTTTTCCCAGGAATGCAAGGCTAGCTCAACACGAGGACACTCACCAGTGCACTACACCATATTAACCTAAGAGACCTACAGGGAAAAGCTGGTGAGTTTCTCTACAGATGTTAAAAACAGCATCAACAGAGTTGAACGCTCATTCCTGATGAAAACACAAGAAGCTGTCTTATAATGATAAAATAAAGAACCTTTCATCCTAAACGAGCACCTTATTTAATAAATCACACTAGGAACAATTCCCGAAGATCAAGAAGAAAACAAAGGTGCCAGCTATCTCCAGTCCTATTCAACACTGTTATGGTGGTGTCAGCCAATGCAGTTAAAACAAGAAATCAACAAGACATTAAAAACAAAAAAAGAAATGAAACAAAATTCTCTCTCCTTGTAAATGATATGACAGTATACTTGGAAAACCCTAGCAAAACAATGTTAAAATCTGAACAATAAAAGACTCTGGTAAAGTATCAGGATATAAAATTAACATACAGAAATCCACAGCCTTCACATATACAGAAACCAGTCTGAGGCTGCCATGGTAGGAAAAAACCCATTTACAATAGCAACGAAAAATATAGTATACCTAGGAATAAATTTAACATGAAATGGGAAAAATCTCTACAAGGGGACTTTAAAGTATTTTAAAGTTCACAAAACTAGAAGTGATCAAACAGAAAGCTATCCCTTGTTCTTGAATAGAATGACTGTATCACAAAGACGTCAGTTTTCCTATCGCAATAAAAATACCATCATGCGTTTTTATGGAGCTGGACAAGTTGGCAGACAGTTCATATGGGAAAACAACAGGCAGTTCATCTAAGAAAACAAAGACACAAGAATAACTGGGAAAACGCTAAACAAAATGGGCTCGCACTTGCAGACTTTCAGAACCCTAGAGAGTGAAGTCCTGATGTGCGTTACAACAGGGACGGATCCTGAAAGCACCGTGCTAGGAGAGAGGAGCCAGACACCAAAGACCACACATGTTTGATTCCACTGTCATGAGAGGTCCGCAAGACGCAAATCTACAGAAACAGAAAGCAGACAGATGGACGCCGGGGCGGGGGAGGGGGAGGGGGACTAGGGAGTGACTGCTAATATATGTGGGCTTTCTTTTCAGGGTGATGGAGATATTCTGGCATTTGATAGTAATGAATGTACAACACTGTAAGTAGACTAAAATTCACTTAATTATACACTTCAAAACGGTGAACTTTAGGATATGTGAATTACAATGCTATTATAAAAATGCTAGAAAGCCTCTATAACTACAACTGTGCATGAAAATATAAATAGACCAATGGAATGAGGAAGAAAGTCTAAAAATAGAGCCACGTACACATGGAAATTTAGTCTATGATAAATGCGGCATCACAAATCAAAGAAGGACTTGTTCATAAATGGTGCTGAGACACCTGCTTAGACATTTGGAAAAAAATTGGTTCATACCTCACATAATAAAAAGAATACACTCCAAATGGATCATGGCTATCAATACAAAAAAGATAAAACAATCAAAGTATGTGCAGAAAAAATGAATTCCCCTTTAACCTCTATGTAGGGAAAAGTTTCCCAAGCAGGACTCAAAATCAAAATACTATAAAAGGGAAGACTGACACATGTCACAGCTTTTATAAAAGCAAGTGAACAAACAAAAAAAACTTCTGCATGGTTAAAAAAAAAAAGTACCCTAAGCAACGCAGAAAGACAACAGACAAGCAGGGAGAAAAGATTTGCAACATATGCCAAAGGACGAATATTATCCTTAACATATAAAGAGCTCATAAAAACTACAGGGAAACAAACAAAAAAAACAGGCAAAAGACACAAACAGAAAATTTACACACACAGGATATAAAACTGGTGCTTAAACATGTGAAAAGATTGTTCAAGCTGACTCATAACTAGAGAAGTGAAATTTATACTGGTTCGGAGAGTTCCCCTTCTGCCCATGACTAGGAAGCTGGAGAGAGTGCTGCCCGAACCTAACAATACGAAAAGGCCTGTCTCATCAGACAGCTGAAGCGTCAGGGCCATGGAGTAGCCTGAAACCTAAAGAAAGACAAGAGAGTCCCAGGAGAGAAGATGGGAGCACTGGTCTCTGCAGCAGAGAAAGGACGGGAGACCCCAGGGGCCACCCAGGCAGACAAGAAGAATGAAGCCACCTGGGCGGCCACATCCACTCACAAGCTCTTCTCCATGGGCTCAAGAGAAAGCCTAGCACAGGACAAGCCAGGACCCCTGGGGTGCAGGTGCCAGCAGACGGCAGACGGGCGGCCCTGCAGCTCAAAGACAGGAAGCCCCTCTCCCCTGAAGAATAAAAGTCCAAGCCTATGGGATAAGGGCCGCAATGGCTGAGTGCTGTGGCCCCAGGGCATTTGTGAACACCCACAGTGGCTAAGGAAGGGTCAAAAAACACCTTATGTCTCTGGAAAAGGGGCAGAGCACCTTCCTGGGCCCACTGCAGGAGTGCAAGAGAGGCAGAAAACACTCTCCTCTAAAGAGCAGCAAAGGACTCAAGCAGAGTTTGACTGTCGCAGGGAGAGGGAAGGGTCACTGTGAAACCCCCGCTCCCCAGACCAGGCCTGCCTGAGACTGAGGCTGCAATGAGACAACCGCCACCCGGCTGCCAGGCTTCCAACAGCCAGCAGACGCAGCTACTGCTGCAGGAGGGGAAACAGTGTGGGGAGAGACCACCTCTGTATCTGCAGCATGAGCACAGGAGGAAGCCCAACACTGCCGGGGGTAGGGCAGGAACACCCACCCACCTTGAACCCAAAGTAGCTCCAGAGGAATCTGCAGCCAGGTCATATACTGAGGGTAAAAACAGCAGCAACAAAACCCGAATCCAGGGCAACCCCTGACCAGCTGGACTCAACCCCACATAAATGGCCTAGCATAAGGGGCATGCCCATTTCTGAGCATAAATATTATTTATCTCAGTCTGCAGTCCTATAATTGAAGTCAAAATCAATCAAATCAATCAAAAAGTACAAGACACACAAGAACATTAGAAAAAGCAAACCACTGTCAAGTAACAAGACAATCAGCAGAGCCAGACTGAGGAGAGGTCAGAACCATCAAGGAATTTAAAATAACTATGGCTTCTATGTGAAAGGTCCCAGTAGAAAAGATGGACAAAATGCATGAGCAGTGGGGAAGCTCAGCAGAGAAATGGAAACTAACAGGAGGTCGCAGGGAAATGCCAACAATTAGAAACACCAGATGGAAATGAAGAAGCTTCTGGAGCTCTGCCATACACTCAACACAGCCAGGAGGGAAAAGTCAGTCAACCTGAAATTACCCAAACCAAAACACAGAGAAAAAAGTGAAAAAAGAAAACAAAAGACAAGCACCTACCAGACGTTATCAAACGTCCCAGCAAATGTTTAACTGGAATCCCAGAAGGTGAAGAGAGAGAGAACAGTGGCAGAGAATTTTCCAGAAAGAATGAAAGGCATTCACTCTAGACTGAATGTGTTTTCCAAGGTTGGAATCTAACCCCCAACATGATGGTGTTAGGAGGAGGGCCTTTTAGGAGGTAATGAGATCATGGAGGTGGAGCGCTCATGAATTGGATCAGTGCCCTTATAAATAAGACCCCAGAAAGACCCTTCACCCTTCTGCCACGTGAGGACACAGATAGAAGGCCCCATCTAGGAACTAGGACATAGGCCATCACAGGACACCAAATCTGCTGGCACCTTGATCCTGGACTTGCAGCCTTGAGAACTGTGAGAAATACATTTCTGCCATCTATGGTATTCTGCTATAGCAGCCTCAACAAACTGAGACAGTATCATCCCACAGACCCAAAAGGCCCAGAGAGGCCAGGTATGGTGGCTCATGCCTGTAATCCCAGCACTTTGGAAGGCCAAGGCAGGAACATCACTTGAGGCCAGAAGTTCAAGACCAGCCTGGCCAACAAAGTGAGACTCCATCTCTACAAAAAATAAAAAATAAATTTAAACATTCGTTGGGCACAATGATATGTGCCCAGCTACTCGGCAGGCTGAGGTGGGAGGATCACTTGCGCCCAGGAGTTTGAGATCACAGTGAGCCAAGCACCACCGCACTCCAGCCTGGGGGACAGAGTGAGATCCTGTCTCAAAAACAACAGCAACAACAAAACCCAACAACAACAAAAAGCTCAGAGAACACTACAGAAAATAAATACTAAATAAAAAAGAAGGTGAAAAGCACATAGAAATATCATACTCAACCTGATGAAAACCAAAGGTTAAAAAATCTTGAAGCTGACAAAGAAAGAATACAGACTGCATGCAAAGAAATGAAGAAAAGAATTACAGCTGACTTTCCTTCAGAAATCATGCAAGCCAGAAGACAATGGAGTGACATCTTTAAAGTGCTGGGAGGGAAAACAAAAAACAAAAAAAAAAAAACCTGCAAGCCAGAATTCTATACCCAGTGAAAATATCTTCAAAAATGAAGTAGAGAAAAAAAGCTGCTGACCTAACTACCTTCGGAAAACAGCATTCTGACTGGAAATGTCAGACTAAAGCAAAAGGGACTGTATAAAAACACTACACTTCAGCTGCCAAGGCTGTTTCTCACAGGTACAAGAGGACATCATTTCAGATCCTACAGACATTCAAAGAATAAGGAGGGAATATTACTAACAACTTTATGCCCATAAATTCAACAACCTAGATGAAATCAACAAATTCCTTGAAGGACGCAACCCTGAACAGCCTTGTATCTATTAAATACACATTGAACTGATAGTTAAAAACCTTCCATTAACAAAAACTCCAGGCCTAGAGGCTTCAGAGCAAATTCTATCAAACATTTAAAGAATACCAAATACATAAACTCTTCCATGAAGGGGGAAAAAAAACCCTGCAGGAAGCAAAGTCGGGTGAATGGCTGCCAGGGGCTAGGGGTCGGCCATAGGGATGGACTGCAGGGGGCAGGAGAAAACATCCTGGGCGGTGAAAATGTCCGGTGTCTTGACGACAGTGGTGATGCACGACTGTACAAATTCATCAAAATTCACTGCACACTTAAAAGAGTAAATTTTATTGTATATAAATTATACTTCAATAAGGCTGACATCACAAAAACAACCAGACAACACTCATTAATCATGACAGCAACCAGGATCACAGTCACCCTTGTGAGGAGGTATCGGGCTGTAAAGGAGCACAAAGGCAACTTGCAGGCGTTGGAAACACTCTGTTTCTGTATCGAGGTGGTGGTTCCAGGGGTGGATACACCTGCAACAATTTGTCAGGCTGTATACTTAAGGTATGTGTCTCTTACCATACGTGAGCTAAACGCCAACTCTTAAAAAAAAGAGTATGAATACAAATTTTTAGCCTAAGCTGAGGGTTGGCAAACAACAACCCACAGGCACTCTGCCTCATCTGCAGTAAAGCTTTGCTGGCACACAGCCACGCCCATTCATCCATGAGTTGTCTATGGGCTGCTTTTGTACCATGGGGCAGAGCTGGGTAGCTGCAACAGACACTCTAAAGCCGGAGAACACCAACATATTTACAGTCTGGCCCTTTCCAGGAAATGTGTGGTGATTCTGGTTTAAGCAAATGGAAGAACAGGGTTGCCATCAACCAAGGAGACGAAGGCTGTGAGAGGAGGTGGTGGATTCTGAATTCTGCTTGGCAGACATTAACCTTGAGAAGCCACCTCACTGAAAACACAGTATGGGCAACTGAACACAGGATCTGATCTCAGGGGAGAGGCTAGGACTGAAAGACCCACCACGGGAGCCTGACCCCGCAGGTCCGCAGCACGACAGACAGAGGATGGGCCCTGGGCATGTTCACTGCAGCCTCAGCTCCTGGGACCTGGCATCTGGCAGCAGAGTGGGAGGAGCCCCACAACCATTTGCTGAAAGAATGAGAGAAAACCAGCGAAGGATGAGTGGGAGGGAGAAGGGAAGGGAAGAGCTGGAGAGGCTGGGACACGGAGTACAACCATGAATGTCAGCCTTACAGCAGCCACAGGATGGACCCCCTCTTTAAGAGTGGGCACACTGGCTTTGGAAGGATGAGAAGAGAAACTGGGCCCCAGGGACAGACAGAGGCTGCGGGGTGGAGCGGGGGTGCTGGCTTCCCTCACCCCTCATGTGAGCAGCAGGGGCAAAGGGGCTCCTGCCTGGGGGCACCCCTGGCACATTCCCGAGCCTCTGTGCCCCTCCTCCATGAAATGGTCTTAGCAATGCTGGAGGATGAGCTGAGCTCACATACGCAGAAGGACCCGGAACATCCCCAAGGGCCTCCTCCTGAGAAGGCCACCCCACCAGTGCCATTTCCTTCCCTGCTGTGCCTCTCCCAGCAGACTCCCCCAGGCCTCCTCTTGAGAAGGTCACCCCACCAGTGTTGTTTCCTTCCCTGCTGTGCCTCTCCCAGCAGACTCCCCCAGGCCTCCTCCTGAGAAGGCCACCCCACCAGTGCTGTTTCCTTCCCTGCTGTGCCTCTCCCAGCAGACTCCCACAGGCCTCCTCTGTGGCCTCTTGGCCAAGCCCCTGCCCCTGATTTCTGGACGCTTTTTCTTGCTCCACTCCCTCCCTCTGTCCCTCCATCCTACCCCTCAGCCTGTCCTAGGCCTCCCCCGTCACCTGTCTGCTGAGACCCCTGAGTGGGTCTCTCTCTCGGACTGTGTCTGTGTCTCCCTCAGCCTCTGTCTCTGGGTGTCATGAGAAGAAAGAGAGGAAGGGAGGCCTCACAGGACCAGGCAGCAGGCATGTGAGCCCAGCCTGGAGCTGGGCACAACTCCCTTAGGAAGAAAACCATCTGGTCTGTGAAGGTACTGCAGGGTGCAACCTGGGCTACGGCCATGGGAGTGGGTTCAGGCCCGGCCATGCTGCCACCCTCAAAGGACAGCTGGGTGATCTCAAAGGTCCAGCCAGGTCTCACCCTGACTGGCGGCTGGGAGAGAGGAGGCTGGGAAAACACCCACAGGGAAGGCCAGCAGCGGGATGGCAGGGCCAATCCAGACTCCCGCCAATACCCCACCTGGCCCAAGAAACCAGGACACAGGCATCAAAGACAACATCAAGAGGGGTTCACTGCCATCCTTCAGGAAGAAAGCCCGGCAGGCCCACGAGCTCCATGGGACCCTGAGACCACACCACCATCCTACAGCTGATGGACGCTGGCCCCTGCTCTCTGTGACGCCCCCACCCCCACCCCTCCTTCTACCTCTGACACAGGGACCTGCCACAGGAGAGAGAAAGTGAGTCAGGCAAGGAAGGGCCGAGCACAGAAAACCACCAGAGACCTGCCTGCTGCCCATCAGGGCGAGACCTAGACCTCCGGGATCCAAGAAGACAGCCTTACCCACTCCAGGCAGAGGCAAGCAGGCACACACAGGAGAGGGAGCTAGGCAGGGGAGCGGGGAAGCGGGGAGAGGGACGGCCAGGGAGGAAGGGCTCAGAGCACAGCCAGCGGCACACCCAGGGGATTAAAACATCAACAAGAAGAAACACCTCAGGCTCCAGGTAATACACTGTGTGTGTGGAGCAAAGGGGAAGTCTCCAGGAGGCGTCAGTGAGGAAAAAAATTAAAAGACTAAAGTTCAGGCCAGGCGACATGGCTCATGCCTGTAATCTCAGCACTTTGAGAGGCTGAAGCAGCCAGATCACTTGAGGTCAGGAGTTCGAGACCAGCCTGGGCAACATGGTGAAACCCCGTCTCTACTAAAAATACAAAAGTTAGCCAGGCGTGGTGGCCCACACCTGTAATCCCAGCTACTGGGGAGGCTGAGGCAGGAGAATCGCTTGAACCCAGGGAGGCGGAGGTTGCAGTGAGCCGAGATTATGCCATTGCACTACAGCATGGGAGACAGAGCGAGACCTAGTCTCAAAAAAACAAAAGAAAAAGAAAAAAAAAAAGACTTCAGTTCACTCACTGGGGACTTGGCTTCCAGGCAAATCACTTTAGAAGTGGGAAATGCGGCTGGGTGCGGTGGCTCACGCCTGTAATCCCAGCACTTTGGGAGGCCGAGGTAGGCGGATCACGAGGTCAGGAGATTGACACCATCCTGGCTAACATGGTGAAACCCCGTCTCTACTAAAAATACAAAAAAATTAGCCAGGCGTGATGGCGGGCGCCTGTAGTCCCAGGCTACTCGGGAAGCTGAGTTAGGAGAATGGCATGAAACCCAGAGGCGGAGGTTGCAGTGAGCCAAGATTGGGCCACTGCATTCCAGCCTGGGCGACAGAGTGAGACGCTGTCTCAAAAAAAAAAAAAAAAAAAGTGGGAAATGCATGAATTATGGCCCCTGGAGAGTTTTCTCAAACAAAGACCATCTGAAAAGGGGAAGGAGGCTCTGAGAAGGCTCTGGAAACTAGTGGGGGCAGGGAGGGGCTGGGGCGGAGGAAGGAGAGACTCAGCTCAGCCTGGGGAACAGGCGCTGGCCTCGGGCTGCCCTGGGAAGACCCCACACACATCCAACTGCTGCTACCAAACCAATCCACATTTGACAGAACCCGCCAGGGACCCGGCGCCAGGCAGGTGCCCAAGCACCATTAGTTCCTGTCCCCTTTCCCCAGGGAGGAGACAGGCTTGCTGGAAAGACCCAAATTTAGGGTCACCACACCTCAACCACAGTACTCGACCACAGTACCCAACCAGAAGAAACAGAAGTGGGTCTCACACAGGGGTGGCCCCATTGGTCACAGTACACTCCAAGCCTGCCACGTGCCGGTCCTGTCCTAAACACTGGGGTACAGCAAGGGACAAGCCACACATCTGCTTCTGGGTGCCCGTGAGAATGGGGCAGTCTCCCAGCTGCTCCCGGCACCCACAGCGGACAACTGCATGTGGCCCCTTGAGGACAGGGGTGCACACCCAGGGCCTGGCCTGTGCTGGACAGAGAGCAGCAGTGGAGCGGTGCCCCGGGGGAGGGCGGGTAGCAGGTGAGGAGCGCCACACGTGGTGGTCAGAGCAGTGCGGGTGTGTCCCTAAGTCTCTGCAGGGAAAGGAAGCTGGGCTGGCAGAGGATGGCGCAGGCCCTGGCAGGGCAGGCACTGGCAGGACATGCCCTGGGGCTGGGCGCCAGCTTCCTCGGCTCCAAGGGGACCCGCCAGGCAGGCCTGGCAGCAGCTTCCTGAATGCTCAGCCCACTGGGCAGCCTTCGGTGCACCTCCCGGTGAAGTCCGCCATCCAGCTCACCACAGTGCACACTGCATGCTCTCTCAAAGGTCTGACCCTTCAATTAGCAAAGCAAGTGGTTCAATGAAAATGAAATCCTGCCTGTGATGCCACCAGCACTCAGCTGCTGGGCCAAACTCCCCGCACAGAGACCCCCAGTCATGGCAACTGAGGCCCAGAAGATGCGGCTTCCTAGCAGCAAGAGCCTGCTTGCTCCCAGGCCTGGCTGGCTCCCATGAGGCTCCAGCTTCCAGCACAGGCCCAGGCTGGGGTTCCAACTGATAGAGATGTGTGGACGCCTGCAGGGTGTAAGGAGAGAGGAAGAGGGTGGGCAAAAGCAGCGGGCAGGGCCTCCTAGATCTGGCTGCCCCTCCAGGTCCATGGGTACAACAGAGGCCCCTGTGCTGGACACTTCACAAGTCGGACCAGCCGCTATAAACATACGGAAAACATGGTCCCAGCAGAGTCGGTGGACACTGCAGACTGCAGAGTCCGCGCCTCCCTGACCTGCGTGCAACCTTCAGAGAATCGCTCCATCTCTCTGAGTCTATCCACATAATCCAAAGTGCAGGAGCAATTTGCACCCCGCAGGGCTACTGAACGGGTGAGAAAGGGACAAGGGTGTGTCTCACGCAGTGAGACTCCACATGTGTCTTGGTGCCCTGTTTTCCCCTGAGGGGAACTTGAGAACCGCAAGGGCGACCCTGGGGCCCAGTGAACCCTGCTGTGGTCTGAATGTTCGTGTCCTCTGCAAGTTCCCACTTTGAAATCCTGCCTCTAAGGCGATGGCGTTAGCAGGTGAGGCATTTGGGTGGTGAACAGGTCATGAGACAAAGCCCTCATCAGTGGGATGAGTGCCCTTGTCAAATGGACCCCTGAGAGAGCTCCGGCCGTCTTTCCACCATGTGTGGGCACAGCAAGACGTCAGCGGCCTGCAACCCAGAAGAGGGCCCCCCAGAACCACCCCTGCTGGCACTCTGATCTCAGACTTGTAGCCTTCAGAGTGATGGGAAATGAGTGTCTGTCACCAGCCAGTTCATGGTATTTGTTCACCAGCCTGAATGGACTGAGAAGCTCCATGGCCTGGAGAAGGTGTCAGGCAGAGAGACAAGGCCAGCTGGAGAGCCCACCCAGACACGGGACTCCCAGGGCCCGGGCATGGGGGCTGTAACCCCGAGTGGCAGACCCGGGGCCTGGAGTGCCAGGGAAGCGTGTGCCGAGCCATCAGTGGACACCCCGCAGAGAGGCCAGCCCTTCCTTGCCCTTCCCCTAGGCCAACAGCTTCAGGCTGATCAGCAGAACCTGGGCAGAGCAGGGAGAGCCACACAGGACCCTGGGCTCAGGAAGAGAGGGAAGCACTCCTGAGTCACACAGGAAGCAGAGGGCAGCTACTGGCAGAGCCCCACACCTCAGGCCTGCCCTCCTGTCCCATCTCTCTGCTGTGCCCACCCTGCCACCTCCCCCCGTCAACGGGGGACATGGCAGCACCCTCAGAGCCCATCCCTCCAAGAGCACGTCCCCTCATGTTCTCCGCAGACACTCCTCATCCAGCAGCCCAGAAACCAGCAGGTGACTTGGGACAAAACATACTCCAGCTCTTCATCTCATCAATTACCCAAGATCTATCCCAGATAGACTAAAGGGCTACATCACTTACAAATCAAAAGTAAAACATTAAGACAGCCCCAAAGAAAACATCTACCAAATACAAAAGCAACGTTATCCACACACACGAACACAGACTTGGCAGCATACTAAAAAAAAAAAAGCTTCTATAAGTTAAAATGCAACATAGGCAAAATTAAAAGGCAAAAGATAAAGTGACAACATATTTGCAACAAACATGACAAAGGCTGCTACCCTCAATAAATAAGGCCCTCCTACAAATTCATTTTTAAAACATTCAGACATAACATGAACTAAGTCAGGGCAGCGTGCAGGAAGGCAGGCGAGCGCCCCAGCAGCATGACAAATAACCCAAGAATCGCAGGAAGGCTGCTCCCAGCCAGAGGATGCCAGCACCTGCCATCGGGTTAGTGCTGGTGCATAACTGGGGGAACGGCAGGGACCCCAGCCTCAGACACAGCTTGTGGGGGTGCGAAGCAGCACAGGCCCCTGCAAAATGATCATGCAGAGGGACCCCTCTTCACTGCACCCCCAGAGCTCTGCTCCAAGGAATCCAGACAGAAACTACCAGAAGCTGGAAGCACTGGAAACAAAAATCAAGTAGCTGGAAACGTCCTAAAGACTCAGTAATAAATAAATAACAAACCATGCTACTCATTTATATAATATGCAGCATCTCTAACCAGGGTCTATACACGTGTCTTTAGTGATGTGGGTAAGTGCTCAGAGATGCCGAAGTGGATGGGCTGCATGTGCATGCGTCACACAGCCATCCCACACAGGGATCCGCGCGGTGAACTATGCGGTCCTTTCTGATATCAAGACGCAGCAGTCCCTGATCCAGCCACTGACACCCCCAAGCACTTACATGCTGGAAAGGCGCAGCCCCAAGACCCCGTACACCATGGTCAGAGCAGCCTTGTGCCGATTGCCCCAAACAGCCCAGGACACAGGACAAACCCTGGTCTGTCCACACACGGGAACACCGCTCAGCATCACAAGGGAGAAGGCGCGGACGCCACACCCACAGTTCAGGAAAGCAAAAGCAGCCAGGCCAAAGAGAGTCATGCTGTGTGATACCATTTACAGAAAATTCTAGAACAGGCAAAAGTCGCATGTGGTGACAGAACTCAGAAAGGCATGGGAGGGGCACAAGGGACTCTCTTGGGGTGGAAGATCACCTTCGTGGCACGAGCAAAGACAGCCATCAAAACTCATCACACGGAACACTGGGGAGCTGTGTGTCCTACTGTGTGTTAATTATACACGCTTGAAGTTTGCGCACTTGCACAGCAAAAAGACCAGAAGGAGATCTATTACAAAGCCGAGAGTAAAGTTCTCCCAGATGTGACAGCAGGCATGAGCCTTGAATCCACCGCTCAGGGTAAGAAGCCAGTCCCAAAGCACCACGTGTCATCCAAGGTCATTTACAGGAAACGCTCAGAACCCACAAATCCACAGAGCCAGAAGATAGATTAGGGGTTGCCCAGAGGTAACAAGGAGACAACCTCAGTAGCTGCTCCTGGTGGGCCTCAGGGAGCCAGTAAGCTACCGCCCAGAGGTCCTTCAAGGCGCACGGGCGTGTTAGGTGCTCCAACGGGCACGGGTGTGTTGCCAACAGCCCACCGCAGGCCCAGCACCCTTGGTTCCACGGCAGCCTCTGAGTGTGAGCTCCTCTGAGGCCCCGGGTGGCGCACCCTTCAACACCCAGGGCTGGCCCAGGCAGACACCCTTCCCACCAGCAGGCTCTGTGGTCGCCAAGCTCACAGGGCACTCTCATAGCTCCCTGGATGCGGCTATCATGCCAGCCTTGGGAGGACTAGGCTAGCAGCATCCCTTTGCAGAGGACTCTCAGAGCAGAGGACCAAGCCCGCAGCAGATCAGCACGGATCAGAGCAGCTCACACATGTCCTCCCACCCCACGTCAGCGCCTCAGCAGCAGATGCGGCCTCAAATGCGTCAGTCTCCTCATCTGTATAGTGGGCATGCCTCAGCGGGCCGCTGCCAGCAAGGACAGACCGTCCGTCACGGAGTAGGCACCACACCTCTGAGTAAGCCTCCAGGGGCTGCCTCTCCTCCTAACCCCCAGACTCAAATGCCCCCAACCTCGCCCTCCCAGTGAGCAGCAGCTCTGCACTCGTGCTGCGCTCATGTCTGGGGCCAGCCAGCAGGGGGATGAGCCGCACGCTGGCCGAGGGGCTACGCTTGCCCAGAGGTGCTTGTCTGGGAAAAGGGAGAGTGGTTTCACAACTTCTAAAACAAACACGGCCAACACCACTCCTGCCAGGGGCACGATGGGGAACGGGGCGGGGAGGCCCACTTGTCCTTACACCTTCGTTTCCTAATTCAGTTTTCAGGGTTCAACGTGCCACAGGTACTTCCACACCCTTGAAAGCCCTTCTCTGCCTGACGGGGAGGCGCGAGACCACACAAAGGAGAAGAGAGACCCCACCAGACAGACGCAGCCCCCAGTGCTCCGCCCAAGCCCCCAAGTCAGGTGTAGGGCCCCAGCTCAGGGCTCCAGCTTTACGGGTGGGGCCAGGGCTGCCTCAGCCTCCAGGGCTCCAGGCTGCTGACATAGGCCTGGCAGGGCCAGGGGATGCCCCAGTGCCACCCACCCAAATCTGCCTAGATCTACAGCCTTCAGCAGGCTCTTATCCCAAGCAGGGTTCTGTGGTCCCTGAGGGAAAGGAAGCATCTAATCCCCCTCTCCCCAGGGTCTGAAGGGCCTTCTTGTGCCGCTGCCCCCAGCAGAGGAGAGAACTGACACTGGAGGGAGAGGGCAGGAGAACATGTGGGTCTCGCACACTCCCCACTGCCAAATCTGCGCTGGGAGTTCCAGGTCACAACAACAACAATAAGAGTGGGGAGGTGGGTGGACACCAAGGCCAAGCTTTGTCCAGGGCGTACCACGTCACCAGGCACTGTCCTAAGCACTGAACTCATTCCCACCTCCCAACAACTCCACAGGACAGAAACGGAGACACAGATGAAAGAACAAGGAGAGCCTGCAGCACGTCCATGGGGAGGCCGGGCCTTGCCCTCCGCAGATGGATGCAGAGCCCGGGGTCCCACCCATGGCCAACGGCCCCTTCCTCCTTCCGGGCACCACCGGACACAGCAGCAGCAGGCCACAGAGCAGGGAGGACGCAGCTGGGACACTCACCTGGGGCTCTGTGGGCCCAGGACAGGCTCATGGCATCGTGGAGCCTCCTGCGGGCTGAACTGCATGGAGGGCAGAGGGGACAGACCCTGAGGCAATGTGCCCCTATCACGCTGCATCCTGACCCCGCCCCCACCCCTGCACTCATCTAGCCCAGGCCACCCCACTTCTCACAGCAGCCCCTCCATGGGGCTCCCCAGCCAGACTGTAGGCTCCCTGCAGAGCCCCTCCCTCTGTCCCCTGCCCAGAGGACAGTCCTGCCTCCCTCACGGGGAAACAGCAAGTGTGGAAACAAGCTGTGTGGTGAGGCTGAAAGTTGGTAAAATACCCGTAACGGAAAAAAGACTGCAAGGAGAAAACGCTCCAGGAAAGTCTGAGTGGCCACCAGGGACGGCCCACGGCGGATGCCACCGACACCACCTGCTGACAGGCGTGGTCTGAGTTTTCTACAAGGAACGAGTACTATCTTAGGAAAGTGAGATAAAGTCCTTTTAAGAAATAATAAAGGGGGGGGAATGCTGCAAAATCTTCCATTGCCCTTCTCTCCTCGCCCTCACCCCCCACACACACATGCACCTGCACACACACCTGCACAGCTGGCCTCCCAGCATCACCCACAGCAAGTCCCTGGCTCCAGCCTCAGTCCCAGCACTGCAGACTCAAAGCAGGCACACAGCTTCCCAGGCCTCAGCAGCCAATCAGGGCCGTCAGGGCCTTGCCCTGGCCCAACTGCTGGGCTCCAAATCATCTTCAGAATCAGTGCCAGAAGCTGCTCCCCTGGGAATCCTGCCCACCCTTGTCCCTTGACCTTGGAGCACCAGGGAAACTCCTGTCTCCACAGCATCCACCCAGCCCAGGTCCCTGTCGGGCCATGGGCAGCCCAAGGCCATGTCTCAGCCACCTCCATATGGCCAGCACCTGCCCACTCTGTGATGGTCCCAGGATGAATGGCTAAACCCCACGGCCGGGCAGCAGGTGTCCAGGGAAGTGAGCTGCCCAACGCACTCCTGTCAGTGCTGGGGGAGCCTCCGGCCTCCCCCTTCCAGCACCCAATGGGCTCTCCCCTTGCTAAAACCTATCAGCGCCCCCCCCCACCCCACCAAGCACAAGGGTGGAGGTCAGGGTGGGCTCAGGGACGGTGGCACAGGCAGGAGTGTGTCTTGGAGCTCAGCGCCCTTTCTGGGAGACCCCAGAAGCAGAGGCAGGCGCCCAGCAGTGCTGAGGGGTCTGGAGTGAGGCAGGAGAAGGGCAGCACCCAGGGGAGCCACACACCTAAACGAGGAGGAGCCACGTGGGGCAAACCACAGAGTCTTCCAGTTTCCTTCAGTGGGAGTGTCAGCCCCAGGCTGTAAGCAAGTCCCCAACCCCAGATGACCTGGGCAAGCATCGTCACCTCCCCGCAGCTCGGCGTCCTGGGCCAGCCCCTAATGGAGCAGAAGACAAGCCCTGCCTGCCTTGGCATTGGGAACAGGCAGCGCCCGCGGGTGCCGCAGCTCATCCTGCGTGTGGGAGACACTGAGTCACAGCCACGGCTCATGCCCGCACCCACTCTCAGACGCTGCCCAGTCCTCCCCTCGGTGAGCAGGCCGCCACCTCCTCCTCTGACGGGTACCTGACACCCCCCCTACACACAGGCCAGATGCTCGGTGGAGGAGGCCTGGCCGTTCCCAGGCCCACGCGCCCCTGCCAGCATCAGCCCTGTGCAGCCTCCGTGTGGAATGGGGCCCCTGCGCATGGGCATCCGAGTGGCATGTGTGAGCGTGTGTGCTCATGTGTGCGACAGAGAGCCAGAGGAGGAGGAGGGCCCAGCTGGGGAGCTGCAGTTACATGAATCAGTGTTGTTATAGCAACTTCAACTCCACGTCAAGCAGAATGCCAGCCGGGCACCCCCAGGCACCTCGTAGACCACGCCCAGAATCAGCGGTGGAGAAGCACCGATCGCTAACGGCACAAATGGGCGGTCAGAACACCAGCAACACACATCCTCTTTCTCCCTCCCAACCTCCATCATTCCCCGGGAGGCCGGCCTCTGCCCACTGACCAGCTGCCGGCACTGCCCGCCAGTCCCTTCTGCTCGGGATGGCAGCAACAAACAGCAAGATGCCAGCGCCTGAGTCATGCGGGCAGGGGGCAGGGAGCACCCCTGCACGCAGCTGCACACAGCCCAAGAGTCATGCTGTGCCCTCAGGCAGGGACCTCCTGGCAGAGAGAAGGTCTGGCCATGGGGTGGCCAGGAGAAGCAGAGCCACCCACTGTCACCTTCAGGCCATAAGGAGGAGGGGACCCATGGGCCCCATCCACTCAGGCACATTTCACTCCAGAGGAAAGCTGTTCACTTCACCAGAGGCCAGCTTTCCAGGAGAGAAGGGGCCCGGTAGGCCCTGCCTAGGGCCAGTGGCCGTCACTTCAGTGAGCTCCCAGGTCTGTGCGGAAGGCACTTTTCTGTCCTTCCACAGATCACAGAGTTGGAGATCAACCACGGAGTGGGCCCGGCCCTCGTCCAGGGTGGAGGCAGCAGGCAGCAGGCGGTGAGGGCCCGAAGTGCAGGCTCTTCACCACTGTGCTGGAAGCACAGCCCCAGCCGAGCAGGGTCTGGGGGGAAAGGAGGGCAGGGGGGCAGGAAAGGGGCCTCAAGAGAAGGTGGGGACCCTCTCTGGAGAAGGGCACAGGGACCCACAACAGGACAGGGAAAGGCTGGCCCTAGCCCTGCCTGGGACCAAGAAGAGCCCCGTCATGCAGGTGGTTTTCCTACAGGCAGCCTCAGAAACAGGGGTGGAGTCATAGGCCACAGGACCTAAGGGAGGGGAGACAGGAGAACCAGGGGTCAGTGTGCGTGGAGAACAACCCAGGGTCAGGCTGGTCAGCAGCAGCTGAGAGAGAGCTGGAGAAAGACAGGCCAGGGCAGGGCACAGAGGCTGGGTAAGACGTGTGGTCAGAGAACAGGATGCTGCCACTTCAGGGCCCAGAGACAAGGCACCACCCAGTACAGAGTGCAAATGCCAGACAGCCATCCTCTGTGGGAGGCCCCAAGCACACCCAGGACAGAGTGCAAATGCCAGACAGCCATCCTCTGTGGGAGGCCCCAAGCACAGCTGGCCAGGCGCTGTCCGTGGTGCTGAGAGCCACAGACGGCAAGCTGCCCCCACCAGCCTAGTCCACACCCACTAAAGCCTCATGGGGTCTTCCCTCTCCCAGCCTCAAGCTCAGCACCTGCCAGAGCTGGAGGCCCTACTGTCACGGCAGGGGGCAGGAGTGTGGACACGTATTTGCTAAGTGCCTACTGTGTGCAGCCACCAAAAGAGGCACTGGAACATTTCCTTTTTCAATGTTCACAACCCTAGGAGGTTATCAAGGTGAGGAAACTGACCTCGAGTGTTAAGTATGGCTACGTACATATTTTTCCTATTTCCTTCTAGAACTCACCTTAAAACAACAAGGAGAATGCCCCCACCACTGCTACCAAATTAACAAAAAGTTTGAAAATCCAAGCTTCACGTTTAGAAAAAACAGGAAATAAATACAATCTATAGGCCCTAAAGCACAAGTGAGGGCTATGACCAAGAACAGAGAGGGCAGGCAGGGCCCACACAGGAGGGAGTGAAGCAGCACTGGCGGTAGAAGGGGTGCAGTGCAGCACCTGCAGAAACATGTTCCCTGAGCATGGCCACTGACCCAGAACTCAAACGCCTTTCTTTGTCACACCACCAGCAACAGAACCGGGTGAGAAGGGCTGGCGTCAGGAGCCTCCTGAACAGTCGACAGACCCAAGCAGCAGAGTAGGGACCATACACGGAGTCACTAAGAGAGCCACATGTGCAGTCTGCCTCCGTGGCAGGGCTGCAGGAGAAGGAAAGGGCCTCTGGAAAGCTACTGTATCCCCTACATCCCCATCCCCTGCCTCTCTGAGAAGGAAGCTGCAAGGACTCTTACAAGAAGCTGGCCCAGAAAAAAACTAACACATTCTAAAATGAAATAAAACCCAATAGCCAAAATAATCTTGAAAAAGAAAAATTTGGAGGCCACATTCTTCCTGATTTCAAAACACGCTACAAAGCTACAGTAATCAAAACAGTATGGTAGGGCATGAAATCAGATATATAGACCCAAAGAATAGAATAAAGAGCCCAGAAATAAGCCCTGGTGTATACATGGTGATATGATCATCAACAAGCATGCTAAGACTATTCAGTGAGAAAAGGATCATCTTTTCAACAAATGGTGCTGGAAAGACTGGATAGCCCCACGCAAAAGAATGAAGTTGGATCCTCACCTTAAACCACACACAAAAATTATCGTGAAATGTATCAAAAGCCTAAAAGTAAAAGCTAAAATTATTAAAACTCTTACAAGAAAACATAAAGGAAAACATGCATGATGTTGGATTTGGCAATGATTTCTTAGCTATGACAGACACCAAAAGCACAGACAAGAAAAGAAAAAAATAGATGGGATTTTATCAAAATTAAAAACTTTTGTACATGAAAGTACACTATCAACAGACTGCAAAGGCCACTCACAACATGGGAGAAAATATGTGCCAGTCACGTGTCTCTTGAGGGATTAACATCCACAATAAGTAAAGAATTCCTACAACTCAACAACAACAAAAAATCTGATTTTAAAAGTATCACACATGATAGAGACAAGAAAAGCGAATTAAATGAGGTGAGAGAAAAGCGAATGAAATGAGGTGAGAGAAAGAGAGAGAGAGAAAGGAAGGAAGAGAGGGAGGGAGGGAGGAAGGCAGGCAGGCAGGCACTTATAAAGGGAGGAAAAACCAGCCAGGCCACAGATTCCTCTGAAACAACACTCGAGGTCAAAAGACAATACAGTGACACCTCCAAGACCCTGAAAGGATGGCAGCCCAAACCAAGGGCTCCAGCAACATTCAAACCACCCCGCAAGCCAAGAAGCCACAGCTTTGAATATGCAGCACTTAGGGACTGTTCCCACCCACCATTCTGAAAAAAACACCTTCAAAACAAACCTCAGCCAATCAAAAGCTGACAGAGGAGATGCCGTCAAAACGACTGTCAATGAGCATGAACTATTAATATATTTACCAGTAGATTTAAGACTAAAACAAATGTGAGCTTGGGGTGACAGAACAGAATGCAGATAAGCCCTGACTATGGAGTAATGACTCAACTGATGACACCTGGGAGGGGAATACGACAAGAGGGAGTGAGGTAGAACAATTAGCTCCTCACCTTATTAGTAAGAACTGGAGTCAAAGGATATCATTTAAAGCTGACATTTCAGTAACAGAAATACAAGTAGATTTAATAGTATAAAGGCAAACACTGAGAAAGGTACTATTGTCATCAAAAATTGGTGATGGGAGGAAGAAAACAAAATACATTCATTTTGTAATTACTCATAGAAGGTGTACTAGTTTCCAATGACTGCCATATCAAATCACCACAAATGTAGCTGCTTAAAACAGACAAATTTGCTCTTTCACAGCTTCTGTAGGTCAGAAGTCCAGCTGGGCCATGTTCCTACTTGGAGACTGGGAAAATAACTCGGATTGCAGGAAGAATCCAGGTCCCTGTGGCTACAGGACTGAGGCCCTGTTTCCTTCCTGGCAGGGGACCACTCTTAGCCCCTAGAGTCCTTGCATCTAGGGGCCAGCAAATCCTTCTCACTCTTGGGACCTCTCTAACATCCTCCTTCACCACATAGCTCTCATTTCTTGCCAGAGAATGCTCTCTGCTTTTCAGGACTCAGATAATTCAGCCTTCCCAGGTAATCCAGGATAATCAATCTACTTTGAGATCCATACCCTTTAATCACATCTGCAAAGACCCTTTTGCCATGTAACATGACATGATCACAGGTGTTAGGGATTAGAGTGTGGCTATCTGGGGAAATGGGAGAACATTATTCTGGCTATCACAGAAGGTACTTAATAAATGGTCCCTCTCAACATGAAGTATTAGAGGCATTTATGAATTACATAAGATACTATAATATCTCATATAGACAAAAGTATAGACTCTCTTCAATATAAGAACTCTTTAAAATTTTTAAAAAGGAAAGAAAATGGACCACAGAGTAAAAGACTTAACAATACATGCACACACAAAGCACACCACCACTCAGGTCAAATGTAGGTTACCTATCAATAAATGTACATTAGTTTAACTTCACTAGGCAAGAAAAAAAAAAGATTCCCCAATTGAATTACAAGGCAAAATCTAACTTCACATGGTATAAGAGACACATTTAAAATAATTCGGTAGAGTTAAAATTTTGTAATGGGCAAAGGTATGCCAAGCAGATACAAACTCAAGAAAGCACTAGTTATGACCTTATAGTCAGACAAGTAGAAATGAGACAAAGAAGGGCACTTTGATCCTAATGAATGCACTTGAGAATAAAAATGTAATAGTTATAAATAGCTACGCAACAAATCACATAGCAGCCAACACTCACAGGAGCCACAAGGAGAAACAGACAGAAACATATCAATGGTAGACATTAATTCACTCCTCTCAGTCCACAACAGAGCAAGAGACAGAAACTAAGTAAGGATTATACATGACCTAAATAACACAACTAAGGCGGTAAAAGTGATTGATATACACATCAAACTTCCGTAACCCAAAACAAAAACTCAATCCTCTTTTCCAGCCTCAGTGGAACAATGATGAAAACTGACTCCAAATTAGGAACATAAGAAACCTCCCGAAACCCAGAAGTTCAAGAGGGAATAGTCAATATTCTCTCACCAAAATGCAATTAAAACTGGAATAGTAACAAAATCAGGAAATTAAAAGACTTGTTACTTGGAAATTTTAAAACTTGCTCCTGAAAAACTCTCGAACCAAAAAGAAAATACAAACCAAAATTGCAGAACTTCTAAACAGCAATGATAAGGAAAATATGTCTCATCAAAACTTAGGCATCAGCCCTCGAATACAAAATAAGTTTGAAAAGAATAATAAAAAATGAATCAAGCATTCACACCAGACATTTAGAAAAACGATAAGATAAACTGAGGAAAATCAGAAGGGATTATTATTAGCAAAAACAAGGGAGTTTAAAAAGCAGAGAAATAAGGCAATTAATTTAATTTAAAAATTCAAAAGCTGAATCTTGGAAGAAAAAATAAAACAATAAAATGGAAACTATTCACTAACCTAACCAAGAAAAACAAGAGAAGCAACCGAGACGGAAATAACCGCAGAAACCAAAGATATTAAAAGAGTCACAGAAGATCATTTTACTCAAGCCTACATGAATAAATTTGACAAACAGGATGAAATTGATAATCATTTGGGAAAATATTTACAAAACTGATCCCAGAAAGTTCAAACAGAGTAATTTCCATAGGGAAAATAATAAAGACAAAATCATAAAAGAACTTTCATCCTCAAAACGAAAACAAAACAAAAAAGCACCAGGTCCCAACAATTTCACAAAGGAATCTAACCACTCTTTAGAGACCAGGCAATTCAGTGCTATTAAACTATTCCAGAGAATGGCATAAGAAATATAACTTCTATATTATGTTTATGAAGCAACTATAATGTTGATATCACAACCAAAAACAGTGTACATACAAAAGAAAACTACAGACCAACCTTAATTATGAAGAGCAATACATAAAAATCAATTAAATATCAGCAAAAAGTACATTCACCAGCACCTTAAAAGAATTATGTATCAGAGCAAGTGAAGTATAATCAAGGAATTTAAGAATCTTTCATTATTAGCAACTTCGTTTGTATAATTCACTATATTAATATGTCTTAAGAAAAAAATCATATGATCACCCCATAGATGATTTTTTAAAAAAGCAACTGACAAAATTCAATAATGATTCTTGATTTTTTAAAAAAGAAAACATGAAATAAAATAGAAAGTACAGGTTTTTCATTAACATACCTTTCTCAATCCAAAGCCATACTCTGCTTTATGGAGTTAACAGCAGAGACATTCCTAATAGGTGTCTACTAAAAACACCATTAGCTACCATCATGCTGAAGGATCTAGTCCACAAAAATAGGTAAGAGAAAGAAACTAGAGTATAAAATTGGAAAGGATAAGGTTAACCATCACTATTTGCAGTTCACATGAATGGATACCTTGAAAACCCAAGATAATGAACTAAAAAAAAAAAAAAAAGAAGAAATCAGTAAGTTAGCAAAAAACAAAATCTTTTTTTTTTTTTTTTTTTTTTTTTGAGACAGAGTCTCGCTCTGTCACCCAAGCTGGAATGCAGTGGGAGGATCTCAGCTCACTGCAACCTCCACCTCGCAGGTTCAAATCATTCTCTTGACTCAGCCTCCTGAGTAGCTGGGATTACAGGCACACGCCACCATGCCCAGCTAGTTTTTGTATTTTTAGTAGAGACGGGGTTTTGCCATGTTGGCCAGGCTGGTCTCAAACTCCTGGTCTCAAACGCCTGACCTCAGCCAGGTGATCTGTCTGCCCCGGCCTCCCAAAGTGCTGGGATTACAGGCATGAGCCACTGTGCCTGGCCCAAAATTAATATTTAGAATGCAATAGTATTCACACACATATGTGATAAATAAAGAAGAAAATATTCCTTGGAACAACAATAAAAGGGATAAAATTTCTGAGGATAAAGAACACCTGACTCAAAACATACCACAAAGCTACAGTAATCAAAACAGCATGGTGATGACATAAAAACAGACAAACAGCCTAACGAAACAGGATAGAGAGCCCAGAAATAAATCCACTCATTCATGGTCAAATGATTTTAGACAATGGTTCCAAGAATTCACAATGAGAAAAGGACAGTCTCTCAATAAATGATGCTGGGAAAACTGCTTCTCTAGATACAGAAGAATAACAGTGGACACATCTCACACCATATACAAGAATCAACTCAAAATGGATTAAAGACAACCATTTAGTCCTAAAACCATAAAACAACTAGAAGAAAAGGGAGCAAAAGCTCCACAACGTCAGTCTGGGCAATGATTTTTTTAATATGACCCCAAAAGCAAAGGCAATAAAAGTGGAAATAAATGGGGTTACAGGATAATTTGGCAATGTACATCAAAATTACAAAAGTGTGTACCCTTATTGACCCAGCACTTGTTCTGAACATTTATCCTGCACATATATCACACTTAAACATGTGCAAAGCAGCATATGAACTAGACCACCCATTTTGTAATAGGAAAAGATCGAAAGTCACCTAAATGTCCAGCCCCAAAGGCCTATGAAATCAGTCTGAGCATATCCACACCATGGAATCCTCTGTGACTGTCAGAGACAAGAAAGGAACCCTGGACTGATTCCAAAAGATCTCCACATCACTTACCATATTAACACTTCGTCAAGGGAGGGAGGGATCCAAGGTGCAGGAATGTGTCATATCATGACTTGTGAAAGAAAAAGCAAAAAAGAAATGTTTATGTTTGCTTGGAATGTATAATGAAGCTCTGGAAGGACAAACAGTCATTCTTTGCTTAACCATAGGGATACAATCTGAGGACTGTATCATTAGATGATTTCCTCACTGTGCAAACATCACAGAGTATATCTTCACACACCAAATGCTGGAGCCCAATACACACCCAGGCCATGTGGTAAAATCTATTGCTCCAGGCTATAAACCTGGACAGCAGGCAAATGTACTAAATGCTGTAGGCAACTGTAACAGAGTGGTAAGAATCTGCATATCTATACATATCTAAACATAGAAAAGGTACGGCAGAAATACAGTTTTAAGGATTTTTTTAAATGATACAACTGTATAGGGCACTTACCATGAACGGGGCTTGCAGGACTAGAAGTTGCCTGCGTGCGTCAGGGAGTGAGTGGCAAGTGAATGTGAAGGCCTGGGACATTACTGTACACTTTGGGGGACTTTATAACAGACGCTGTACACTGCTGGGGACTCCGTAACAGACGCTGTACACTGCGGGGGACTCCGTAACAGACGCTGTACACTGCGGGGGACTCCGTAACAGACGCTGTACACTGCGGGGGACTCCGTAACAGAAGCTGTACACTGCGGGGGACTCCGTAACAGACGCTGTACACTGCGGGGGACTCCGTAACAGAAGCTGTACACTGCGGGGGACTCCGTAACAGACGCTGTACACTGCGGGGGACTCCGTAACAGACGCTGTACACTGCTGGGGACTCTGTAACAGACGCTGTACACTGCTGGGGACTCTGTAACAGACGCTGTACACTGCAGGGGACTCTATAGCAGACGCTGTACACTGCTGGGGACTCCATAGCAGACGCTGTACACTGCGGGGGACTCTGTAACAGAAGCTGTACACTGCGGGGGACTCCGTAACAGACGCTGTACACTGCGGGGGACTCCGTAACAGAAGCTGTACACTGCGGGGGACTCCGTAACAGACGCTGTACACTGCGGGGGACTCCGTAACAGACGCTGTACACTGCGGGGGACTCCGTAACAGACGCTGTACACTGCGGGGGACTCCGTAACAGACGCTGTACACTGCGGGGGACTCCGTAACAGACGCTGTACACTGCTGGGGACTCTGTAACAGACGCTGTACACTGCTGGGGACTCTGTAACAGACGCTGTACACTGCAGGGGACTCTATAGCAGACGCTGTACACTGCTGGGGACTCTATAGCAGACGCTGTACACTGCGGGGGACTCTGTAACAGACGCTGTACACTGCGGGGGACTCTGTAACAGACGCTGTACACTGCGGGGGACTCTAACAGACGCTGTACACTGCTGGGGACTCTAACAGACGCTGTACACTGCTGGGGACTCTGTAACAGACGCTGTACACTGCTGGGGACTCTGTAACAGACGCTGTACACTGCTGGGGACTCTGTAACAGACGCTGTACACTGCAGGGGACTCTATAGCAGACGCTGTACACTGCTGGGGACTCTATAACAGACGCTGTACACTGCTGGGGACTCTGTAACAGACGCTGTACACTGCTGGAGACTCTGTAACAGACGCTGTACACTGCTGGGGACTCTGTAACAGACGCTGTACACTGCGGGAGACTCTGTAACAGATGCTGTACACTGCTGGGGACTCTGTAACAGACGCTGTACACTGCTGGGGACTTTAAAATAGACACGGTCCCCACTTGCAACATTGCAGGTGACAAGAAGGAAGGAAGAGCTGCAGCTCTTCAGCTCTTCAGCAAGCCCAGACCTAGAAACTCCTTGAGCCAGGGCTCTGGCACCCTCTTTGGGGCTCTGCGGTTCCTGGCGCCTCCAAGCTTCTAGCGCCACCACGTTCCCCTCATCCAGACGCGGGTGCTCACAGTGGAAGCCGTGTGCAGTACATCTGGTCCAGCCGCAGCCTTGCATGGAGCCAGCACCTGTGCCAGCACCTAGGGCTGCCCGCCCTGCCGCAGCAGCCGGCATGCCTGGCTGTGCACAGTGGCCAGACCCATGTTCGCTCACCCACACGCCCCTCACTGCTCCATGCCTGGCTCACCCTTGGCATGTGTGGGATCTGGGCTGGTAGCACGAGCTGAGCACAGCCTACTGGGCTGAGTGGGCGGAACAAGCCTAGCGGGTGTAAGCACCACTCAGGCAGAGGCACCGCCAGCCACAGAGGTTTCCAACGGTCTAAGTGACACCCCAGGGATCCCGTGACAACACCTCCTGAAGGCCCTGCCTGAGGCTGTTTTGCAGTTCATTTTTTTCTTTTTTTGAGACGGAGTTTTGCTCTTGTTGCCCAAGTTGGAGTGCAATGGTGCGATCTCAGTTTACTGCAACCTCCGTCTCCCAGGTTCAAGTGATTATCCTGCTTCAGCCTCCCGAGTGGCTGGGATTACAGGGGCGCACCACCATGCCCGGCTAATTTTTGCATTTGTAGTACACAGGGTTTCACCATGTCGGCCAGACTGGTCTCAAACTCCTGACCTCAGGTGATCCACCCACCTCGGCCTCCCAAAGTGCTGGGATTACAGGCGTGAGCCACCACACCCAGCCAACTTTTTTTTAATAAGTAAAAGGAGTACACTCTAAAATAACGATAAAAAGTATAGTATACACAGAACGGTAACATAGTGTTCATTATCAAGTCTTACGTAGCGTATGTGCTGAACTGTTAGATGACGGGCAGTGTAGCAGGTCTGCTTGCACCAGCTCTCCACACACACGTGAGTGATACCCTGCACTACATCATGACCATCAGGACATCACCAGGTGACGGGAATTTTTCGGCGCCAGTATAATCTTACAGGTCCACCCTCGTCTATGCCATCCATCATTGACCAAAACGTCCTTATGCTTCACGTGACTGTGTGAGAAACTCACAAGAGGCCAGGCATGGTGGCTCACACCTGTAATCCCAGCACTTCAGGAGGCCGAGGTGGGCGGATCACCTGAGGTCGGGAGTTTGAGTTTGAGACCACGCGGGCCAACATGGCGAAACCCCGTCTCTACTAAAAATACAAAATTAGCCGGGCATGGTGACACATGCCTGTAATCCCAGCTACTAAAGAGGCTGAGGCAGGAGAATTGCTTGAACCTGGGAGGTGGAGGTTGCGGTGAGCCGAGATTGCACCACTGCACTCCAGCCTGAGCGAAACTCCGTCTCAAAAAAGGAGAAAAAGAAAAAAAAAAAAAAAGAAAGAAAGAAACTCACAAGAGTGGCTGCTGTGGAGATGACGGCTGGGCCGGCCAGGGATAGGGATACTTTCTACTGGATGCTTCCTGCCATGTTTTAATTGTCAAACTACCTAAACTATTCAAAATAGTAAAGTAAAAGGTCATTAGAATAACCTGTGGGCCATCCACACCGTGGAACAGGCCTCTCAGCAACAGGAAGAAACCACTCCTGGCCCCTGCAGCAGCCCTGAGAACCATCCGGGGAACGATGGCGAATAGAAAAAGCCAATCCCCGGCCACACACTGCAAGATTCCATTTCTACGACTCGCTTCAACTGACGACATTACGGAGATGGAGAGCAGACTGGTGGCTCCCAGGAGTTAAGGAAGGGTTCATGGCAGAAGCAAGGTAGGCTTCGCTGAAACGGGCACCGACACAGGGCTCCTCTGAGTGATGACGGAAACCTCTGGCATGGCGGCCGCGTCGGCCAATCCGCTGGCTGTGCTACTGTCCTCGTTCTGCACAAAGCTACCACGGGGAAAACTGGGTGAAGAGTGCACAGGATCTGTGTATTATTTCTCACAACTGTATGTGAATTTACAATGGTCACAATAGTTTAATTTACAAAAAGATCCTGAGATGCCAAACGCCACGCCCGAAGGTGCTGAGAGAGCAGAGGCCACATTCTCCCTGGTCTGACTCCCCGAGCACCTGCCCCGTCCACTCCACCACCTCCTGGAGCAGAGGCCTAGAGGGAGGTGAAGTGTCACACAGCCCACCCTCTCCTACTGCAGATAGGGAAGCCCAGGAGGAAAATCGAGGGAAAGCCTGGGCAGCAAAGGTGGCCGGTTCACAGCACAAGCTGCCTGGCTACGTGCTGGTGTGGCATCCCTCGTGCTGCTCAACCGAGACTTCCAGTTCTCCTCCCTCGGGGAGTGTGGGGCACTTCCTGGCCTCTTGTGGTTGCAGCCGTGTGGTTCCTCCTGGCCAATGAACTGTGAATCCCCAATGAACACACACCTTTGTTGCTTCAGGCTACTAAAACCTGAGGGATGTTCATTACGAAAGCAAAACCATACAGGTTACATTCTCCACCCGTCCAATCACAGCTCTGCCCACGCTGGCTGCCCGTCTTCACTCCTTGCTGGGCTGGGAGGCCCTCCTGCCCTGGCTAAGGCAGAAGCCTGCAGGCTGCCCGTGGGCCCCACGCTTATGCCTGCGGCCTCCAGTGGCCTCCATACCCTCTCACACCGGTTAAGGTGTCAAGATAACAGCTTTGGGGGCAGATACGCAGAAAGACGGGAGGTGCTCTGCCCATCGGACCACCCTGCCAGACTGAAGGAACCAGGGTGTGGGCACCCCACAGCAGCAGGGCGGGTGGACCGGACAGCTCGGACCTCTTACTCCCCATCTGTAAACTGGGGAGTGAAAGCAGTAGCTACAGAATCTTTTCTCCAAACACAACCGTACTCAGAAAACACCAAGTGAAACAGATCACATCAGAGCTGCTCTGGGTAAAGGGAGGGACGATGATGGCAGCAGGTCTAAGACTAGAACCTCCGGGGTTCCAAGGCACAAATCGACTCACCTGGAAGTGCCCCACAGTCCTGGGCCCATTTCCCATGGCGCAGTGTGGGAATGACAGGCCACAGTTTCTACGGCCAGACCCCACGGGATTCCTCCCACAGCTCTGCTCTGTGCTTGCTTCATGGTCTTGGGAAACTACATCACCTCTCAGGTTGGACAGAAAACAACTCCCACCTCCCTGCTCCAACCAGGGGCAGCAGGGCCACCATGCCATTGAGCTCTAAGCTGTGGGATGGTCCGCAGGGTCACCGCAGCACTCCCCACGCCCCAGCTGCCAGCGTGCCTGTCCACGTCCCTGTGTGCCCTGCCAAGTCTCCTCTGCTGGCAGCATCCCAGGCTGTGCCTGCGCCCTGGGGACAGTGAGGTGCGCTAAGGGTGCAGGGCCCTAGAAGCCAAGTCTCCATAAGGAGAGATGCAAGCAGGTGACCCGGTCTCCCTTCCGTAAGATAGGGTGATGGTGTCACCTTGGAGGCTGCTCTGGGAATTCAGGACCTGCCCGCCTGCAGGAAGCATCGCTGTTCCTGTCCCCCACCACTTCCTGCTCCTGGCAGGGAAGGGGGGCGGCCCCGTGCATCAAAGGCTGAGCGGCCTAAAGGTGAGGCTCAGCTCCTCCCATGGTTATCTTGTGCCCACTGTGGGCATTTTCCTGTGCTGGGACCACAGAGACAGAAAAGACAAGGTCCTGGCCCTGGAGGAGGAAAGCTAATGACTGCAATGCAACAAGGCCCAAGCCACGCAGAGCCACTTCCCAAAATCTGCAGCCCTCTCTCTACCTTGCCCTCCCCGGGAGGCACCAGGCCCTCAGGATGAGGGGATGGGGCTGACTCCTGACGGCGTCCCCCAGCGGAGACTTCAACAGCCCAGGAGGTCACCAGTCGGGGCCACTCCAGGCAGAGGGGCGGCCCCAGCAAAGACACGGGGGGCAGGCTGCAGGCAGCCTGCGGAGTCAGCGCAGCAGGTTTCCCAGGGGCTGGAAAGCCCATGGAGCACCGCAGATGCCAAGTGACAGTGAGGCTGGAGCTGCCAGGAAGATCTGTCGCCAGGGGGCGGCACCGCCGGATCTACCCCTCAGCAAGATGCAGAATTAAGGGGCCCAGGCTGGAGGCTGTGACCGGCGAAAACGCCCAGGTACCACGAAGCAGCAGAAGCAACGGTTCTCCCCACTTGCAATTCCGCCTCCTGCGCCCACTCCCAGCACACCACGCTCATCAGCACCTTCCCACAAGTGAGCAGCAGCGGGAAGGAGGTCAGACTCCCAGCAAGGAATCCAGCTCCTCATTAGCACCGAGGGCAGCCAGCCCAGGAAGGAGGCTGCTGTGTTGTGTTGCTTCTTTCTAATGTTGGGAGAGACTGATTCTGGGCTCTGGTTTAAAAACATGTCCCCTTCCAAATACTTCGCTAGAATGGATCATGGGTCCAGATGGAGGGCAGCCAAGGTGGCCCGCTCTGTCCAGGGCAGACGCCTGTGGCTCTCTTTGTCCGTGGCTCTGTCCAGGGCAGACGCCTGTGGCTCTCTTTGTCCGTGGCTCTCTGACAGGACCCTTGATGACCCATGCCCTCAGAACACTGGCCCTCATCTTCCCCAGACCATGCCACACTCAACTCCTTCACCATCACCCCTCCAATGCCCAGCTTCCCATTGGTACAGGTTCAGTGTGCACCCCTCAGATGACACCCAGGGTCAGGCTCAGGCGATAAACACAAACACACACACACACACGCACACACCCGCGCACCTGGCCCCAAAGCCCTGGAAACGCTTGACTCAGCTAGACACCATCCACAGGCAACCACAGCCTCTGGGGGCTCACACCACCCCGACCTCCTAGCCTCAAGCCTTATGGGAACAAGAATCTTGAGCTCCGCCCACCTCCCCTCTCCATCAGAAATCTCAACCTCCATACCTGGATTCCTTCAAGCCTGTGAACCCCTGCCACACTCTGCTCTGGAACATCATCTCAAGATGGAAGGGAGGGACAGGATTAGGTCTTTATTAGTGCAGTAATTGCCATTATTAATAACATCCTCTAACTCAACAGGGAATTTTTGTTTGTAAAGCTGCTTCCAGCCTGGTCCCCCTGGAGAGCAGCAGGGCAGGATCGCCAGGTGGGCCGGGCAGCAGAACGGTGAGCAATGCCTCTGATTTCTGCCTCTGATCAGAATCCTGGTGAGAACACCAGGGCTCAAGTCATGGCTGGGCATTTACCACCCCCGTGACTTCAGGTAAGTTTCCCAAGGCTGGGAAGTTTCCTGATCTGAGGAGCAGGAAGAGCCTAGCAGGTGCCTGACAGATGCCCTGTGGTCAAAAGCAGGAGGTGTTGTTATAATCAGAATCCAAGACAGCCTGACGCTCAGGTCTACTGTGCGAGCTGGCCGTGCCATGGCTGACCAGGTAGAGCAAGCTCTGTGATGTGTGTAGCAGTGGCGAGGCAGCCCGAGGGTCTCACAGGAGAGAGGCAGCTCCACCTGCCCTGGGGCTGCACTCCCTGACCTTCCACAGCCCCTATGTGTGGCAGTGGCGAGGCAGCCCGAGGGTCTCACAGGAGAGAGGCAGCTCCGCCTGCCCTGGGGCTGCACTCCCTGACCTTCCACAGCCCCTATGTGTGGCAGTGGCGAGGCAGCCCGAGGGTCTCACAGGAGAGAGGCAGCTCCGCCTGCCCTGGGGCTGCACTCCCTGACCTTCCACAGCCCCTCTGTGTGGCAGTGGCGAGGCAGCCCGAGGGTCTCACAGGAGAGAGGCAGCTCCGCCTACCCTGGGGCTGCACTCCCTGACCTTCCACAGCCCCTCTGTGCACCTTGGGAATTCTTCCCTACACCCCTCAGGTGATGTCCCCCAAGACGCCCGGAGATTCCAAGTCTCTGGGACAGACACAATGCTGCCCACCTCCCAGGAGGCTGCAGGATCAGACTAATGACATGGAAAGGCAGGGCTCCTGGAGGGGCCAAGTGACATGGCCAGGGTCCCACGGCTAAGATGTGGCAATGCTGTGTCCCTACCTGGATGTTACGTAAGTCAGGGCTGGGTTGTAGCCCTCCCCACAGGGCAAATCAGAGGGAGAAAACGAGGCAATCTTCCACTGTGGAAGAAAACAACAGTTGATCTGGCCACAGCACTGGGCCAGAGGCTCCCAGGCCAGCGTGAGTGCCTGGCTCTGCTCACTGGCTTCCATGCTGGGGAGGGCTCGAGCCTGCAGCCTGAAGCCCAGGGTTGCCAGGACAATGAGCAGCAGCTGCTGCCAGTCCACTCAGCTGCGTGGCTAGCCCACCAATCCATCGAGGGGGCCCACAGCGCAGCCACCACAAGGCACCCAGCACACAGTGCCAAGGCATGGAGCCTGGCCCCTGCAGGCTCCAGACACAGGCCCTCGGTGTGGCACTGCTCCACCCAGCCCTGTCTCCAGACCTCTTCGGCAAACCTCAGCCTGGGCCCCGGGTTCCCTGCTCAGCACCAACAGCCATCAGAAAAGCCCAGGCCTCACCCTGCCTCCCAAGACCCTCACAGGCTGACCCGAGTCAGACCTGCCTACTAGGAGTCCAGCACTGCTGTGCCTTCCCTTGGGCCTCCCGCTGCCTGGAGTAGCTGCCTCTCCTGCCCTCCCCAGCTAAGGCCACTCAGCTCTCCAGACACAGCTCAGGCCTCACCAGCATCCAGGATTCTTCCCAGGTATCTACCCAGCCCTGCCCAAAACGCACCCCCAAACCCTCCCAAAGCGCACCCCCAGCCCTGCCCAAAACACACCCCTAGCCCTGCCCAAAACATGTCCCCAGCCCTGCCCAAAACACACCCCCAGCCCTGCCCAAAACACACCCCTAGCCCTGCCCAAAACATGCCCCCGGCCCTACCCAAAACACACCTCCAGCCCCAAAATATGCCCCCAAACCCTCCCAAAGCACATCCCCAGCCCTGCCAAAGCACAACCCCAGCAGAGTCAGCTCCCCTCTCCACCTCCTCACTCCACCGCCTCAACCTTGCTCTGTAAGGTGCCCTCTCCACCTCCTCACTCCACCGCCTCAACCTTGCTCTGTAAGGTGCCCTCTCCACCTCCTCACTCCACTGCCTCGACCTTGCTCTGTAAGGTGCACAGCAGTGTCCGGAGCAAGGCCAGGACAGCCTGATCCTGCTTGCCACTGTGTCCATCCCAAGACTCATGCCAGGCATGGCCTTAGCATAGTCTCACAGAACATTACACATCTCAGACAGCAGCCCTGATGGCAGGGGCAGGGGCTGGGGACTTGCCAATGACCCTGTCCAGGCAGGAACACCCAGTAGACTGTCCTGCTTGCCTGCAGTGGCCCCCAAGTGGGTTCACATCCTAACAGGACCTACCCAAGGACAAAAAAGGAAGGGCCCTGTGCAGCACAGTCCGGATTTGAAGCCCACACGGAGCCACCTTCACCCCCATCCCAGACTCAGCAAGCCGCAAGTTGACGAGAGAATCTCATAGCCTGGATAAGGCCAGGCAGGACAGCCACAGCTGGCTTCTGAGGACAGCCCTGGATGGCAAGCAGGACACCCCGAAGCAAGGCCCCTGCAGGAGACACCGCCCAACTGGGCTCCGTAGGTGAGGACACCCCGCCCATAAGGCATCTTCAGAAACCTATTCAAGGCACCTGGCTTGTCATTGTTGGTAGTGCCCTTCTTCTCTGCCAGGGAACTCAGACCAAGAAAACTCTTCCTATGGAAGCTTCCAGATGGCTCCACCATGCAGCACTAACAGGAAGGATAGTGGAATAAGAACAGCACAGGCTCAAGATCAGCTGTGAAACAACCCCTCACGTCTTCAGCAAATCCCCATCGGGCATTCACTGGGCCCCAGGCCCTGGGCCACAGCTGGATGGACGTTCAGAGACGCACAGCTCCCCGCGGGTGGGGTGGCAGACAGGGAGGTGTGGAAAGGTACAGAGTCCACCACTGGCGCTGGGGACCGTGGGGGCAGGAGGAATGATGATCTTCCCCAGCTGCCTCAATGCGCCCAAGAGGGAGAGGATGAGGATGCCCTCAGTACAGAGAGCAGAGCCAAACATAAGCATCCACACTGAACAACTGACTGTCACCTCTGGAGGGACAGCGCCGGCCATGAGCTCTCCAACTCTCTCACTCACTCCTTCTTGCCTTTAGTCTTTTGGTCACCACTGCTCCACACACAGATGCCACAAATGTTTAGACAGGGCTGAGCATCCCAGCAGAAAGCAGAGGAATCTGAGAGGAGGGCTGCTCAGGAGTCTGCTACTATGGACGATGCACAAATCAGACTTTAAAGAACACAATGAATGACAGCTGGACTGGGCCACAAGGTCAAAGTCTACTTGTAGCAAGTAACACCATCCAAACAAACCCAGTAGCCACAGAAACGCCCGTGTGCATTAAAACAAAAAGCCTGGAGCCAGACGCCATGACTCACGCTGGGAATCCCAGCACTCCGGGAGGCTGAGGCCAGAGGATGGCTTAAGGCCAGGAGTTCAAGACCAGCCTGGGCAACTGGGCAACACAGTGAGACACGCCTATCTCAAAAAAAAAAAAAGAGGTGGCTGGGCACGGTGGCTCACACCTGGGATTACAGTGTGTGGCTCAGGCAGGTTGATCACCTGAAGGTCAGGAGCTTGAGTCTAGCCTGGCCAAAAAGAAGAAGTGGCTGGGCACAGTGGCTCACGCCTGTAATCCCAGCACTTTGGGAGGCTGAGGCAGGTTGATCACCTAAAGGTCAGTAGTTTGAGTCCAGCCTAGCCAACATGGTGAAACCCCGTCTCTATTTAAAATACAAAACATTAGCCAGGCGTGGTGGCAGGCCCCTGTAATCCCAGCTACTCGGAAGGCTGAGGCAGGAAAATCACTTGAACCCAGGAGGCAGAGGTTGCAGTGAACCAAGATTGCACCAACGCCCTCCAGCCTGGGCAACAAGAGGGAAGCTTCTCAAAAAAAATTAAAAGGGCCGGGCACGGTGGCTCATGCCTGTAATCCCAGCACTTTGGGAGGCCGAGGTGGGTGGATCACAAGGTCAAGAAATCAAGACCATCCTGGCCAACATGATGAAACCCCGTCTCTACTAAAAATACAAAAAATTAGCCAGGTGTGGTGGCAGGCACCTGTAGTCCCAGCTACTTGGGAGGCTGAGGCAGGACTCCGTGTCAAAAAATAAAAATAAGAAGAAGACAGCCTAACCCCTAGCCAACTGTTCTTATGGCCAAACACCACTCAGAGGGATAAAACGCCCAACAACCTCGGAAGAAATGTGTCTGTCTGGGCTGAACAAATGACGTCCTAGAACCCGACAGTTGAGGGACTCACGGCAAGATCACCATTCTGTGTCTCAGTCTCTCCATCTGGGAAATGGGGACAACAGACCCTCCTCCCAGGGTGACTGTGAGAGTAAACTGAGTAATGAACACAGTTCCCTGGTCACCTGGCACCAGGAGGTGCTGTGACCAGTATCATTAGTGTCACCACCTGCAGACACTCACCACCCCTTTTCAGGACCGTGGAAGGATGCACCCACGCCGTGTCGCGAATGGCTTGGTACAGCCATGGTCGAGGCATGTTTGTCTTTCCTCCCCACCTGGAAGGTGACTCCCCAACTCCGCCCACCTGGAAGGTGACTCCCTGATTCCATCTCAAGCTCCAGCATCGTGACCTAGCTGTACTTCTCACCACATTCTCCTCAAAGTCTTACGTGTCCAGTGTATTTATTCATCAAAACCTGCTAGGTGCTTATCCTACTCTCGGTGCTGGGTGGGGTGCTCAGGACACAAGGGTGACACAGCAGAGGTCTATGCCACAGAGGCTCCCAGGCACACAGGAGAGACAAACACGGGAGTGCCAGGGCATTCCAAGCAGAAGGCTCTGCATCGACAGGCACACCAGTGAGAAAAGCCACAGACTATGCAGGAAAAATGACTGCACTGTCAGGGACATAAAGCAGGGACTGAAGATGTGGCAGGAGCTGCTGGCAGGAGCCAAACCCAGGACCTCGCTCTGCAGGCCATGAGGAGCTGTGGAAGAGACTTAGGGACACCTGGCTGCCCATGAGCCCCTAGACTGAGTGCCTAGGTCTAGGCTCTTGACCCAGCATCTACAGAAGGCCAGACTCAGGGGAAGTGTCCAGGGAAGGTTCCTGGATAGAGTCAGAGCAGCCAGAGGCTGCCAGATGTTCATGGGGCCAGGCCAGCAGAGGAGGAGAGAAACAGAGGTGACCCAGCCAAAACTCAACCTCCTCCAGGAAGTCGTCTTGGATTTGCCAGCCTCCCACAGCCACCTGCATTCACGGCCTGTGCTGCTGTGTCCAAACATTTGTTCTACCAGATTTCTGCTGCGGTCCTGTGATGTATGGGGTCGAACGGTATGAAAGCAGCGGTTCAGTCGGGGGAAGCACTCCAGTACTAACAAACTTCAGCTTTCTTTCAACTCAATACTGTGTCCACACTGGGAGTATCCTAAGCAACAATCCCCACCCCTGTCTCACAGGCACTAAAGATAAAACAGAAAACAAGCAGATGAGTGACAATGACAAACAAGAAATACTGTAGGGAGAGCGGTCAGAAAGGTGAGCTCAGACATACCGGAAGCGGAGCTGCCCCCAAGCCAGGAGCGAGCCAGGAACTAAAAGAAGAGGCAAGTGTGCAGCAGAGGAAAGAAAGGGCGCCAGGTGTGGCTGGAAAGGCACCTGGCAGGATGAGGGGCGGAGAAGCACCGGCGGAGCAGCACGCGCGAGGCCCATTTTGAGCCGCACCACACCGCTCACAGAACTTCCTGTGATAAGCAGTGTTCCCTACCCGCGCTGCCCCACACAGCCGCCACCAGACACGTGTGGCTACTGAGTGTCGGACATGTGACCACTGGCACGGAGGACCTGAATCCTTCACGTTAAGGACAATGTAAACAGCCACACATGCCTAGGGGCTACCACACTGGACATGGCAGAGCTTCCAGAGCAGGAGGAGTGCGCCATGAGGCAACAAACACGAGGTCCCTGGAGAGTTTCTGCGGGGGCAGCACAGATCAACATCACCTGAAAGTCCCTGGTGGGGATGTCGCAGGCCCCAGTACCCAGGAAGCACCTTCTTACAACTTGGAGAAGGGACAGAAAGGCATGGAGAGGCAAGCACACAGGAACGGGGTCCCCAGCTCAGGCTCGAAGGCGGGCTCCGCTCGTTGAGCTGCAGGGCACCAACCCTTGCACCCAGCAAGTAGGCGCTGGGGCGCTCCCCGGGACGGCACTGACCTCCAGGCGCAGGCACCGGCTGCCCGGCCCAGAGCCCACCGACCTGGGGTCTGAACAGCGCGCGAGGACCCGCCGAGGGGCTCATGTGCCCGCGGGCCGGTCCCCGAAATGCGGCGCTCTCGCGGGGCTGCGGCTCAGGGTCCCTGGCGCCCCTGGGGTCCACCCCCGGCACGGTCCCGCCCCCTCCCCTCCCCACCGGCGCGGCCCCGCCCCCCGCCCGGCCTCCCGCAAGCCCCATACCACGCCACGCCGCGGCCCCCGCCGGGCTCCGGGCCCCGCGCTGGTCCCCGGCCGCCTCGCCCTCGCCGCCCCACGCCCGGCCCCGGCCAGGCCCCAGCCCCACCGCCGCCGCCTCACCTGGGCCTCGGTGGCTCGCGGACCGCTCCGGGCGCTCACGGCGGGCGAGGCGGGCGGGGCGGGCACCCAAACATCACGTGACGGCCCCTCCCGCCGCCGGCGTGCGCGCCCCCTCCCGCACCAGCCAATGGCCGCCGGTCCCGGACGCGCGCGGGGACTACCCGCCCCAGAGGCCCCGGCGCGGAGCCGGAAGCGGCGCGGACGGCGGTCGGCTGGGCCAAGAGGCCTCTGCGGGTGCGCGCGCGAGTCGGCTGTCCTCACTTGCCTGGTGGTGGGCCTCCGTTTCCCCGTTTCCCCGTTTTGCATATGGGGATGACGGCGAAGGTGGAGGTCACGTGGAGGGCGGCGGCCCGGCGCTGAGGCGCTTCGGGAGCGGGCTCCGCCCAGCCCAGGCCGAGCCCGGACCTCACACGGGCCAAAGCTGGAGCTTCTGCGGGGCTGCGCAGGCGGCGGGTCTCGGCCAGGGCAGGGCCGGGCACCTGCGCGTCTCGCGCTGCGGGGACGGGCGTTGGGCCCCAAGTCAGGCTGCACGGGCTCCGCGTGGGGCCGTGCTCGGCCGGGGGCTGGCAGGCCCCGCGGGGACTCCGGACTCCCAGTGTCACCAACGAGGAAACTGAGTCTCAAGACATCTGAGGGACCTTTGCCCGAGGTCGCAGCCCCTCCCTGGAGGAGCTGAAGTGCAGAGTAGGGAGCCCCTTGCGGAGACCCTCCTGGGACCTCCTTCCGCAGGGGCCTGGGGCGCCTCCCTTTCCCTGCTCTGCCTGCGGGCACTGAGCTCCCGAAAGACTCCAGCCCCTCGCTCTCCCGGTGACCTGCTGGAGAAGACACCTGGGAGGAACCTGCGGACAATGGGTGTGTGTCCTTGGGCCGCCAGGGTCACCTTTCAGCCTGTTTCCCCAGAGGTGAACCAAGAGTCACACCCAAGGCAGGAGAGCAAGAGTGATGAGTCCGCTGCACCTTCTCCGGCAAGCGGAGGTTCTCCCGCCGCCCTCACTCTGTGATGCTTGCTGTGCTTGCGAGGCCTACGCCAAAGCCCTGCGGGCAGCCCTGGGCTCCCGCGGACAGCCTTGCTGAGCTCCTGGGAAGGAGGCGTGCCCTCCCCTTCCCCCACCGCCCCGCTGGCTGGGGTTCTCTGCAGCCCAGGACTGTGCATGTGTGCGCACACGGGTTCTGTGAACACGAACACAAAAGTGTGCTCGTGGACACTGCGTGGTACTGTGTGCACACAGCGCACGTCTGTGAGCTGAGGGAGTGTTCCTGGACACCAGGTGCAAGTGCACAAGTGTGTGTATGCTGGCACAAGTGTGTGCCCAGGCGCAAACATGGGAACGGTAGTATATGGCACAAATGTGTGCACACATGGGTGGGAGGGAAGAGGGGCACATGCCCACCAGCATTCCTGGGCTGGTGCTCAGGCCGGCCTGTCCTGGGCCCACCCACGCTCCTTGCCTTGGTGTATTTCAGTCTCCCCTGGGCTCCCAGGAGGCAGTAGTGTGTGCCTGTCTTGCAGCCTCGCCATGATTTGGACAGGGCTTCACTCTTCGGCTAGGACAGCTAGAGTGCAGGGAAGCCGGCTCCTAACCAGGGAGGATGCCCATGACTGCTGACCCCCCAGCTTCCACTTGAAGGGGAAGGTTCGCCAGGACCAATGCCTGTCTGAGAGCTGTCAGTCTGGACTGAGGATGCCGGGTGCCTGGCACGGTGCCCACCTCCCCTTCCGTGGCTGGCGCTGTCTGTCTGGCCGCCACCTCACTCAGCCTCCTCTGACAGCTCCGTGTTCAGGTGTGCAAAGGAGGGGAAAGTGAAGCCCTTTCCTCCCAGGGCAGACCACCTCCAGGAGCCGCTTTCTTGACCATACAAGGCGTATATGGGGCTGTTTCTGTGCCTGGACACTGCAGGGGGAATGGTCTAGCGTGGGTAGGAACCACCAGAGGAGGGGCTCCGTACCTGTTGGCTCCTCCGAAATCTGGGATGAGCCCGCCTGAGTGCCCCACAGCAAGTCAGGGAAGGTAAACCTCTCCGTGGAAGAGCCAGGAGCCCACTCCCTCAGGCTGAGCCGATGGGGAGGGGGAGGAGGATGCTAAGGGGTCCTCAGGAAGGGATGAGGGAAATAGCCAATAGCTGCCTGGGCCTAGGGCCGGGGCTCCCCTCCCTTCCCTCATCTCTGCCCCTCCCTGGAAGAGGTCATCACATGACCTCGGGCAGCTCTGGGCTCCCTCCTTCCTCCAGAGAAGCAGGACTCCCTGGGAAGAACTCTGGTCCCACCCCTTGGCCAACCAGTGAGACCAACAGGGTGAATAAGTGGGATTGGCCCCAGGACGCTGAGTTCTGTTACCTAAGGGGGTGGGGGTTGCCTGGTCCTCAGCTGGCACCCCCCAAATTGGATCTACCATTCCAGGTCCCAGAGGGAATGTGGGCAACAAGGTTAGGGGGTGGTTCCAAGGCCTTCGGAAGGAACGTTGAGGCAGCACCCACTAAAGCCAACCTCAGAAATGCTCCCTCTCTGAATAGTAGCATGGACTTCTCAGGGTTTAAGCTGAATTTCCAGGTCAGTGTCAACCTATGGCTTTGTCGTGAGTTTCCCCACCCTCCCACCCTTCCTCTCTACCCTCTGCTGCCTGGCTTCAATGTCACCTGCTCAGGAGACCATCCCTTGCTCCCCTGCAGCCCCTGCCTGGACAGGAGAAGGCCTGTGCACCTCCTGCTCTGCTCCCAGCACAGCTTCTGCTCCAGCAAAGCCCACGGGCACTCAGTCCTTGATTCCTGCACCCACCAACCCCGCCGAGCCGCCCTCACTATTACCCAGGCCTCCTTTGTCCCTTAGCAACAGAACCCCAGTTTTGTTCAAGGCATCAATGTAGCCAGCCTCACCAGCAGCTGGGCCAGCTGTGACACTGTTTGCCCAGGGGATGACTGCAGGAGGCACAATCGAGCCTCCTGGTCCTTTGGAAGGGGCAGCTGTGGCCACCCACCTCACTGACAGTCTTCCTTTCTCCTGGCTCCAGCCTGAAGTGTGGGCACGGCATCCCGAGGACAGCAGCCATGTGGCCAGCAAGGGGCAGGGTCCCAAGCTGAGGATGTGAGCAGCTGCCTTGGTGCCCCAATGGCACCGTCAGACTCATCACCATGGGGAGAACAAGCCCCTGCTCCCTTTATGGGTCTGCCTCATTGGATTTCGTCAGGTTTTCTGTAACTGAAGCCAGTGCCACTTCCATTGTAGCTGATTTGGGCTCCTAAGCTCACGGGAGTGGGACATCGTTCTATTAGCTGCGTCCTGCCCCTCAACAACGATGGCTCCTTGCGGGCAGGCCCCAAGGGCGCGTCATGGCCCCACACACCTGGAACACACAGTGCCCCACACCTGGAACAGCCTGGAGGAGCTTGTGAGGCATGAGGGCGCGGGAGCCACACTCTCAGGTGCCTGTTTTCCACATGTCCCCATGCAGCCCGGGCTTCCAACCACATCTTAAAAAATAAAAAGACGAGGAGGAGAAGAAACTTTGGTCCTAACACCAGACTAAGCCCTGTCTTGCTGTGTGATGCTCAGCCTGAGGCACACCTTCTCTAGGCTTGTTCACCAAAGCCGCAATGCAGGGGCAGAGCGGTCATGAGGCCTGCCCAAGAGTGAGGTTGGTAAAGGGCTGGGCAGAACCAAGGGCATGGGGTGTGTGGGAGGGTGGCGGTCCATTCCCTTGTCACCCACGCAGAGGCAGTGTCATGAGGGGACACGTGGGAGTCTCTGGGAAGGGCCTGACACAGCCCCAGCACAGGACAGTGGTCTGACCATTCAAGACTCAGTCTGCGTCATCAGAGACCAGGCTCTTAGAAACCAACTCCATCCTGATGTGCATAACAGCCTCCCAAGGTGTTTAACATGGAGCAGGAGTGACAAAAAGAAAAATGAAGTAAAAGAATAGAAAATCCATCAACAAGCATGTGGAGTGCTGTTCTTGCTGATGCATCGTCCAGGAAAGGACACTTGCCACCCTTCCTGGGAATGCTTCCCACTCCCCGACCCCCTCCTGGCATCCATGAGCCTCAGATCAGCAGGTGGGGACGTGGGGACAGGAGGAGTCTCCGCCCTGCAAGGGTGCAGTCCCCCCAGATTCCACAGCCACTGCTAGGCCTGCTGCTGGGCACAGCTGCCCGTTTCTTTCCTGCCACAGTTCATCTCATCGGCAAAGCCTGTCTCCTCTTTCACTCATTGAACAAGCTTTACTTCCACGCCGCGCAACATGCTAGGATCTGGGGATAGCATCCAGTTTGATTTGGTTGCTGATGACAGAACAACCCAAATAACAGTGGCTTGATTGACGGTTGCTTTTAATGTGATATTTTTATGTCCAGGTAGGCAGTAGGACTGGAAAGGTGGCCTCACAATCATCAGGACCCCAGGCCCCCTTAGTCTGGTTGCCCCATCAATCCCCAAATAGGCCTTTTGCCTCACGGTACCAGACGGCTGTTGAAGCTCCAGCCATCATGTCTGCTTTCAGCCAGCAGGGAGGAAACATTGGCATACTCTTCCCAACCTTGCAACCCGTGCTTTTAGGGATGCTGCCTGGATTTTGCACACCTCACCTCTGCTTACAGCCCCCCTTGGCCACAGCTGGGTCTCGGGTACTTCGAGCTGCAGAGGAGGCTAGGACATGTTCCACCCCAGGGGCTGTGTTCTCAGCTAAGAGCTGGACTCTTGCACTGAGTAAAAAGGGAAGGTTGGGGTTACCTGGCAGTCTCTGCATCAGGACACAGCCCTGTGCACCACCTGGCAGGCAGGCCAATGTCGACAACCTGCAAATCACACACGTGTGTGCTGGGAACCTGTGCTGAGGCCCTGCAGGAGCGATCAGGGGCGTGGGGGCACCCGGGGGGATGGGGATCAGGGAAAGCCCATCAATGAGGAGACCAAAATGGGCAAGTCTTGAGGGGTAGCGTTTCTGGGGGGTGAGCTGTGAGTACCATGGCGAGAGAGGAGCCAGCAACGTCCACGTCCCACTCCCCTCTGTGGACACATCCTGACCCCTCCAGCTGCTTGGGGTCGGGAGGGTTCAGACGGCCCATCTCCTGGCTCCTCCTCATTCCACAGGTGAGAAACCTGGTAGGGGAGGGACACGTACAGGGTCTCAGACCAGCACCGGGCCACTCTGGGCCCAGCCCATGTCACCTCACCCCAGGCTTGGTCTCTGCCTCCTCGTCATGGCACCTCCCCTCTCCACACATTCAGCCTGTAACAGCCACGAAGTCATAGCCCTGTGGAGTAACCAGTGAGCCGAGGGGACTTTATTTTGTTCTGCTTCCATTTTTTTTTTTTTTTTTTTTAGACACAGGGTCTTGCTGTGTTGCCCAGCTGGAGTGCGGTGGTGCAATCAGCTCACTGCAGCCCTGACCTCCCAGGCTCAAGCAATCCTCTCATCTCATCCTCCCTAGTAGCTGGGACTACAGCTCATTTTGTTTGTATTTTGTGTTTTTTTATTTGAGACAGGGTTTCGCCATGTTGCCCAGGCTGGTCTCAAACTCCTGGACTCAAGCGATTCACCTGGCTCAGCTTTCCAAAGTGCTGGGATTATAGGCATGAGCCACTGCACCCAGCCTCTGAAGGGACTTTGAAAATGCTATCATTCACCACTTCTTTTACAGTCAACAGCACACGTTTTGGTTCTGAATGTGTGGTTCTTGTGTGTCCGCTGTTTGGATTTAGACCTGGTACCCAAATGAGACCAGGACACTTCACGCTGGGCAGTGAGCATCCTAGACATGCACGCTGGGCAGTGAGCATCCTAGACGTGCACGCTGGCACCTGGCTTCTTGGTGGACACCTTAGAAACCATCAGGAGCCACTGGTGAGTGGGGCTGAGGGCATGTACCCACGTGTGAGAGCCCGCGATGAGAGGCATAAGCATGAACACGATGGTGACTGTGGCGGCAGCTGCTCCCTGAATGCTCCCCTATTCTCCCCCTGATGCAGCCACACTTCCGACCCCTCTTGTCGTCTAAGGCCCATGTGGCTGGCCCCGTGCGGGAGTGGGTGCAGCACGCCCTGCCATCCTTCCCTGTACATCTGCCTGTGGCCAGGAGGCAGGGCCGCCCAGCAGCCTCGGAGCCACAAGAGGGAAGGAACAGGTCCCAAGGCTCTCGTTCTTGTCCTGGGAGTCACTGAGTTGAGTGGACAAGGGTTGAGTGAAAAGAGAAGGAGAGAGGGGAAGGGGCCGCCTGCTGCAGGCCCTCAGCCTCCCCTTCCTGCATTCTAGACGTCCACTTGGGGCGCTTGAGGAAGGGGCATCGTGTCCCAGGAGAGAGGCCTCATCCTATTGCGGAGAGGGGGATGAATGGGGAGCTTGTGCATGGATGAGGAAGACGAGCAAATGACAGGGGGATCATTTGAGTGTCAGGGAGGGAGAAGGCGGCCACCTCTGCCACCTCGAGTGGGCAGCCCTGGGCCTGTGGAGGAACAAGACATGCCCTCATCCCCCAGGCTGGGGGCAGAAAGAGCAGAAGACTGCGCCCTGACCTTTGGGTTCCCCTGGGGGAGACCTGGTGAGCGCTCAGGGCAGGGCCGAGGGCAAGCGCTCTCCCTCCTGGCCCTGCCTCTGCAGCTCTTCAAGGAGCTGAGCCAAGCCGTCCCTTGAGGGGCAGGGGCTGAAGAAGCCCCATGCTGGGACGCATTTCACTGACACAGCCCACCTGTTATCCTATGAGCTGCTCTGCAAAGGCACGTATTATTCTCTCGGTAATGAGGGTCGGTTTAGGGACAGACGCACTTCATATCCCTCCTCCCTGCTCTGTGCTCCCTCCAGCTGAGCCACCAGAAGCTCCAGCCTCCCAGACAATCCCTGGGGCCCTTTCAGCCTGGAGGCAGGGAGTGTGGTTTGACCCCTGGCTCCACCGTGTGCCTGCTGGGTGGCCCAGCGCATCAGCCTCCTCATCGGTGCTATGCACACCAAAAAGTTCCCAGCTCCGTGGAGCCAACCTGAGGCTTGAGTGAGTCGATGCAAGAGAAACCTGGAACAGTGCTGAGCACAGGGCCTGGCCCTCTGGAAGCCCTGGAACATGCGAGCTCATGCATTGTGTGTGGGTGAGCATTTGCCATTGACATCTTGCATGGATGCCCAAGCACCAAAGCCAGGCATGGGAGCTAAGGAACACAGCATGATGCCCTCAGGGTATCTCGGAAGTTGAAGAGGTGGCAGACCAGCCAAAGGGGTCACCGCTGGACCATGAGACTGTTGTTAGAAGGTGATATGAGGAAACACTACGTTCTGTCCAGGATGTTGGAGAGGTTTCCCAGAGAAGGAGCATTTGGGCTGGGTGTTGAAGGATGAGTAGGAGTTTGCCAGGCAGGAGCAATGTGGCTCTAACATGGCTGCTGGAGAAGGTTGCCACATCCACCTCCTGCATCACTTTCTGCCCCAACTCCTATTCCAGACATGGCATGTAGGGACTTGCCCACACCTCCTCCCACCCTTGGCCCCCACCTCTCTTCACATCTGCACACAAATGCACTCCCAGATACTCACATACAGTCACAAACATTCTTATACTCACAGAAGCTGGAGTTGACTCCGCTGTGCTGAAATCAGCCTCCATGCCCACTCAGAAACCCAAAACACCCCGACTTCTGCACACAGGGAAACACGGTAATGAGATGCTAACGAGCTAAGGTAAAAATCAGGGAGAACAGCGTTTTGCAAAATCACAACAGTTTGTACTTCCAGGGGCTCCCTCCCCAGCAAGCGTGCTGCCAAAGCTCACGACAGTGCTGTGTGTGGGCTGAAAGCAACTGTGGGGGGTGGGGGGGGCACCTCCTAGGTTGTTGATGGAAGCAGAAGGGGTCCTCGAGGTTGCCGGGGTGTGCCCGGCCCCAGGCCCTGCCCAGCAGTGCCCCTCTCTGCTTGGCTTACACACCTGGTCTCCCTGGGAAACTGCCTGCTTGAGGCCTTCTGGCGCCATGCGTCATGCCAGGCTTACATCCAAGCACCTGCCCAGTGTCCCAGGCCTCTGACTACAGCAGCCAGAGCTCCTGGTTCTCCACACGCCTGCGTCCAACTCCTGTGTTGGCACAGCCTGGGCCTCTGCCTGGAGGGTAACCCGCTCATCCTTTAGGGTTGCACCTCTGCACACTCTCTACCACCTGCTCCAAGAAGCCTTCCTGACCCCTCGGCCCAGCTCTGGGGCCTCCTCTAAGCTCTGCAGGCCCAACCTTCCTGCCTGCTGGGTGCTGACTGTGTTGTCCCCCCACCCCCAAATGGAGGAACTCCTCCTTGCTGGCACCTGGCCATTACTGCTCTTCATTGTGTGTTTGTTGGATGAATGAATTAGATAGAAGGTGAATTAATGAATGATAGACTTAGAGTGACTGACCTGGAAGGGGTCTTGAGGATCATCTGGAATATTCTGGAGGAAACTGAGGCCTGGAGCAGGGAAGTGGCCCCCAAAGCTACCCAGCAGTGGGGGCAGAACTGAGTTCCTGGCTCCCCAGCCAGTGCGTTTCCCTCTCCACTGGATTGCGGGAAAATCTCCAGGGGCCTGAGCCCTGCCCTCATCAGGATGGCCTCTCCCCTGCCTTTGGGGTCCCCACCGCTCTCTGCAGCGCCATCATCCCTTTCTGAACCAGACACCCCAGCTTCCCCGTGGCTGAGAAATGGGCTCTGAAGAGCAGACGAGGTGCTGAGGGGAGGGCCAGACATTCTCCCCTGTGACCCGGGGCCTGTACCCCATCACTCTCCCCAGCTCCAAGGGGCCTGGGTGCAGTGCTGGGAGGGGCCCAGCACCAGGACAGACAAGTACCTCTGGTTCCTGGGAGGTCGTGGACGTCAAGAGAAAAGTCATCGTGGCTGGATCTCATCAGGGTGCTCCCTTGGGCTGCATGCCGAGAGCTCCCAGGGCCTCAGGGGCCATGGGATGGTGGCCTCCAGCCCACGGGGCAGCATTCCTGGGTGGAATCGTCCTGACCGCCCAGGCCTCTCTCTGTGTTTTCATCAAGGTTGCAGGGAGAGAACTCACCGGTATCATGAAGACAGATGAGCGGTGCGGACCCAACACAGCTCCCCTGTGCCACATGGGGAAGGGCCCAGGAAGGAGCTATCACCACCCTGGACAAGCATCCAGCCCCTGGCAGGGTGGCCATGCCCAGGTGATGCTCAGTGGCGACAGCAGGAGGCCAAGGGAGAGGCAGCCCAGCTGGGTCCAGACCAGCCCGGCAGGCGCGGCCCTGAGCAACATTGGTATTTTGCTGTTTCTCCCTTTTCCCATCTGGAAAATGAGTGCTGTGTCTTCAGTTCTGATTCTCAGTGTGGGGCACCATTCCCTGCGGGAGGACAGAACTGAGGCTTCTGGCAAGGGGGGCAAACCAGGTGGCCCCTCGCCCAGCCCACACTGCCCCTCGCCCAGCCCACACTGCCCCTTGCCCAGCCCACACTGCCCCTCAGAGAAGCAATGCCGTGTCGGGAAGGCTTCATTGCCTGCCCACCCAGGAGTCCGGGGCCCTGCTGCTGTTCCCCACTGGGTCCTGGCTCCAGACCCGCAGACTGAACCCACTGCACTGCCCCCACGAAGCCTGGGGCAGCCCTGGAGCATTACTGCCACCTCCCTGGACCTCACTTTCCCTGTAAGTGAAGCAGGGTAGCTGCGAGAGGCCCTTGAACCTGTCATGCATTCACCAGGCTCCCGTGCCGCCAGGTGCGGGGTGGGGGGCGCACCTGCTGCTTGGTGGGCCCTGGCCTGGAGCAGGGAGAAGCTCGGGGCCGAGCTCCCGGGAAAGGCAGCCAAGACAGTGCCAGGCATGACTCCAGTGCAGCAGGGGCTCCTGGCCTGGCCTGTGAGGGGTAGGGCGGGGAAAGGCAATTTAGATTCACCTTCTCTTTGATAACAAGTAGAAAAACATGGTCGGGAGGCGGGGGGCGTTAATCCATGAAGAAAGAATTCAGGTGCTAAGACCTTATAACATCGCGGGGGGTGCCTCAGGGGGAGGGCGGGGCTGGGGGGGACCTGTGGCTTCCTCCCAGCCTCCATCTCTCCATTGAGGCATAGGACACCTCCCCTTCCCCACGGCCATCTCCTGCCTTTCCTCCTCCATCCTGCCCCTCCTACCAAGCTGTCAGAGTATGCCCCCAAAACTCAAGGGTGTGATGGCCTTCTGGGGTGTTCACAAAGCTGTAGAGTGAGATTCCTACACTGCTAAGGTCCTCCCCTAAACACATCCACCCTGCCCCACATGCACACACACCACACATTCACACACACTCCTGCAATGCACACACGCAGACCCACACACACTCACACGCACACACACCACACATTCACACACACTCCTGCAATGCACACACGCAGACCCACACACACTCACACGCACACACACCACACATTCACACACACTCCTGCAATGCACACACGCAGACCCACACACACTCACACGCACACACACCACACATTCACACACTCCCGCAATGCACACATGCAGACCCACACACACACGTGCACACACCACACATTCACACACATTCCTGCAATGCACACACACAGACCCACACACACACTCTCACACACGCACACACACCACACAGTCACACACCCCTGCAATGCACACACGCACACACACATCTCACACAGCACACACACCACACAGTCACACACTCCTGAAATACACACAAGCAGACACACACGCACACACACCACACATTCACACACTCCTGAAATACACACACATGCACAGACACCCACATACGCACACGCACACACCACTCATTCACATTCTCTCACACACACATATGCACAGACATGCAGCATATGCACATACGTTCTCACACATACATGCACAGACATGTACACAGCACATGCAACACAGACACACACATTCTCATACACATGCACATGCTCCCTGAATAACACGTGCAGACACACAGTGCATGCACACACATATTTCTCACAGCCATGCACACACTCCCTTACACACATGCACAAATATCCCACACACAGCTCATGCACACATGCATGTTTTCACACAATGCACACACTCCCTCACATGCACATTCACACAGACACACGTTCCCACATGCATGTACACACTCCCCACACACATGAACACACCTCACAGAGTGCATGCACATGCACTCCCTTACATGCACAGACACGTGTGTTCACACATGCACACACTCCCTCACACAAGACATGCATGTTCTCACATACATGCACACACTCCCTCATATGCACAGAGATTCATGTTCACACACAGGCACACAATACCTCACACACAGACACGCACGTTCTCACACACATGCACACCCTCACACACACAGATATGCATGTTCTCACACACATGAAGACATTACCTCACATGCACAGGCATGCACATTATCACACATACACACACTCCCTCAAATACACAGACTCAAGTTCTGACACACACACACATGCACACACTCCCTCACACACACACATGTTCTCACACATATGCATACACCCCCTCACATTCACAGACATGTATATGTACACGTGCACACACTCCCTCACATGCACAGATACACATGTTCACACATGTGCGCACACCCCCTCACATGCAGAGCATGTTTACACATGCACACACACCCTCACATGCACAGACATGCAAGTTTACACATCCACACACTCTCTCACACACAGACACTCATGTTCTCACACATGCACACCGTCACGTACACAGACATGCATGTTTACACATGCACACACAGACATGCACGTTCTCACACATGCACATGCTCCATCACGTACACAGACATGCATGTTTACACATGCACACACACAGACACACATGTTCTCACACATGCACACACTGTCACATGTACATTCTCTCACACACACTCATGTTCTCACATGTGCACACACTCCATCACATGCACAGACACGCACATTCTCACACCCACGCATACACCCCCTCACACTGACAGACATGCATATTTACACATGCACACATTCCCTCACACACAGATGCTCATGTTCTCACACACATGCACATACTTTCTCACATGGACAGAGGAGAGGAAGGGGCCTGCCTGCAGCCCGCCTTTCAATCAAGGAAGAACCAGCTCCCAGCTGGATCTGTTAAGGAGGCTGGGGTGGGAGTGCTCCTGAGCCCTGGTGTGCTCAGGGAGGGGCCCTCCTGGGGCTGTGGGTGGCAGGACTGCCTTCAGGAGAGGAGGCACCTCTGCAGCTCCGTGTGACCCCATGATTCTCTGGCATGGAGGACTACCCCTCCCTTCTTCCCCCTAGTGTGTATGGAGCTCACGGTGACAGAGAGGGGCCTGGGGCAGGACTTCAGGCTGTGGGGACCCGGTGGACAGGGGCTAATGGGGGGCACCAGTGGCAGTGGTGGGGGACAGCAGCTGAGGGCCCTGAGCCTGTCTGAGTGGCTGGGCAGTGGCCTTCCCCACCGGCCTGGCCTCACCCAGGTGAGACTCAGATTCTGAAGGCACTAGGAGCTTCATCCCTGGGCGTGGACAAAAATCTCAGCAAGCTTGGGTTCAAACCTCAGCTCTCTCTTGCTGTGTGACCTTGAACAAGTCACTCTACCTCTCTGGGCCTCACTTTCTTGTCCAGGAAACGGGCACTTGAGACCAACCATGTGGAAATATGTCTGTGAAGCTTGGCACAGATTGGGGGCCATGTGTGTGGAATTTTGGGTTTCCAAGCCCCGACCTCAACCTGGGTGCCTCCCGTCCACCCTGCGAGGTTGGCCTCCAGGCCCCAGCTTCCATCCATGCCTTGACAGAGGTAAGGAGGCCTTCCCATCTGTGGTGGGGACAGGGACCATTCCTGTCTTGTCCAGTGGCTGCAGGGAGGTGAGGGGCAGCAGGTGCTCTGATGAGCACTGTGGCATCATCCCCACCCAGCCCCTCATCCCGGGCACGCGAGGCTGTGCTCTCAGGCCATCCATGCACTCGCTCAGTCCTTCACTCACCCCAAAAACATTCATCAAGGACCTTGACCCAGGCACTGGAGGGCAGCAGCGACCAACACCAGCAAAGCCCCTGCCCACCCCACCACCCGGAGCAGACACTGGGAGCCGACCGCACACAACCCACCCTGATTCTCACTCCTGTCTCAGACAGGAAAACAGACAGCCAGGTCCCCAGCAGAGGAAAATACACTATTCGTGCTTGGCACCAGAACTGAGAAGAAAGAAGGGGGATCCCAGACCATCCAGGCAAGGGGATGCGGGTCTGTCCTGGGGGAAGCCGGGGACCCGCCGCTCCGCCGTTTGGTGCCCCTGCTGTGTGGATGGGCCGCTCACTGGCCTCCCCCTGGTGACGGTGGGCCAGCGCCGGGGGCGGGAGGCGCTGGGAATATTGACTGTATTTGGTGATCATTGCTGTATTTATAGGGCTCGATGGAGATAAAAATAAAGTGAGGAGGAGCCGCGTGAGTCACTGCAGTGCTTCGCAGCGTGGTCTCTGCCTCCCAGCTGGGTACAAAGCCTGGGGTGGGATGGGTAAGGGGGCAGGGGCCAGGGACCCAGACAGGGCTGGGCCCAGGACAGCTGGACAGCTGGGTGTCAGTGGAGCCCTGTGCTCACTCCTGCGCTGGCAGCCAGCACCCCTCTGAGCTTGGAGCAGGGTCTCCCCCAGTGCGGCCTGTCTGCCTCCCATCCCCAGACCACCTGCATGGCCGGAGTCAGGTTCAGCAGGGTCCCGGGCCACCTGCGTGGCCGGAGTCAGGTTCAGCAGGGTCCCCGGCCACCTGCGTGACCGGAGTCAGGTTCAGCAGGGCCCCGAGGTAGGAGGAGCTTCCAGAATCCTGAAACCCCAGGCAGGATCTGTCCTCCAGCCCTCCTCTGGAATTTCCCCGGCTTTAACTCTCCCTTTCCGACATCCCACAGCGCGGGTCCCATGCACGTCACAGGGCTATTGTGAGGGCTTTGCACGCTGCCGAGGGCTGTGCTGATGTTAGGATGTGTGCGGTCCTCCCTGTGTGGGCTCCCCGCTCCCATGTCTTCCTGAGAGCCTGGCTCTTCCCCCGGCTGCGTTCCGTCCTCTATTTTTGCTTTGAGTTCAGCTGTTGTAAGTCAAGCCCACATGAGCCTCAGGCTTCAGGTGGGCAAGGGAGCCACAAACAGCCAATTGGACCCCCCGTGGAGAGCTGCCCAGGCTGGCAGAAGCCTCGGGAGTGCTTGCTTTCCGGCTCCAAGCCTGTCCCCTGCCCGGCCTTGGACTTGGAATGGCCTCCATGAAGACCCTGTTCCCACTGCTGAGAGTCACTTGCTGCCAGCTCCTAGCTGGGTCCCTCTCAGGGAATGGCCTTTGACTGGAAGCAATGTCCTCGCTGCCCCCACCCAAGGGCAGCCTAACCCCCGGGACTGGCTGACACAGTCCTGGACCTCTCGCCCCAGGTTGGCACAGCTCTGCAGGGGCATCCCAGCTCCAGGGGCCGTTATGGGGCTGGCCGAGGCCCCAGGACCACAGCACCCAGTCCATTCTCCCGCTCTGCCTCCTCACAGGAGCTGCCCCTACCAGCTTTCCCCAGTAAACATCCATCAGGCAAACGCCCACCTCAGAATCTGCTCCAGGCAGAAGCCTGCTTTCCCATGGGGACCCCAGTCTGTTTGAATTGGGTGGACGCTTCCTGATGCTCCCGAGGTCGGGGCCTCCCAGCCTTTTCTGACACTTTCGGCGGGGGCTACTGCATTGGTGAGCATGCATCTTGAAGGCCTGGTGCCACCAGCCTGCCTGCCAGCAGTGGGGAGCTCGTTGGAGAGCTGGGGAGCAAGATGGGACCCCAAGCCCCGCCCCCACAAGCTGCTGGATCCACCCAGACCTGCAGCTAGTTGTTTCAGGGAATGTACGGGGTCCTAGTTCCTTTTTTGCTTGAACAGGCTTGAGTTGGGCTCTGTTCCCCTCTGAGTGGAGATCTGCAGCTAACCCGGCTGTGGTGAGCTCTGGGAAGTGGGGCCTGCTTGGAAACTAAAGGGCTTCTTGGGCCCTGTGAGGCTGAACACTGCTCGGGGTGTGCAAGCCACAAAGAGGTTGGAGAGTAGCTGCCAAGGGCTGAGAGGTGCTTCTAGCCATCACAGCCCACCACCCCTGGCTCTAGGAAGCAGTGCTGGGGTCTCTGGCCATCAGCCAACCAGGGTCCCATGGCGAGGCTCTGTAGGAGGCCCTGAAGGAGGGATGAAGCCTGTAGGAGGGGACATGGCCATTGCCGGAGCTGCCGCGGCTCCCCTGGGTGGAGCGGGAGCCCCAGGAGGCCAGGTCTGCGCAGGGCAGAGGGGGCAGAGGGACACTGCCGAGGCACAGAGAGCAGGCTGAGCTTGGCCGGTGCATTGGCTACACCGTGGCGGGCCCCCTGTCCCATTTGCTCCTGTGGCAGGCCCTTTACCCCACACTGTGCCAGGCATGCAGAAGGAGTGTGACTCTGCTCCTACTTTGTTGAGTGACTGAATGAGAGAAATGGCACAGCCCAGGAGAGAAGCCAGAACCAGCTGTCCCTGGGGCTCCCCTGCCCCACCGCAGGCATGTGAATGCACTCCCAGGCAGCCCCTGAAGCTCCTGGTGGGCGGGCGGTGTCACTTCATTAGCATAAACCAGGGGAGGTCCCAGCTCCTCTCAAGCCCTGCAGCCAGACCTGCTCACCCCTCAGCCCCAGGCTCCCCCACCCTCCCCAGTGAACCTCTTTCTGCCTTGGGGCCCTGGGTGTCCTGCCCTGCCCGCCCAGGCAAAGTGGCCATGGCATTGAGGTAGGAGTTGGGTGACCCTGTCCTGCAATGCTGGGCAGAGTCCTCAGAAACTTGTAGTCCTGGTTCCCCATGTCTTATGGATGGGGAGACTGAGGCTGGAAGGGGCAAAGTGACCGAGCCCCACCATAGGCAGCCCAGGCCTCCCCAGAGGCCTCGAGACCCCTGGGTTAGGCTGCTCAGAGCCCAGGTCCTGGCTTTTCTGGGCCACAGCCTCTGCCAGCCCTCATGCTCTCCCTGCAGGGTTGGGGTGGGATGCCCTGGGGCAGGGGTATGGATAGCACAAAATGTCAAGGCTGGGCAGAGATGTGGCCGCACCTGGGAGGTGAGAGTGCAAGGCTAGGCAGAGGCGTGGCCACACCTGGGAGGTGAGAGTGCAAGGCTAGGCAGAGGCGTGGCCACACCTGGGAGGTGAGAGTGGGGCTGTGAAGCAGAGAAAGGAGGTGAGCCACATTGGAATGGAGTCAAGGAGACCTAGAAGTTGGGGGCTGAGAGGTCAGGAGGGCGTGGGGCAGGTCCAGGTGCAGCAGCAGGTGCAGCAGATGCAGCAGGTGCAGCAGGGGCCTTGGGGCTAGAGGGGGGTGCTGCGGGAGGAGACAGTGCAGAGCTCTGGTGTGCAGGTGGAGAAGGCTCTTCAGGCCAGGGATGTTGGCTCCTGGGCCTGAGTCCCAGAGCTAGGCCTGGAGCTAGGGATGTGCTCAGTGTCACCAGGACCCTTTGCTGTCCCTGCCCTTTGGTCCATCCCTCTCCATGAAGGCCCGTTCTCACTTCGCCTTCTCTGGTAGCCTCACCATGGCTCTTGGGGTCTGGAAGCCTCTCTGAGTCTCTGTCTTGCGGAGGGTGGGAGCACCCACTGGGGCACATCTGGGCCCTGCCTTCACCGCCATCCCAGCCGCCAAAGGGTTTTCTGGGTGGTGGAGCACACAGAGGCTAATCAGGCCAAAGGGTTTGTTTGTAGCAGTCTAGACGCAAGAGAAGCCCCAGGAGAAACAGAGCCCTTGTGTCCAGCTCCTGCCTGAACTGGAATCCTGGCGAGGTTGGCGGGCGCTGCCATGGCCTCCAGCCTCAAACTATCCACAGTTGGAGAATCTGTGGCTTTTCATTGTTTGGAAGATGGAAAAGGGATGGAGGGGACGAACCCTGCCCTCTTTTTCCTTTTCCTCCTGTTTGGGAACAGGCGGGAGCCCCTGGGCAGTGGAGGCAGTGGGGAGGGAGAGTCTGTGTAAAAGTACCCCGGGCTCTGGTTCTGGGTAAGGTGGAGCACACACACGCCAGCTTCCTCCCCCACAGAATGAGGCTATGAACCTGGACAGGCAGCAGCTGCCTGAGGACTCTCAAAAGTCAATGCTAGCGGGTGAACTGGGGAGGAAAATTTACATCTGAAGCAGCCCCAAGCCCATGGTAAGTCTCCTCCTTTCTCCCCACTGGTGTCCTCCAGCCTGGACTCAAGGTGGCCTGAGTCTGGAAGTGGGCATCAGCACCAACAGAGGAAGATGGAAGAAGCTCCTTCCAGCTCTGGCTCCTAACACGGAAAGAGTGGGGGAGAGATTTCCATTTCTTTTGTCCCTTTCTGTTATCTCACACCCCAGCCCCAGGCAACCCAAGTGCAGTGTCCTACAGGCAGGGCAGCAGGCGGGCCCCAGGCATTTACAGACCCCAGGAGGGAAACTTCCTCTCTAATCAGAGGATCTGAGCTCACAGGAAGATGGGGTGAGCCTGAATTTTTTGTTTTTCCCTCTATCCTCATCCCACTTGGCCCACACATGGGGAGTGCATGGAGCAGTGTCCTAATGGAAACCTTCCTTTTGGCCAGAAGACCACAAGAGGAAATCCCAGTGAACAGAGGTATAAGAGGGCACTGAGGAAGCTTGGGAAGGGGACATCATCAAGTTGTTTATGATTGTCTAGGACCAGTCCCAAGCTGAGCATGCGTGGACCCTAAACAGCATACCACACACTTGGAGAAACCATCTGTGGGGTAGACACTGCCCAAGTTGCAGAATGGCCATGGGGTATTCACACACAGGACAGATATGAATATCATAGAAATCACAGCCCATGAAAGACAGGTCAGAACTTGCAGCCAGGGCCAGGTGTGCTGGCTCATGCCATAATCCCAACACTTTGGGAGGCCAAGGCAGGAGAATCACTTGAAGTGAGGAATTTGAGATCAGCCTGGGTCTCAAACCCAGAGTGAGACTCAATCTCCATAAGAATTTTTAAAAATTTGCCAGGCATGGTGGTGCATACCTGTAGTCCTAGCTAATTGGGAGGCAGAGGTGAGAAGATTGTTTGAGCCCAGGAGATCAAGGTTACAGTGAGCTATGATCACAACACTGCACTCCAGACTGGGCTGGGCAACAGAGCAAGACTCTGTCTCAAGAAGAAGAAGGACAAGGAGGAGGAGAAGGAGGAGGAGAAAGAGAAGGAGAAGGCAACAGAGATGGAGAAGGAGAAGAACTACTTGCATCCAGGAAGCTGGGGAGATTGCCTGCTAAAACAAGAGTTATCTCCATCTCCACAGGATTTAGACCAGATCCAAGGCCTTATACAATAATATTCAAATTTTCCAGGATATGATCCAAAATGACTTGGCATATGAAGGACAGGAAAATGACAACTTGTGTTTTGCATGAAACAAAACAATAAACAGAAGCCAACTCAAGATGGCACAGTTGTTAGGATTCAAACAAAGACTTAAAAGCAACTATTATAAAAATGATCCAACAAGTAAAGGCAAACACTCTTGAAATAAATGGAAACATAGAAAACTCAGCAAGAGGGGGAGGGAGAGAAAGAAGAATCAAATAAAAACATTGGAACTGAAAATTGCCTAACCAAAACAAAAATACTTGTGGTACAAGCTCAATAGCAGGATGGGGATGACAGAAGAAATTAGTGAACATGAACATGGGTCAATAGAAAGTACCCAGTATAAACAACAGGGGATAAAAAGAGTGAAAGACCTGTGGGACCTGTGGAAGGATATCAAAGTCTAACATTCATACAATCAGGGCCCACAGGGAGAGGAGAAATATAATACAAAAACAAATATTTGAAGAAATAATGGTTGCAAACTTCTCAAATTTAGTAAAAACAAGCCTACAGATACAAAAGATCCGTGAACCCCAAGCAGTATAAATCCAAAGAGATTTATTTCCAGACACATCAAATCAATCTGCTAAAAACAAAAGACAAAGAAAAAATCTTGAAAGCAGAAAAAAGTAATGAATTATTTATAACAGGAAAAATTCTCCAAATGACTTTGGATGTCTCATCAGAAACCACAGAGGCTAGATGGAAGCAGAGGAAAATTTTCATGCTGAAAGGAAAGAACTACGGCCTAGAATTCTATACCCAGTAAAACAGTCTTCAGGAGTGAAGGTGAAATACAGACATTCTCAGATGAAGTGAAACTAAGTGAACTCTCTTTCTGTACTATTTTTACAACTTCCTGTGCATCTATCATTATTTTGAAATAAAAAGTTAAGGGGGAAAAAAGGGAAAAAGACCTCAACAAAGTTCAAGAAAGGGGATATTTGGATGGTAAATATGCACATGGAAAGATATTCTACATCATTCATCATTAAGGAAATACGAATTCAAACCACAAGGAGATGTTATTCCACACCTACTAGAATGGCTAAAATACGGGAGTGGTGGCTCACGCCTGTAATCCCAGCACTTTAGGAGGCCTAGGTGGGCAGATCACCTGAGGTCAGGAGTTCAAGACCAGCCTGGCCAACAAGGAGAAACCCCGTCGTCTTTACTAAAAATACAAAAATTAGCTGGGCATGGTGGTGCATGCCTGTAATCCCAGCTACTCAGGAGGCTGAGGCAGGAGAATCGCTTGAACACAGGAGGCTGAGGTTGCAGTGAGCTGAGATTACACCACTGCACTCCAGCCTGGGCGACAGAGCAAGACTCCACCTCAAAAAAAAAAAAAAAAGAATGGGGTTAAAAAAAAATACTAACCCTACTAAGTGTTGGCAAGAACTCAAGGCAACCGGAATTCAGTCACATTACAATGGAAATGCAAAATGGCTCAGCCACGCTGGAAGACAGGTTGGCAGTTTCTTAGCAAGTTAGACGTGCGTTTGCCACAGGGACCAGAAATCCCATTCGAGGTACTCACCTAAGTTAAGCAAAATCTTATATTCACAAAAACTTGTGCACAAATGTTCATAGCACCTTTATTTGTATTAGCCCTAAATCGGAAAGTACTCAAATCTTTCAACAGGTGAGCGACTTAACAAGTTGTGATCCATCCACACTGCAAGATAGAGCTCAGTGGTGAACAGAAACAGAAACGAACTTCTGGGATATGCAACAACATGGTGGTTGCCAATGGTGTTATGCTGAGTGAGAGAAGCCAGCCTCCACAGGAGGCGTACGTGCCACTCCACCCACATGACATTCTCAGGAAGGCAGATGTACAGCAATGGAGTTGCAGGGGGCAGGGGCAGGAGGAGGTGCAACTGCAGGCAGAAGGCACAGGGCAGGGGAAGAAACTGTTCTGTATCCTCATGGTGGTGATGGTTACATATAAACACAGGCCGGGCATGGGGCACACACCTGCGAGCCCAGCACTATAGGAGGCCAAGGCAGGAGGATCACTTGAAGCCAGAAGTTTGAGGCCAGCCTGAGCAACATAGCAAGACCCCATCTCTACAAAAAAATTGTACGTGTAAACTCATAGAACTCCACATGTGAATTAAATTTTTAAAATTGTCTTAGAAGAAAGGCCACAGAGCCAGAGAAGGACTGGAACCCATGGAAGGCCAAGCTTCTGGAACATTCCTCCAGGGAGCATTCAGGGCAGGGGCTCTGATGTCATCCTATGACATGACTGATGGTGACATTGGCCCGGTGGACTCAGCAGCCAGCCCTGAGCACCCCTGACACTAGCATTCCTCCTGGCCTCCACTTTCTGCCTTCTCACTCTGCTCTGTCTTTCCTATCTGGCTCTCTGACAGCAGGGCCACCCTCCCCTTAGACTGGAAGCTCTCCAAAGTAAATGAGGGATGGGATCTGGGGTTTACTGAGCATCTACTCTCCACTGGCCCCTGCCAGGTCCTGGAAAGGCACCTCATTTATCTGCACATGCTTGGGGCAGGGATGTTTGCCCCCACTTTACAGATGAGCGAGCCAGACTAGAGGCTGAGCCAGAGGGCAGGGGTGGGTCCAGGAGGGGCTGGGTTTGGATGCAGGGCCGCCTGCAGCCAGTGGTCACCCTCCCAGTGTGCAGCTCTGCCTTCAGACCAGTTCTTTACCAACACTGTGTACCATCTGCCTGCATCTGCGGTGCCCAGGGTGAGGACAGCCAGGGTGCCGGGTGGGAGCCTGAAATCGAAGCAGGAGCTCCTCAGGTTCTCTGCAGGCCCCTGCATGGGGGGCGTCTAGGGAGGGAACTGGCTTTGCACTAACAGACGTTCTGGGGCGGAGGCCAGGACTCAGGTGCCTGCCTGCCAAGTGCTCCTTGTGTAGCAGTCAAACTGGGTTGTGCTGAAAACTTGCTCCCCGCTGCCGCAGAGGACCTGTTAATTAATTAAATGACACTTCAGCTCCCTGCATGGCCGGTGAGTGAGAACGAGCACCCGTGGCTCTTAGGATCCGGGGCGAGGCAATGAGAGCAGGACACAGCAGCGTGGGCGAGGTCTGGCTGCCGGGGGCTGGCTGGGCAGGACAGGTGGGTGAGTGTGGAGGCTGGGGACACCAGCCTGTGGACACCGGGCAGGCGCTGGCCCCAGGACCCTGGGCTTTCCTGCCCGCTTTGTTCTCCCTCCTGTGTCCACGGCAGGCCAGCCACTCTGTCATCTGGACAGCCCGCATTGGGCTGCTGTCACAGCGACGCCGTCGGATGGTATGCGGAGCACAGACCCCATGCCCACCAGGGAGGTCTTCCCTGTCCTGGCCTGCCCTGCCTCCTTCCTGCCCGGAGTATCTGAAGAAGGGATCCCACAGCTCCCTCTGCATTTCTCCATCTCTGCGGCCACCCCCTGCCCTGGGTCCGAGGTTTGTCTCCCCCGACCAGACGGTGGGTTGACTGTGAGTAGGACAGTGTATGGGTCATCTCAGAGTCCACGGCCCCCAGGAGGCAGCCATGGGAAACGCTGACCACCAAGGGTGGGCCCTGTGCTGGGTGATCTGGCCTCTAATAGTCCAAACATTCCTAGGAGGTGGCATCTGTAGCATGAGCTGCCAGTGGCCCCTGGGGAATAGAATCCTGGGTCTTAAGCTGGGTGAGTAGTTGCCAGAATAAAGACTTCACTTCACAGCCTGACTAATTTCTGACCGATGGGATGCATAGGAAGTGATGTGTGCAACCTCCAGGAAGTACCCTTAAAGAGCAGTGTAGGCCGCTCTTCTCCTCTGCTCCTTCCTGATGGACAGAAGGTGAGTGTGACAGCTGGAGCTCCAGCAGTCACCTTGGACCATGAGGTATAAGACAGAGATGAGGAGGAACAGTGTGGGATGCAGTTGAGGGCCAGAGACGCTGACGTCATCCTGCTCCGTGGAGTGAGCCATCGTGAAGGCCAAGTCAACACGTCGGAAAGAAGCAAAGTATGGAGAGTCAGAGGAGCAGAGCTGCGGCCCCATCACGCTTCATCCAAAACCCGCAACAGCATCAGGTTTTCCATTTGCTTAGGCTAATCCACCATCCACCATCTGCTTGCATGTGGTTTCAGCCAGCTTGAGTTGGGTTTTCTGTTATGGGTTTTCTGTTACAGGCCACTGAAAACTTCCCAACACATACAGTGGGAGAGTCATGTGTTTCAGCTGGCCTGTGAGCCTGGGGAACCCAGGCAGACTTCCTAGAGGAGGAGCCCCACTGGGAGAAAGGAGGGAAGGGTGCTCCATACTGTGGGTGAGGGCATGGGGGACAGGTCCTCAGACCAGGAGGAGAGCTGGTACCCCCTGGACTGATAACCTGGCAGCCCCTGGGTCCCAACCCCAGGGCCCTTTGCCAGGCTCCATTTGGCCCAATTTAAAATTCTCAGGGAGCACCTCACACCTTCCCTGGAACTGTGGAAAGCATGGCATGGCCTCTCTGTACCCTTCAGATTTAGTTACCGCACCTCCCAGCTTTCCCAGGGCTGCCTTCCTCTGACCACATGCACACAGGATACACAAACATGTGCACTTGCATATACACATGGGCTCTGTGTGCACCTCTGTGTTTACATGCCGGTGCACATGCCTGCACCCCATGTGTGTATTCACATGCCCTGTACACCCATGTGTACACCATGTGCGTGTGGTGTACATGTGCACGTGCCCTTATGCTCATATCATGTCCACGCACACACACGTGTGCACTTGCATATGCATTCTGTATATACAAGTGGGTGCACACATGTACGCAGAGTGTCTGCATGTTGTATGCTCCTACACACACGAGGAGCATGCGCAAAGCTGCACGTGTACACTTGAACATGTGTGCACATGCATGTACCCACCCATGTATACACGTGGTGCACACATATACACATGAGGGTGTGCATACAGGCACACGCCAATATGCCCTACTCTCCATACAGATTTAGTGGAGGCAGAAGTGCAAGGGGCGTGGGGTGAGCCAGGGTCCAGCCAGACCTGAGGGAGACCAGCTGACACCACAAGAGAGGGCCATGCCCTCCTCGGCCATCCGTAGCAGAGCTTGCCAGGCCCCCGCCAGCCTTGGGTTTAGCTATGGCTGGGGGCAGAGGTCAGGAATCCAGCTCTGGGTCCCCCATGCCTCAGGCTGTGCAGGACTTGAACCAGTCCCCAGGCCAACCCAGCACCACACCCTTCCCCCTCTGCAGGATGGGCCTCCCCTTTTCACCCCTACCTGGATTCCCAACCAAAGACTAAAGACTTCAGTAGGCAGGGAGATTTGCACATCCTCAGGTGGTCAGGCTTCAGAGCTGGGGTTGGTGGGTAGGCGGGTAGAGGGGCTGGTGTGGCTGAAGCCCAGGGGAGTGCTGGGGAGGTGGTTGGCAAGCTCCAGATCTCTGCTCTGGGAGAGAGCAGGGGGCTCCTCCCTGGGGCCCAGCGGGACCTCAGTTTCACGGGAGTCTCAGAGAGCCAAGCCCCCTCCTCTCCCAGATTTCCTTTGTCCCACAATCCCAATGTCTGTGCCAACCAACCTGGTGCAGACCCTCGCTGCCGTTGGTGCTGGTGAGGTACCATGCTTGGGGGCACGTGGTGGCTGAAGGGAGGGAAGGTGTGGAATGTCTCAGATCAGCAAGTTCCAAGCACGGCTCACCGGCCTCCGCCCATGTGGCCTCCATTCCTCCAGGCCAGGGACAGGGATGGGGCAGGAGACAGCCTGTGTCTTTTATTCCTTTTATTTTTGGGAAAACAACCTTCTCCACCTCTTCAGGATTTGGGGAGCTGCTGTTCTTCACACCCTCTAAATCTGGGGCCAGCAAGTCACCAGCGACCTCTGGTACTACGGAGGTCAGCCCGGGGGGATGAGTTACAATGAGTTACACAAGCCCGTTCGTGACCCACATCGCCTGCCTGACACACTCCAGACACTGCAGGGAGTGCAGGCTGGGATGTGGCACTGGAGGGCGTGCACGTGGGCGTGTGCTGAGATTGCGTTCCTTACACACACAGAGTCTGTGTGTGTACGAGTACATCCTCATCATAGCCTTGGTGGCATGCCCTGGGCCCCCACAGATCCTGGCCAAGGATCTGGGCTCTGAGCTGTGGACCTACCCATGTTAGCGGCTGGATCCAACAGTGCCTTCTGCCCAGGCCCATGGCGAGCCTGGCCCTGTGGAGGGACGCCTCCTCCGTCATTACCTGCGTCGTCTGTCCTCTCTCAGCCACCTCCACCTGCGTCACTGCCAGCCTGCCTCAGCACGGAGCCTGCTTTCCCTCCCACCCCCAGGCCCTCGGTTCTTCCCACGTGGGATATTCTGGCTGTACGCGCGTGACCGTGACTGTGGGGACTGGCCCAGGGCTTGACTGTGGGGACTGGCCCAGGGCTTTTCAGGGTTGGAGCTGGGATTGGAGCCCGCCCTGCCTCGGGGAAGATCCTCGCTCCCTTTCTCCACGGCACCTCTGTGATTCTCGTCACCTGCCAACACCAGCACCAGGGCTGCCCCTCCTGACGGCCCCCTCGCCGTCTTTCTGGGCACACTCCATCGGCACAGCGTCTTCACTGTCCTCCTGACAAACCTCGTGCCACCCCCATCAGCTTCAGCACCACCTCCACAGCAGCCGTGGCCAGCACCGACGTCCTTTTCCGTCACCGTCAAGCCTCAAAACTGGGACCGTGGGTAATGGCGTCACCCCATCCGCCGTCTCTCTCTAGCTGCCAACGGCGCCTTCACCAGACACGCCCGGCACCACCTTCCAGGTCAGCAGTCCCAGCCCTGCGTATCGGAGGCCTGCTCTCCCACAGCGTCCACAGTCACTGGGCCAGGCTCGCACCTGTGAGGGGCCAGGACCCATACCGGAGCCCGGCGAGGCTCCCTCGGCCACCCTCTGGGTCCTCCTGTGCTCCTGGGGCACAGCCCATGTGGGCCCAGCCACCCAGGGCTGAGCGGGCTCTGCAGTCCCCAAGGCCGGGGCCCACTCCACTCCCCAGCGTTTCCCGTCTGCTAATTTCCTAAATGAACACTAATGCAAATGGCTCAGGCTGGCTGGGTTGGGTTTTTGTTGCCTGTTTATTTATTTTTTCCTCTTTGCTTCTAACTCCTTTTTCTACCCTCTAAATTGGTGCAGCGCGGGGAATTCACAATTCACCTCCTCACTCCCATTTCGGCACGCGCTCCTCTCTGCTTCCTTAATTATCTCATTTGTAATTCTTCATCTCCCCTCCCTTTCATCTCCTTCCAAACACCCCAACCAGTTAAAATAAATATATATTTTTAATGTTGAGGCGCCTAATTTAATCTGGCAGGCAGTGTTCTGCAGTCACCGGCAGGCATCTCAGGCTGAGTCACGTCGTGGGCCACAAGGCTTCCCAGCCCCCCGCCCGTCCTGCCAGTGGGCTGTGTGGGGAGATGGCTGGGGGCAGTGTGCCCTGGAGCCAGGCCTTGGACAGGGCACTAGGGAAAGCCTGAGGCACTCTCTCAACCGCCTTCCTCTCTGCAGGCTCTGTCTCAGGTACACAGGGAGCACCTGGGGAAGGGGAATGGCCTGAGGCTAGGCAGGGGGCAGACAGTTCACTGCCTCGCAGGTCATGCTGTGCTGATCCTGGGCTGCACCAGCTTATTTCTGACTTGCTCCTGATTCCCCTTTGCTGGGCTTGGTCATCAGGCAGACCCTTTGCACCACCCCAGGGACTGCTGCCACCACGTGTGTCCTCCACGGAGACCGCATCCCTCCCATTGGGACGCTCCTTCCAGCCCCACTGCAGCACCATCCTTGGACCTGACCTAGAGCCTTGACCAAGAGCACCACATGCGGGAGTCAAAGGGTGAGGGGCTGCACCTGGCCTGTCACCTGTCCTGCTTGGGGACAAGGAGAGCTGAGAGGACAGGGAGTCAAAAGCCCATCCCTGTGTGCCCTGGTCATCCTGAGACCTCATCCCCAAAACAGCTAACTGCCTGCCTCCTAAGAGAAGCTTTTCATGACTGGTCTGTTCATCCATCCATCCATCCATCCATGCATCCATCCATCCATCCACCCATCTATCCATTTATACATCTATCCATCCATCCATTCATCCATCCACCCATCTATCATCCATCCATCCATCCATCCATCCATCCACCCATCTATCCATCCATCCATCTATCCATCCATTCATCCATCCACCCATCTATCCATCCATCTATCCATCCATCTATCTATCCATCCATCCATCCACCCATCTATCCATCCATCCATCCATCCATCCATTCATCCATCTACCCATCTATCCATCCATCTATCCATCCATCCATCCATCCATCCATCCATCCCTTCAGTCATTCATTTACTCAGAGTTCACCTGGCTGAGAGAGGTGCTCTAGGGGTTCAGAAATGAGGCTTGTAAGAAGGGGGATTCCAACATCAGGAAGTCCCAGGGCGCTTGGGGCTGGAGGCAGGGGGATGGAGAAAAGCCCCAGGCCTCAGTGTGGCCATCTGTCCCACCGGCCATTGCAGCTGCCCTGACTGATGCTTCTAACATGGCCCCTGCACCTGGACTTGCACCAGACCAGGCCCCTCCTACACTGCCTCAGCGTCCCGCTGCCACTCCCAGTGCCTATGGGCCTCGGGGTCTACAGGCCCCACCAGGCCCTTTCCCAACCTTTGTCCCTGTCCCTCTCCATTTCCTTGGCCAATGGAATATCTGCCAACAGGAAATACAAATGAAAACTGCAACAAAATGCCCATCCACACCGCTGGGCAGGACTGGCTAAAATAACACGTGCGACGCATGCACCTGCTGATGGAGAATCCACGCCGGTAAACCTCAGGCTGGGCGTGGCCTCGGCCCGGTGCTTCTGTTCCCCCATAGACACCCTAGAGAGTGGTGCCCCGCATACTCAAGGAGGCCCCTGTGCAGCTTCCTCTAGGGAGACACAGCATGTGAGCCTGGCAGACACAGGCCGGGCCCTGCAACCTGTGTTTCCCCTGTGACAACCCACTTAATATACGGAACAGCTGGGGAAGTTGAAATCCTGGGAATGGCGTTCAGGGACAGAAGAGTAGTTGGAAGGACTGAGGCATGTGTAAGAGCTGGGAGGCACAGAGCTGCAGGCCTCACTGTGAATTAACCTCACACACAGCACTGAGCACAAAACACTAAGTACTGAAGGGAGTGTGACTTGGGGAGCCACTTACGAGTTTAGGAGCCAGGGGAGCCCCTCTGTGCACTATCTGAAAGACGTGTATGGAAGGGAGAGGTGAAGAAAGGGACTTGGGAACCAGAGGCTCCATTGCAGCAGGAAGAAGAGGGAGGCTTGTGGGTCACGGAAAGTCAGGTAGAAGACGGCAGCGTTTGGTTTTGTTCCCCTAAACCAGAAGAGATCAGAGGCAAACATGGCAGATGCTAAGAGGCATTGGAGCTGGGTACTGGGATGGCTGCCAGTTATGTTGTCCCCATACACTTCAGTGTAGTGGAAATATTACAGAAATGTTTAAAAGAAGAAAGATACCCAGTAACTAAGTACCACGGAGGTGTAAAATGCTGATAGCTCCTGGAGCCTTGCTTGCAGGGGTACAAATTACCCTAAAGTGGAGAGGGACTAATGGGGTGTCATGGGCTCCTTGCCCGTCCATTGGTAGAGCTGGGAGTGGACTATTCTTGGAATCCCTGCAAACATCCCAGGATGCTGGTTCCCAAGGCTCTCGTCTCTCCACGTGGAAGCCCTGCAGGAGGGAGCACGGGTCCCACCTTTCCTCTCCATGCAGCTCTGCCCCTCTGCCCACCACCAGGAAAGACTCAGCTGGCTGATTCTCAGGAACGGGTACCGGGCAGCCACAGCTCCCTCCTTGGAAGTACACAAGCTACGGCTGGGTGACATCCTTTGGGGTCCCTGCAGAGGCTTGCCTGGCATTCGAGGCCATGTAGGTGCATTGGGGTGAGCAGGATCATGGGATCAGGAGAAAATCCCCGCAGGCTGGATCTGCCTTGCCTGGCCATGTGATCCAGGGCCTTGTGTGCCAGTTTGTGTGCATATATGATTGTGAATATGTTTGCATTTGGTGTCTGTGTTTTCATGTGTTTGTGTGTATGTGCACCTATGCTTGTGCACCCATGCACACCTTGGGCTGAGACCCTCTGGGGGACAGAGACCCTGAGGGCCCCACAGAGCTGTCAGCTTCCTGGGCCTAGCTCCAGTTGAGGACAGAAGGGGAGCAGGAGGAGGTAGCTAGCGCTGGGTCATGTGCTGTGGAGGAGTGGGATGAGGGCTGTGGGGTGATGGTGGAGTCTTGAGGTATAAGGAGCTGCTCCACCTTGTCTGACTATCACCCCTATGTCTTGACCCATTCATACACCCACTCATCAAATAGTAGCTGAGTCAAGCAGCCCTGGGCCCAGCCGTGAGCTGGGACTGGGATAGATACAAAAATCCAAATACGCAGGCCATGCCACCGCATTCTGCTGGGAGAGAGACTGCACACCAGAAGGTGCTGCCTAGGAGAGGGGGCTGAATAGGATGCAGGGAGAGCTCAGAAGGGCCAGGACTCCCCCACCCTCCCAGAGCTTCAGACTGAAAAACATGGTGGGTTGACCACAGGAAGAATGGCATAAGCACTGAGCGAGCCAGTTGCCAGGCTCTGAAGACATCTTAGGAGAGAGCCATGAGGATTCTGGTTCCTGGCTCCATGGGCCATCCAGACCCTACAGGCCCGTTTGCTTCAACACCATTACAATTACTATCATCATTACCATCCCCTGAAGCACCACCACCACCACCACCACCACCTTCGCCATTAGTGCCAACACCATTATTACCACCTTCACTATGACCACCACCATCATCATCACCATCGCACCATTATCATCACTATCACCATCATCACAACTACCACCATTACTATCTCCACTACCATCACTACCAGCACCACCACCATCATTTTCCCCATCATCACCACCACCATCACTATCACCATCAACATCATCACAGCCATCATCACCACCACCATCACCATCGCTCCCATCACCACCACCACCACTGTCACTATCACTACCATTACTATCACCACCACCAATATCACCATCACCACCACCATCACCATCACCACCACCATCTTCCCAATTAGGCTATGAGCAGAGGACTGTGTAAACCCAGTTGAGGGCAGATGGTGAAATGACAAAGGCTACTGGGCAGTTTGGTATGGAAGAACAGGAGAAAGTTTGTCAGGTTACTTGCTTGCCGTGTGATCTTTTGCATCAGCTTGCTATTTTGGAGCCTCAGTTTCCCTACCTTTAAGAGGGGAATTATGCTTGCTAACCTCTCTGCTTTTCAATGTTTGAGAGTGAGATAATTTGAAGTATTTGAAGGTGTGTGTGCCTTGTAAAGTGCTGAGCAAATGTTACGCGTTATGATCACCGTGTGAAGCCCATTCCCAGTAGTGACCCCCTCCCCAGCCCTCCTCCCAGCAACCACACATTTGTCAGGTTTTGGGAGGGCAACAGTTCCAGGAACGGACCCCAGGAGCTGGAAGATTGATTCCACCTTTGACTGGAATGCAAACAATATGCAAATGAACATGCAAATTCCCTGTGTTCCTTTGGAAGATCCCAGCCTGGTTCTTTAGGGTGGGCTGCCCTGCCGCTGGCTTTGAACATGGGGAGGGACTGAGTTGGGGAAGTCAGAGGAGGAGGGAAAAGGCGTTGACAAATCAGTACCTGATTGAACTCAACTGGCCAATGCTGCTGCCCTGTCTCTGTTTTGCAGAGTATCAACTGTGTCTTTACAGAGGCCCAAGCCTCCCTCATTGTCTCCCCCATCAGCCTCTGACTCCCTCCTCCCCAACAGCTCCCAGCCACTCACTCCCCATCCTCTCTCCTCCTTCCCTTCATCCAGCTCTTCCTGGGCACTCTTGCAGGCTCTGGACGCACTCTCCTCCTATGGTGGGAACTCTGGTTTTGAGGAGAGACACAAGAGGAGATGATCCCCCCACTAGGGTCTCCCCATCATGGTCCCATCCCACGGGTCCAGGCCACAGACTGTCAATATGGAGAGTGACGTGAGGACACTGAGGCAGGGGTTGCCCTCACCTCGGGGAAACGGAGGTTTCTCCCTAGCACAATGTGGTCCAGGCAGCCCAAAGGGAGAGGGCGTCCTGGACAAAGGGCTCAGCAGAACAAGGACTAAGAGGACAAGAGAGAGCCTGGCAGGGGTGGTGACCAGCAGGGTTCGGGGATGAGGGAGGGGGGCTGGCAGCCAGGTAGACCAGGACAGGCCTCATGAGTGGGGAGGGGCTTGGGCTTCATGGGAGGAAAAGAAAGCCACCGAAGGCTCTGAAGCCCTGGAGTGGCAGGTCACAGCAGCCCTTAGGAAAGATAGCCTGGGGCAAGGTGCACTGGAGGTGAGGAGGCCAGCGGCCCCTTCACAGCCCTGAAGAGTTGACCCGCTTTTCCTGGAACCCACAGGAGTCTGGGGCAGACAATGGCTGGCTCACGCCCACATGTCACGGCTCCTGGGAGCCCTCCAGCGCGCTCTGCCCCTCACAGACTGAGGATCCCTCCCAGGGGCATGTGGGTGACCAGGCTGCCTCCTGGGGCTCATCCACAGAGTGATGGGTGAGAGGGTCCTCTGGGGCTTCCGAGAAGGGATTTAACAGTCCTGCTGCACCCTGGCTGTTCTGTGCCTTCAGGTGGGGCAGGGTTTGGTGTGCACATCCCTCTCGGGGAGACAGGGTTCCAGAGTCCAAGCCCAGGCCCTGTGCCCATCTCCAGGGCCCTCTCTGCTGGGGCTGGCACAAAAGCCAAGAGCCTGAAGCTGACCCCCACGTCACCTGGACCCCACGTAAAGGCTCCTGGTTGCTGTAGTGACAGCTGTGGCCAGCTGGGGGAACCCACCTTCTGCCTGTGCGTGGGGAACCTGGGCCAGAGACGTCCACCCATCAGGCAGCCAGGAGCTACCACAGTGCCTCGGACAGCCCCAAATGTCAGTCTGTGTGCAGAAGGCGCCCATCCATGAAGTCATCTGTGATGGAATCTGTGTCAAATCCCGTGTTCATCTTCCTTTTTTTAAAAAAAAAAATTAATCTGCATTCGAAGAAGCTGGTTGTGTTGAGGCCACCTGCAGGGCCACTGAGGTCCCTGTTCTAATAGGATGTTAGAGCCAAGTTTCTGCTGGTGCTGGGTGGGCGGGGCATGCAGGAGGGCTCAGGGACCCTCCCTTGGGCTACTGAGGCAGAGTAATGCTTGGGTACATGCAGTCCCGTGCACCCATCCTCACAGTGCACTTACATGTATGCTTACACTCCCACTCTCACACACACGTGCACTCACACTCATGCTCACACATCCACTCACATACATATGTGCATTCACACACGTACACTCATACACGTGCTCACACACACTCACACGTACACACGTGCTCACACATGCACTATCAGGCACACAGTGCACTCACGTCCTTACACATCCACTCACACTCACATGTGTATTCACACACGCTCACATATGCACCATCATGCACACACAGTGCACTCATACACACTCACACATCCATTCACACACACGTGCACCAACACATGCTCACATGTGTATTCACACAATGTGCATGCTCGTACACGTGCACTCTCGCACACACATGCACTTTCACACACACATGCACTGTCATGCACACACATGCACTCAGTCACATGCACACACTCTGGCACACACGTGTACACTCGCACACACGTGTACACTCGCACAAACACGCACTATCATGCACACACGTGCGCTCAGCCACTTGCACACACGTGTACACTCACACATGCACCATCATGCACAGACGTGCACTCACAGTCATGCACACACGCTTGCACACACGTACACTCGCACACACATATGCATTTTCACACACTCACATGTGCACTCACAGTCACATGCACACACTCTTGCACACATGTGTACACTCGCACACACATGCACTAATCATGCACACACATGCACTCACAGTCACATGCACACTCTTGCACACGTGTACACTCACACACATGCACTATTATGCACAGATGTGCACTCACAGTCACATGCACACACACTTGCACACATGTGTACACTCGCACACACATGCACTATCGTGCACACACGTGTGCTCAGTCACTTGCACACACGTGTACACTCACACACACGCACTATCATGCACAGACGTGCACTCACAGTCACATGCACACACTCTTGCACACACATGTACATTCACACACTCACACATGCACTTTCACACACACACTCACATGTGCACTCTTGCACATGCATTCCTCTCACTGCCTGCTCCAGAAATACCCCAGGCCTTTCTTTCGTCCCCAATCTTCTGTGTGAGTTGGAGCAGGCAGGCCAGGGCTGCTGTAGCAATAACACGGCAGATATGCAACAGCTTAAACTGCATAGATGTTTTCTGTTGCTCATCAGGGTCGTTGCGGTGGCAGGATAGTCTCTACCCCACAACAACCAGGATCCAGGCTCCTCATCTGTGACCCCACCAGCCCCCAGGCAGCAGGGGGTGCATGGAGCAGGTTGGGAATTTTCTGCAAGCTCAGCCTTCATGGCCCCACACTCCATCAGCTGGGACCAGTCATCTAAGCACAGGGGCACTGGAAAACAAGAGTGGCCTGTGTCCAGGAGACAGAGGGGGTCAAAGTGGTGTCACCTCCTCTCCTCCACCTTCCTGGGCACACAGTCTCTCAGGGTGACTTCATGCCCCCACCCTGATGCCTCCTCAACTCCTACCCCTGCCCAGACCCCTGTCCCAAGCACCCCAAAGATGCCCATGGCCCACCCCTGCCCAGCACCTGCCTCTTAGAGGGTCTCACTGCTTAGTGGTCTGTCGGATTGTGGATCTGACCATCCACTTCTCTACTTCAAGCCCTTTGGGGGCTCCCAGGCCTAGGATAAAGGCTGCACTCCCCAGCCAGGCACCCACACCTTCCAAGGCAGCCCCACCCTCCTCCTGCTCCCCTTTCGCCCGAGGCCTCTTCGCCAGCTAGTGCTGCCTTGCAGCAAGTCAGCCCGTGACCTCCAGCCTGAGAACACGGGGTTGCGGTGTCTGTGGAGTTTGTGGGTCAGGACTTCCAACAGGCCTGGGGGGACGGCTTGTCTCCGGGGCCTCAGCTGCGGCTAGTGACCAGTACGGCTAGTGACCAGCTGTGGCTAGTGACCAGTGTGGTCTCTCCAAGTGGCCTGGGCTTCCTCAACACATGGTGAGCTCTGGGCAGCACTTTGTTTCAATAGACTACATTTTAGAGCAGTGTTAGGCTTATTGTTGATCTGAAAATACGATACTCTCTCCCTCTCCCCACCCAGTTTCCCCCATTTTTTACAGCTTGTATTAGTGTGCTTCATTTGTTACAATTGACGAGCCAATAATACAACATGATCACTAAAGTCCACAGTTCACATCAGGCTTCATTCGGGGTATTGCACATTCTACGGGTTTTGACCAATGTGTGTGACACGTATCTACCTTTATACCAGCACCCAGAGGAGCTTCACTGCTTTAAAAACCCCTGCGCTCTGCCCATTCACCCCTCCCTTCCCACTACCCCAGCGACCACTGATGTGTTTACTGTCACCATAGTCTTCCATTTTCCGGAACGTCGTAGAGTTGGAGTCACGCGGTACATAGCCTTTTCAGAGCGGCTTCTTTCACTTAGTCATATGCATTGAAGATGCCTCCATGTGTTTTCATGGCTTGATAGCTCTTTTTTTTAGCAGTTAATATTCCCTTATGTGGATGTATCACAGTTCGCTCATCCACTCACCTATTGACAGGCGTGCTGATTGCTTCCAAGTTTCGGCAGCCATGAATAAGTCTGCTATGAACATCCACGTGGAGGGTTTCCTGTGGACCTCGCTTTTCAATTCATTTGGGTAAATTGCAAGGAGCATGATTGCCAGATTATAAGGTAAGAGCGCGTTTAGTTTTGTAAAAGACTGCCAAACTGTCTTCCCCAGTGGCTGGCTCAGTGTGCACTCCCACCAGCAATGAGCGAGAGTTCCTGATGCTCCACATCCTCGCCGGCATTTGGTGTTGTTGCTGTTCCAGGTTTTGGCCATCTGAATAGGTGTGTCATGGTATCTCATTGTGGTTTTAATTTGCATTTCCCTAATGACATATGCTATTGAATGTTTTTTCTTGCGCTTATGTGCTATCTTGTATCTTTGGTGAGGTGTCTTTTCAGATCTTCTGCCCATTTTTAAATTGGGTTGTTTGTTTTCTTATTGTTTAGTTGTAAGGATTCTTCGGATGTTTCCATTATGTCTTTTATTGGGTGTGTCTTTTGCAAATGTTTTCTCCCAGCTTGTGGCTTCTCTCTTGATTCTCTCAACACTGTCTTTTGCAGAGCAGTTTTTAATTTTAATAAAGTTGAGTTTTTACATGGCAGCTCTGGACTCCAAAAGTGAGTCCTCTAGCGACCAGGTGGGAGCTAAAGAACCTAGGCCAGGCAGCCTCACCTCCAGTCAGGCAGTCCCAAGACCACCCAGATTCATGGGAAGGAGAGGCAGACCCCGCCCCGGGTGGAGTAGTGTCAGCATCATGGGTGCTATCATTGCATTCATTTCTGAAAAGCCCAATCTGCCACATTTCCAGCTACCCAAACCCTGGACAACTCCTGCCCTTCTGACAAGCAACTTCTTGTCCCCTAGAGAAAAGGGTTTCAGGGTGCCCTGGTCTCCTGGCATGTGGGTGGTCTTTGGGAGTTGTCTGCATGCCATTGCCCCCTGAACCTGGCTGACTCTTCCAGCAGAGACCCCCCCGCCCCCGCATCCAGGGGATGAACCACGATTGATCTGGACCAGAGAAGCAACCCTGTTTCGTTTCCCGTGATTGGTCAGCTTGGAACATGTGATCCTTTTCTGACCAATGAGATGCAAGAGAGAGACTGGGTAGGGGGAGACCTGTTCCCTGCCTTGCTTTCCTAGAGCTGCTGTGGCTGAGTAGCAAGCTCAGAAATTCATCCCCATTCCTCTGGCAGCACTGAGCCCAAGACCCAGGTGTCAGCAGAGTTGGCTCCTTCTGGAGGCTCTGGGGAAGGATGTGTTCCCTGTCTTCTCACTTCTGGAGGTTGCTGGCAATCTTCTGTGATCTATGGCTTCAGATGCATCATTATAGCCTCTGCCTCCATCTCCACGTGGCCTCCCTGAGTGTCTGTCTCCACGTGGCCTCCCTGAGTTACCTGTCTCCGACTGTCTGTGTCTCCACGTGGCCTCCCTGAGTGTCTGTCTTTTCATGAGGGCTCACTGAGCATCTGTCTCTCCACATGGCCTCCCTGAGTGTCTATGTGTCCACGTGGCTTCCCTGAGTGTCTGTCTCTCCACGTGGCCCCCGAGTTACCTGTCTCTGAGTGTCTGTCTCTCCACATGGCCTCCCTGAGTGTCTGTCTCCATGTGGCCTCCCTGAGCATCTGTCTCTCCATGTGGCTTCCCTGAGTGTCTGTCACTCCGTGTGGCCTCCCTGAGGGTCTGTCTCTCTGTGTGGCCTCCCTAAGCGTCTGTCACTCCACATGGCCCCCTGATTACATATCTCTCCATGTGGCCTCCCTGAGTGTCTGTCACTCTGTGTGGCCTCCCTGAGTGTCTCTCCACGTGGCTTCACTGAGTGTCTGTCACTCCACATGGCCTCCCTGAGTTACCTGTCTCTGAGTGTCTGTGTCTCCACAAGGCCTCCCTGAGCATCTGTCTCTCTGTGTGGCCTCCCTGAGCATCTGTCTCTCTGCGTGGCCTCCCTGAGTGTCCATGTCTCTATGTGGCTTCCCTGAGTGTCTGTCACTCTGTGTGGCCTCCCTGAGTGTCTCTCCACGTGGCCTCCCTGAGTGTCTGTCTCTCCACATGATGTTCTTTTTATAAAGACATCAGTTGGCTGGGAGCAGTGGCTCAGGCCTGTAATCTTGGACCTTTGGAAGGCTGAGGCAGGCAGATTGCTTGAGACCAGGAGTTTAAGTCCAGCCTGGCCAACATGGCGAAACCCCCTCTCTACAAAAAATACAAAAAATCAGCCAGGCATGGTGGCACATGCCTGTGATCCCAGCTGCTTGAGGGGCTGAGGCAGGAGAACAGCTTGAGCCCAAGAGGTCAAGGCTGCAGTGAGCCAAGATTGCGCCACTGTACTCCAGCCAGGGTACTAGAATGAGACCCTGTCTCAAAAAAAAAAAAAAGATGGTCGCATTGCATTAGGGGCTTCCCCTACTCCAGCGTGACTCTATTTCCCATCTCAACTCTATTTCCAAATAGGGCCATGTTCTTAGGTACAGGGGTTGGGACTTCAACATATGCATCTTTGAGGGGCACAATTCACCCATAATCTCCCCTCTCGTGGGGTCCCCACACCTGCCCTTAGCTGGCCCAACGCTCATCCCAGCCACCCCAAGAAGTGGGAGACATGCAAGCGGAAGCCTCTTCGCCTCCTTTCTTCCCTCCCTGTTCTAGAGGTGGCCATGGGAAGATCTTTCCCTCCTTTCTTCCCTCCCTGTTCTAGAGGTGGCCGTGGGAAGATGTGATGCCCGGAGATTGGCAGCCATTTTGCCCCCACAGTGGCACCCACCTGAGGAAAGGGGGAGGACAGATGGAAGCCCCAGGGGCCCCATGATATAGAGGAGCCGAGCTCCTCCTGAGACTGCCTCCCTCTGAGTTTCTTGGGAAGGGAAAAAAGCACCCCAGGCCTCTGAGCTGAAGCCTTTCCTCCCTGACCTTCCGAAGAGGGTGCAGGGATGCCCAGGGCTCACGAGGTCTTGGGGACTTGGGCTTATGTCTAGGATTCTCCACTTGTGGCTATGTACCTTCAGGGAGGTCACCTCACTGCCCAGAGCCTCAGCTTCCTCCATGATGGGGCCCTCGTCTCTACCTCCAGGCTTCCAGGGTTCTGCAAAGCACACGGGTTAGCTGTGGGTCTTACACCACGGGTGGCTCATCAGGCACCACCTCCCCAGTGAACGTATGCATGGGGGCGGTGAACCCCTCTGTGGCAGGTGGGGAGGCAGGGGTCAGATGGGGGTGGGTGCAGAGTTCACCAGCTGGCTCCGGCACTTACAGCTGGAGAGGGCCAGCCTCGGCTCTCCTTTCTGTAAGAGGGACAGATGACGGCTCCGGTGTTGGTGCTGTCAACACACACGGGGCACAAAGTGTCACCACTGTTGACACAGTGAGGGGACCCAGTGAGGACACGGGACCACCTCCGCTGAGGCCCTGCTGGCACAGTGGATGGGAAGAGAGGGCTACAGCCCAGCAGGGTCGGGGACTGCCTTGGAGGCTCAGGGCATTAGGGGTGGGGGTTTTGGTCATGTGACCCGGGCCCAGCTCCATCCTCCCCTGAGTCACTCTCAGGCTTCAGGGCTATGAGGACCCCCAGAATGTCACTCCATGCCCCCCAGTGGGTCTGAGGCCTTCCTCTGAAATGCTCTGGCATAGGGTTGTGTGCCTCCTGCCCTCTGTCTACCCAGCTCCCAGGCTGGGCTGTGTCCTGGGGTACCCAGACCGGTCACCCCCCCCCCAGTGACCGCTGAAGCCCTGGTGGGGCTTGGATATCAAGGCCTGGGGTGTGGATACCCAAGAGGGGCCGAGGGCCTTCTTTGGATGCCCGGGGACTCTGTGCTGAGCGTGGCACAGGATGTTTTGTGGGGGAGTGCACGCTGTTGAGTGGTGGGCCTGAGACAGCTCGGGTTGGAAGAGAACATAGCCTGCCCTGACTTGCTGTCCATACCACTTGGAGCCTGACATGCACTGAGTGTGAGCAGGTGAGAGTGCAGAGCTGGTGAGCCCCACCTCCAGCCCCCACTCCTGTTGGCACCTCGATCTCTCTGATTGCATTGATTTTCACTGCAGTGTTTATTAAACGCTTAATCTCCCTCCACCGAGAGCTCCCAGAGCTGGCTTGGCATCCCCTATTCCTATGGCTCACTAAGTCCAGATGAGAGCCTGGAGGGGAAGCTGGGGCAGTGGCCTGCACAGGCCCTGAAGTCCACACAGCCTCTGCTTTGGAGCAAGGGCTATGGGGATGGGGTGAAGGATTGGCTGGTGTGGGCAGGGTGCCAAGCCTAAAAGAGGGGTATGATAAATACTGGATGAATGGTGGCAGTTGATGCCCATCCTCAGGGTTTGACCAGCATATCCAGAGGCTCAGGGCCCAATCTGTGATCAGGGATTGGGACCAGTATGTGCCCAGAGTCAGGGCTCAGTCAGTGATTAGGGATCAGGGCTCAGTCTGGGATCAGGGATCAGGACCAGTATGTGCCCAGAGTCAGGGCTCAGTCGGTGATCAGGGATCAGGACCAGTATGTGCCCAGAGTCAGAGCTCAGTCAGTGATCAGGGATCAGGATCAATATGTGCCCAGGACCAGGGCTCAGATGGTGATGAGAGATCAGAGGTTTCTAGGAACAGGGTCAGGCCTCAGCCAGGATGTTGTGGGGACTGGAAACAGGCTCTGGAGTGTTTTGTGCTGTTCCTGGCCCAGGAGGTTACATTCCCCAGGCAACACTCCCCCTCTTCTTCCCTTTCTGCCCGGTCAATCTTGAAGACTCTCCTCCAAGAACAAGTCCACAACTCGGGCCCTGCTGTGGTCAGAGTGCAAATGTTGGTGTCAATCCTGGTCCCTGGTCATGCATGACCTTGAGCAAGACACATGACCCCTCTGAGCCACGGTTCTTCCATGGAATGGGACCATGCCTGGCCACTTCTGGTAATGGCCATGAGGACAGATGGAGACAGGGAGCAAAGTCAGTTTGGTCAGCACAGCTGCTGAGGAAACATCAGGAGAATGCACACCCAGGTTTACCATTTGAAGGGGTCTTGAAGACCCCAAGGGAACCCTGCCTCAGGAGCCCTGTAGCCCTAGCAGCTGCCCAGCTGGTGCCACCTCGCCTCTCCCTGACCTGCATCTCTGCACAGTCCCCACAAGGTTGTTAGGAAAACCCGCCAATCATGCCTGGTTCTCACAAGGAGAGCTGTGAAAATGAGTGGTTGAAAATAGCCCGAAAATACCCCCAGCCCTGCCTCCTCCTCCTCTCCCAGAGAGGGCAGGGCTGGCAGAGAAGGGCACCTGCGGAGTGGGCCAGGCCACTTGGGTTACATAAGCTCAGCCTTGGCCTTGGGAGAAGGCTGAGGGATCAGCGTCAGTGCCAGGGCCAGGAGGAACCTGGGCATCACCTTGCCCCACAGCCAAGGGTCCTTGCCCGGAGTGGGCCTGGGCCTCGCAGACTTTCCAGGGGCAGAGAGGACAGGGCAAGGGAAGTCCCCAGCACGCTTGGCCTTGAGTGCCCCCACTACGTGCTGGGGAGATGCCTTTCCTTCCTTCCCTCCCCAGCTGCCTGTGCCGGGTCCGGGAGCCCAAGACCAAGACCTGCCTGCTTCATGGCCTTGGCCAGTGCCTGCAACTCTCTGCGCCTTTCCCAGAGAGCACAGGGAAATGGCCCTGCCCAGCATCAGTGGGGCAGCCACCATCCCAGGCGGGGCTTGGCAGAGTACAAAGCAGGCCTGGACGCTGGCTCCCACTAAACCCAACCCACCCCCGCCTTACCTCTGCCCCGTCCCAGCCTGCAGGAACCCTCAAGAGGCAAGCCCTGCCCTGGCATCCATCCCCCGGGGCCCCCACAGGAAACACACACCCTGCGTGGGCTGCAGGGACCTCAGCCTTTCCAGGCCTGCATCTCCTGAGTGGCTTCCTTAATCTGTGAGAGGAGGCAGCTGTCCCGAGATTTGGGGCAACAATGTCCCATGAGTTCCCACCTCTTCTGAGTAAGGCCCTGGAGAAGACTTTTCCAAATGTGCCTGGGCTGAGGCTGGAGCAGGAGGGCCAAGGGCAGGCGCAGGGAGGAGTGCTGGGGTGAGGGCTGGAACAGGCTGGAGTCTGGTGGGGACGCTGGATCCCTGCCCTTCCGGGGGAGCAGAGACTGGGGCATCCCTCAGCCAGCTAGCACAGGCTTCCCTCGGGGTTGGGTTGTACCAGGTGGGCCCATAGGGCTGTAGGGGGGTTAGGATGAGGGAGTGCACAGTGGATCCCTGGGAAATCGCAGTTCTGCAGCACTGGAGGCAGGTGGGGGTAGGGAGCTCAAGGTGCGGAGCAGAAGGGGGACCAGGTGTATGAGGTCAAGCCTCCACCTGTGCCTAGCATGCCTGCCAACCCAGAGGGAGGGAAGCAGGGCCGGGCTGAGTGAGTGCAGGCAGGAGAGCCAGAGCCGGGGGCGGGCCTGGGTGGGGAAGTGCACACGGAGGGCAGGCGGCCCCGGCTGCAGAGCGAGGACCACGGTCCAGACCAGGACAACAGGTGCTCGTTTAATCATGAGACAGACTACCTAGGTAGGTCCTGTTGCTGCCTCCTCTTTACAGGCAAAACAGAGAAGGTGCAGGCGGAGTGAGCCACTGGTCTGAAGTTCACAGCCGGAGCAGGGAGGGGCCAGCACCCAGCCATTCCTTCCAAGGTGCCCCCAGGGTCCCTGGTGTGGGGAGGGGTGCTGGGTGGCACGACCTGGAGCCACAGGAGGTGCACTTGCTGGAGTCCAGCCAGTGACGAGTGTCACACACCCCCTGCCTGGGAACCCCACCTTGGAGGAAGCCTCAGGACCTGGGTGGAGGCGGACCGGCTGGGATGACCACTCTCCAATACAGTAGCCACCAGCCACACGTAGCTATCTCACTGGAAATGGATTACAGTCAGTCAAATTAAAAATTCAGTTCCCCAGGCCACAAGCCACACTTCATGCCCTTGGTAGCCACTAAGGCCAGTGGTGGCCATGCTGGACGGCACAGACACAGAATGCTGCCACCATCACAGGCAGTTCCATGGACAGAGGCATCCAGAGATTGGCTCTGGACTCGGATGCCTGGGCCTAAGGGTTGGGCCTTCTCTGACCTTTGCTGGCCCCAGTCCAGGGGTGGGCTGTCCGGGACAGAGGCGAGGGGAGGCCAGGGAGGAAGAGAGGAAGGGGATGGGGGATGGGGGAAGGGAAAGGCAGCCTCCCTGGGTCCTCTCTGTCTTCCTGGAAACCTGGGTTGGTGGCAGCCAGGAGGCCACCTCCTCGCAACTCCTCCCCATGACTCAGGCCCTGAACTGGGATGGCTGGAGAGCAGAGCACGCCAGAGTCACCTCCATGGGTCCCCACGCTGCCTGGCCTGGGTGCAGGCTGAGAGCCACAGAGGGACTGCAGAATGTCACAGAATTGAAGCTGGCTGTGCATCTGCCCGGGAGCCAGGTTGTGCCTTGTCTCTGTCCCCCATCTTGGGATGCAGAGCCCTGGGTGGAGGGACTGGCTGCTTTCCTCCTCTGAATCCAGGCAGCAGATGGGGCCTCTGGGCAGAGGAACTAGGGAGGGTCCTGGCCATGTTTGCCTTTGCTGGCTGATGGGTGTGCTGAGACAGAGGACCTGCAATGTGCCTGGGACACAGGAAGGGGCCATGCCTGCCAACCAGAAGACCAGGGAAGGCTTCCTGGAAAAGGAGGCCGGGTGCACCACACTGTTAGAACCTTGTTAACAGGAGCTTCTGCCCTCACTATCACTTGCTCTCTGACAGTCTCTTCTTTTCCCATCCTTCCTCAACATCTGCACAGTTTGGGGCACCTTCAGGCTGAGCTGGGGGTGGGAGGGGGGCCAGGATGCACCAGGACAGGCTGGGCAAGGGCAAGGCCTCGGGTCCTGTATGGCGGTAGGCAGGGGCTCCAAGGGTCCTGACTGGGAGGCTAACCTAGACTTGCTGCGTCCACAGTTAACTCCTCTGCATGTGAATCCCCTAAGTACTCGCCATTCTGGTCACCCCCACACAGAGGCCCTTCAGCCTGTGGCTGGCAAAGTCCATTGAGTACCTCGAGAGGACCAGGGGTCCCCTTCCTCCTGCGCCCCCATGCGACCTCAGCCCTAGGAAGCACTGGCTGATACAAAGTGCCCTCATTCTGCCCTGGGGGTCCCTGCAGACAGCTCTGGGGGACCATGAAACGGGAGTCACGGAGCTGGGTTGTAGACTGCCCTGGCTGCCCTGTGGCCTCAAACAAACACCCCCCTCCCTGAGGATGGGACAGTCCTATGTGAAAATGGCTGGACATACAGGACTTTGAGGCACACTTCCTGCTGCTCCACTCTGAGGCCTCATACCCCCCTTTCTGTTTCCCATCAATCAGGGACGCCTTAGTCTACACTTAGCCTTGGGACCAAAGCTCTGGATGTGTAAAGCGGCCATGGGATCAGGGCTCACTCTGTACCAGGATGGAAGCTCGTGTGTGGCCAGAGCTCAGTGTGTGACCAGGATCAGGGCTCAGCGTGTGACCAAGCTCAGTGTACGACCAGGATCAGGGCTCGGCGTGTGACCAGGCTCAGTATACGACCAGGATCAGGGCTCAGCGTGTGACCAGAGCTCAGTGTGTGACCAGGATCAGGGCTCAGCATGTGACCAAGCTCAGTGTACGACCAGGATCAGGGCTCAGCATGTCACCAAGCTCAGTGTATGACCAGGATCAGGGCTCAGCATGTGACCAAGCTCAGTGTGTGACCAGGATCAGGGCTCAGTATGTGACCAAGCTCAGTGTGTGAGCAGGATCAGGGCTCAGCGTGTGACCAAGCTCAGTGTACGACCAGGATCAGGGCTCAGCATGTCACCAAGCTCAGTGTATGACCAGGATCAGGGCTCAGCATGTGACTAAGCTCAGTGTGTGACCAGGATCAGGGCTCAGTATGTGACCAAGCTCAGTGTACGACCAGGATCAGGGCTCAGCATGTGACTAAGCTCAGTGTGTGACCAGGATCAGGGCTCAGCATGTGACTGAGTTCAGTGTGTGACCAGGATCAGGGTTCAGCGTGTGACCAGAGCTCAGTGTGTGACCAGGATCAGGGCTCAGCATGTCACCAAACTCAGTGTATGACAAGGATCAGGGCTCAGCATGTGACCAAGCTCAGTGTGTGACCAGGATCAGGGCTCAGCGTGTGACCCAGCTCAGTGTGTGACCAGGATCAGGGTTCAGCGTGTGACCAAGCTCAGTGTACGACCAGGATCAGGGCTCAGCATGTGACTAAGCTCAGTGTGTGACCAGGATCAGGGCTCAGCGTGTGACCAAGCTCAGTGTGTGACCAGGATCAAGGCTCAGCGTGTGACCAAGCTCAGTGTACGACCAGGATCAGGGCTCAGCATGTGACTAAGCTCAGTGTGTGACCAGGATCAGGGCTCAGCGTGTGACCAAGCTCAGTGTGTGACCAGGATCAGGGTTCAGCATGTGACTAAGCTCAGTGTACGACCAGGATCAGGGTTCAGCGTGTGACCAAGCTCAGTGTGTGACCAGGATCAGGGTTCAGCGTGTGACCAAACTCAGTGTGTGACCAGGATCAGGGCTCAGCGTGTGACCAAACTCAGTGTGTGACCAGGATCAGGGTTCAGCATGTGACCAAGCTCAGTGTGTGACCAGGATCAAGGTTCAGCGTGTGACCAAGGTCAGTGGTCATTGATTCCAATGTCGGGGGCAGGGTCACAGCTGAGTGGCTGTGGCCAGGGATCATTTTGTGGCTATGGAGAACACTGAGAAGATACCATGGGTTACAATCCCTCTGGGCTGCGCGAGGAGGTTCTAGGGCCCAGCATCCAGCTGGGTGTGGTCCCCAGCAGGGACCGTCAATTCCAGCCTCCCAGTGCTGGGCCCACCCTGGGTTCTTCAGGCTGTGGACAGGACCCTGAAAGGAAGCCGATCTGGGCGTGAGACATGCAGTGGCAGGCAGGGAGGGGGGTGAGCAGGTGAGGGGAAGGGAGTTCAGGGTGCACACTGAGGCAAGCCTCCTGAAAGCCAGTCGCCGGTTTAGGTTCTAGAATCCCGGAGTGTCTAGGCTGGAAGATACCTTCAAAGCCATTCAGACACACACGTGCCAACAGGGAGACGGGGCTGAGGTGGGGTGAGCGGGACTGCTTCCGGGCGCCCTGCTGGGAGCTGGTCTCGGTGGGCAGAACTCCTTACGCCTGACCTTCTCCCTCCCTGGGGAGGGGCTGAGGGCTGGGCCGGGGGTGGGAGGTGGAACCCTCTGATTCCTGGATCAGGAGCTGGGCTGAGAGGGCGATTTTCTAAAAGGGGCGAGTTGGGGAGGGAAGCAGAGAAGGCCCCATGCTGGGAGAGGAAAGGCCCTGCCGAGAAGCTGGGCCCAGACGGGAGACCGCATCACCCTGGATGGCCGCATTGGAGAAGGCCCCAGCCCTGAGAACCTGGGGCTGGATTCCCCAGTGGAGGCACCGGGATCGCTGCCACCCTCCGGGCTCCAAGGAGGAAGGCTGAGTCCTGACTCAGAGCTGCTGGCCTCCTGGCCTGACATCAGCCGCCCCCTGGTGGCCATGACTGCTGGTGCAGCGAGGAGACGGCAGGGCATCGCCGCCAGGACTGGGAGGAGGGGGTGCCGCTCCGCAGGGGATCCTCAGAGGCAGCCCGGGCACCCTGCCCTTTTGTCAACAATCCTGTCAAAGCCTTGGAGAAGAAGGCCTTTCCCCCAGGAGGAAGGAGGTGTGACACTGCCCAAGAGGTTGGACCGGGAAGCGGACTGCCCCCGCCCTTTCCTGGCTGCCCTGTGGCCTGTGTCTCTGGGCAACTTCTCACAGTCCCTGTGGACACCCCTAGGAGCCTTGGCCACAGATCAGCCTTGAGGAGGGGACTGATATGGACACAACAGTGTCCGGCGAGCTGTGCGCCATGCCCAGGGGCTCGGTGGGCTTGAGTTCCCTCGTCTCCTGGTGACCTGTGTTGACGGTGGTGACTGCCGTTGAGGGCCATGGGAGGACAGGGTGGGGTGGGTGCTGACATTCAGGTAGGGGTGGTGGTGGTCCTTGTGAATTCGTGTTGGTGGTGGCAGTGGTGGTACCCAGTGGAGACTGGCTGATGGGCTGACAGAAGCAGCCAGGCCGACGGTGGGCCTGGGAAGCAGCAGCAGCGTGACCTGCTGAGATGCTTCAGTGTGCAGAGTGCTGGACATCCACACAAGGGGACTTGCACTCAGAGTGGACCACACGTTGAGAGCTAGGAGAAAAGGGTTGAGGCAGAAGCATCTTGGTGGAGAAGGATCCCGCAGTCACTTCTCCAAGGTCCTTCCTTCTGGGAAGGCTCCCTCTGGGTACCTGTCCAGCGGTCCTGGAAGCAGAAGAGGGGCCGTGGATGATCCAAGGCAGCCGAAGCGGCCATCTCCATCAGCTGATGAAGAACGAAACCTGAATATGGGGCTGGGAGGTCCCCCATGTCATCAAGTCAAAGGAGGGCGGATGGTGACAATGGGAGGAAGTGCCTGGGGACAGCCACCCAGGGTCAGTGGTGGGTTCGACCTCACCTTCAAATCCATCTCCTGGCTCTTTCCCCAGCCACTCCCCTCAACATCTCTCAGCACAGGGTCCATGAGGAAGAACTGGACAAGCCCCCCCGAGCAGTTCAACTGGCCCTACCCAGTCCCCGCCCAGCCCCCACTCTCTGACCCTCTTGGATGGGGTCAGGAGTCTATGCCTCCACTCTCTCTCCTGCCCATCCCCCACTCAGCCCGCTCTCACCCCCATCCATGCCTGGTCCTTGCACCTGCACAGCCTTCAGCCAAGCAGACCTCCACTGGGTGCTGCCCATCCACTTACCCACCTATCCCGTCCATCCTCACCCATCTCTTCCCTCAATCCATCCTCACCCATCTCTTCCCTCAATCCCCATCGTCCTCCCGCCAGCTCTCCAGTCATCCGTCCATCCATCCGTCCACCCCACTTCCATCTACACCCACCAACTCATCCATCCGTCCACCGTCCATCCACCCACGCACCTGCATTGCCTAGGCACAACCCCTCACTTCCTTCCCTCCATTCATCTGTGTGTCCGTCCTGCCGTCCACCATCCATCATCCAGCCAGCCAGTGGGGCCACTCCCCTGCTCCTGGAGAAGGCCGAGAGCAGGAACCCAACTCTTGGCTTCTCTGCTGCGCGGGGCAGGCACCGGGCTCTCCTAGGTGTGCGCGCGTGTGTGCATTTTATCCGCCCCCCCTTATCTCGCTCCCCTCCCCCCACACCCCCGCCCCCCGCTAGCGCTCCCCCTCTAATGTGTGATCTGGAAGCTCTATAAAGCCTGATGTAATCCGTAATGCAGTCTCTGGCTCCCGATTCGGGATCCAGTTTCAGAGAGCGAGAGATTGGGGAGCGCCGGCAGCCGGGTGGGGGGAAGCAGCTCTCGCCTCTCTCCTCCTCCTTCTCCTCGTCCTCGGCCTCCTCCTCCTCCCCGCGCCGCCCCGCCCCCGGCTCGGCTTGGCTCGCCCCCCCCCCCCCCTCGCCAGGAAGGGGAAAAAAGGCGAGAAGAGCCGGGCAGGCGAGAGGAGCGGAGCGGCGGCGGCGGCCGGAGAGGGAGCGGCGGGCGCAGGCGGCGGCGGCGGGCGCGGCGTTGGCGGCGGCCCCGGCGGAGCGAGCGCGGAGCCGGAGAGCCGGGAGCACAGGCGGCCGCGCCGCGTCCTGGCCCGGCCCGGGCCCGCGCGCCAGCATCGTCCGCAGCGCGGGCATCCGGACCCTCCGGGCGCCCGGGGGGCTCCAGCAGGCGCGGGGGAACGGGAGGGGGCCTGCGTGCGCCGGCGGGTGCTCTCCAGGGGGCGTCCCGGCGAGGCCCAGAGCGGGCCGGGGGCGGCGGCGGCTGGAGGAGCCCCCCCCACCTCCGGTCGGGCGCCCGGCTCAGCCGCCGGCGACGCGAGGCGCTCGCGGGGATTTGCAACTCGCCGGATCGAGTCCTCGCCGGCGGGGCCGCTGCTGCTGGGGAAGGTAAGGAAGGCTCCGGCGGGGGGCTGGGGGCGCGGCGGGTGGGGGCGCAGCGAGGGTGGGAGGGGGTCGGGGGAGGGGCGGGCGCCCAGACTTCCTAACTTCGCCGTTTGGGGCTTCGCAGCTCCGAGGTTTTGCGCTCAGAGCTCAGGAGTTTGGACCCCCACCCCCTACCCCCTCAGCCCCCTGCCTTCTCCAGCGGTGGCGATGGAATGTGGCAGGTCCCCGCGAGCCCGCATTGGGCAGGCTGAGGAGGGGGCGACCCTGGACGCAGGAGAGGCTCCTCGGCGCCGCCGCCTCCTCCCCATCCACACACCACAGCCTGGCACCCCTCTTCATCACATGCACAGGGCAGGCTGGGGAGGGCGTTCCCGCTGTACCCCCAGCACACACAGACGCTGGCGGGGGTCTAAGGGAGCCCCCCATGGCCCCCAACAGCCACACATAGACGCAGCAGGCTCCGGAGAGCCCCCGAGCGTGTCCCCCTCCTGCTAATCACGTCCAGGGCCCCCTACAGACATTGTAAGGGCCCGAGACGTCCTCCCCCCACGCACAGAGCTCGGGGCAGGCAGGAGAAAACCCCAGACTCCTTCTCGAAGCCCTCGCTCGTAGAAGCCCTCGCCTGTAGACCTGGCATTGGCAGTGGAGACTCCCTGGAGGTACTCTCCCCCACTTCGGGCGGAGGGCTATTTTTGCGCCCCCCACCCCCACGCGAACGCCTGGCTCTTCCCTCCTTGTCTACCTTTCCACTGGGTCGGACAGGCCGCGCGGATAAGCCGCTCTCAACTTTGGGCCGGCCCTATGCCGTCTCCGCTCCAAGCGCCGAGCACTCCCGGGCGCCGAGCACTCCCGGGTCCGCGTCGCCGGTGAGCAGAGGCCGCCGGCCCTCCACCGTCGCCGCGCTAGCTTGGAGCCGCGCGGAGCTGCCTCGAGGAACGAGCACGGCCCCCGCCCCCTCCTGGGGAGGCTGGGAGCTCTGGACCCGGCCAGGAGCCCTCTCCCTAGGTCCCCGCGGCCCCCTGGGCGAGGTAGAGAGCTCCTCCGGCCTCGGGAGGGGGCGGCGGAGCTGAGAATCACCGCGAAGCGATGCGACCGGGAGGGCTTGACGGAGGCTGCGGCTCCGAGCCCGCGTCCCTCCTCCTGGCCGCGGCGGCTCCTGCTTGGCCACTCCCCGGCAGCCTGAAGAGAACGCCTAATCTGGCACCCCAGCCCCAGGCCGCTGGGCACCTTACCCCTTTCCACTTTTATTTTGGGCTTCTAAGTTTCTTGGAGCGCAGGCGCCTAGGCTGGGACCCGAAGAGCCCTAAGCCAGCCCTCTTTCAGCACCCGTCCCCGCCGCGACCTCCCCGTTCTTCCTCCGGGTCTGGGGCGCAGATTCCTGGGCTGCAACTCCGGAGTAGTTGAAAGGCAGGAAGGCGTGTGGGCGGGTAGGGGGCCTGCACTCCCGCCCCAGAGGAGCCGCTTGTCGTTTGTGTTGGGGAGGGAGCTGGGAGGTCTGCTCTCCCGCTCCATCCTGGGAACCCACGGAGACCCTCGGTACTCTCCCCACAGACACAAACACACGCCCCCTCGGAGCGAGAGCCGCCGCGGGGGAACAGCAGAGGCCGCGCGGGCGGAGGCGGGGGAAAGGGGAGCTGGGTCCCTTTTCTATCTGGGAGGGAGGTGGTATACGGTGTGTGGGGTCTGGGGAGGCGACTGTCACGTCTCCTAGAACCCTCATGCCTTCCACTCGTCTGCGACCCCGGCTGCCGAGGAGGCAACGAGGGAGGTCGAGCCGCTCCCTCCCGTGGGCGGCAGCGAAACTCTGCGCCCGCACGCCGGGGTGCCGCCGAGTCCGGCTTTGAGTACCCAGCAAGGTCAAGCAGGCGAAGGAGGGGGCGGGGGTTCCTGGGCGCGCCCCCGTCCGCGCACAGTCGGGGCCTTGGAAGGGGGTGTGCGCAGCCCGCCGAGTCAGTCCCGCTCGCCTGCCGCCCGCGCCCGGTCCCCGGAGGCGGACGTTGCGCGCGTTCGGGGATCCCGGAGCGCCCGGCGCCCCACGCCCTCCCTTCGGCTCGCTAGCTGCTCCTTGGCGCTGCTTTCAGACTTGTTGCGCCTCGATCTGGGGGGCAGAAGGCTGGCCCGGGAGACCCGGCGGCTGAGGGCCGAGCCGCGAAGCCCAGGGATGCGCCAGAGAGGCGCGCGGCTCCGCGGGTGGGCGCTGCGCTGGGGGGCTCGAGCCTGGGGTTTGCCGCCTCCGATCCCAGGGACGGGCGCTTGTTCCTGCCGGGGTCCCGCGCAGGGGCGGATAGAGGGCGATTCGTCGCCTCGGCCTCAGGCAGCACTCATCCGGATCCCGGGCTAGGGAGGGGGCGCAGCCAAGTTGTGGAGCCCTCGGAGGCCCTTCCCTCTCCCGCAGGCTCCGGCCCCTCTCGGACCTCGGTGGCCGCGTCCGTGAAATGGGGACGCGGGCTCTGCTCTCGGATCCCTTCCAGCCCCCGACCCTCCGCACTTGTCCCGAGATCCAACGTGCCCGGTCCGCAGCGTGCTGGGTCTGCGGCGTCAGGGTGGCCCGAGTCCCGAGACCATCTGCGCTTGCGGACACAGCCGCGGGGCCTGGCATGAAGGGCCCCAGGGAGGGCCTAGCAAGCGCCCGGGGTCCGAGCAGCCTCCTGCGGCGTCCTCCGCCCCCGGTCGGCCCGACCCCGCCTCCGGGAGTGGGTCGTGGGGCGCGGAGCCCGTCCTCCGGGGACGCCGCGGGGCTCCAGGCCCAGGCGGCCGGCGCGGGGCCGCAGTGGCGGAAGGCGGAGGGCCGGCGCGCTGCCGCTGACTGCCGGGAGAGGGCGCCCGCACCGCGCCCGCGCGGCCCTGCCCGCCCCTTCCGTCTCCTCCGCGCCTGGCCCGCGGCTCCGGCCCCATCTTGGGCAGCCCCGGCCGCCACCTCCCTCCCGCCCGCCCGCCCGCCCGCTCGCTCGCTCGCTCGCCGTCCGCTCCCGCCGCCGGGTCCCGTGACGCGCCTCGCGTCTCGGCCGGAGCCCCCCTCGCCGGCCCGGCCCGGTCCCCGTGTGCGGTGCGCTGGCGTGAGCGCGCGTTTGCGTGCTGGTGTCCATGTGTGGCGCGCATGCACGTGCGTGCCCGTCCGGGAGGCTGGGGGCACGTGTGTGCAGGCATGCAGACTTGCACATGTGTGTGCGTGACGGGGGCGGGTCTCGCGCCGGTGTGGCCCCGGATGGCAGGATTTAGTCAAACCCCGTTTTACCGTCGGCTCTGGCTCTGGGCTGCCCCCGGGTCTGCTCTGTGTGCACGGGATGGACCCCTGGGAGGAAAACTCCAACACCTGACCCTCAGCAAAGACCCCGAACCAGGAGGGTATTGTTAACCCCTCCGGGCCCGCGAGCCCACGCCCTCCCTTTGTCCTCTGGAAGCCTCCGGCCTCCCTGGCTGCAGCTGCGCCATCGGCAGAGCTGTGACTTCTGGGTAAACACGCACAGGCCTGGGATCCCCCTGTAGACAGCCGGCGTGCACACAGAGGAAGTGGCACTCACTAGACGCGTGGGTGCCCATGTGAACACCCTCGAACTGGGAGCAGGGCAGGGGGCAGGGGGCAAGGGGGAGGGCGTGGTCCTGTGCAATCCCCCACCCCAAGCACTAAGGCTGCGGGAATATGCAGGAAAAAGCCCCTGACCAGCTCTGCCAAGGAGGCTCTGGGGAGTGCAAGAAGGCAACCTACAGAGGCCTAGAAGTGGGGCTTACCCAGGAGGTGTCCCACGGAAGGGCAGGTGGGTGGGTGATGAAGGGGTCAGAGGTCCGGGCAGAAGGAAGAGCCGGCAGTGCAAAGGCCCTGGGGCAGGGCATTGTGCGGGTGTGAGAAATAGACCAGAGCTGGAGAGGAAGGTGGGAGGCAGGACAGGGGCTGCAGAGGGGTCCGGACCAGACCTGAGCCCTGAAGGTCTTGGCCCATGTTCTGGGAGCTGCTGTCAGGAGCCATAGGAGGGTCTCGAACAGGGTTGGTGGCTTGGCCTGATGGGGATGCCAAAGAGATGGGGCGCCCCATGGGCCGCCAGGTCATAGGGCGCGTCAGGAGGCTGAGTGCACAGCCTGTTGAGTGCCGCTGCCACGCCCACAGCTGCACTGCACAAGACGCAGGCCACATTCATCACAGTGGGCGGGCGGCAGCCAGCCCCGACGCCACCCAAAACCAACACACACCCCGGTGTGAGGTGCAGGCAGACACCCAGAGCAGGCACGCGTGTCCCCACAAAGGCAAGAAACACGGAACACCAGGGTGCCACGGCCCGAAAACCTGTGTCCCATTGTGGGCTCACGAGGACATGGGTCAGCACGAGCACACCGTGAGGTGCACACGGGTGCACACGGCACCCCCGCCCCGCGATGTGTGCCTGTCTACACACGCAGAGGGGAAGGAGCGGAGGTTCAGACCTACAGACCGCACGATCCAGAAGACACAGCCTGGATGTTCATGTCCAGGGATGGGGCAGGGAGGCCCCCGCAGGCAGAGACTGGCAGTGGGACCCAGGGGGTGCTGGCCCTGCGTTCTGCTCTGTGACCTTCATCAGGCCCCAGCGCCTCCTTTCCTCATCTGTGCTCCACTCCTCGGGGTTAAGGTGAGGATCCCCCTTCCCCCGCAAAGCACATGCCACTGAGGAGGCGGCTCCGGACGTCTCCACTCCTGCCCCACCCTCCCTCTCTTCTTTTTTCATACTAACTCATTTCTGTTAATTGAGGAAGCAACAAAAAATAGGATCAGTACCAAAGGACTAGCCTCCTTCCTCCACAGAGCCCTGGTCCTCTTGCCTTCTGCTACCCCGTTACAGGCTCTTGTTCGGGGCTACCCTGCCTGGAGGGACCGGTGGAGACCTCTGCCCCTCCTCCCTCCTTCCCTGCATGGGTTTCACAAACACAAACATGCACACACCCACCCCTTCTGTCCCCTGTCCTGCTCATCGCCAGCCGCAGCACCCTCATATTTGACACCAGCACCCTCACTGCCCCCCTACCATCTCACCCCACCCCATCACCCCCACCACCATTGCCCCCGAGGCTACCTCAGCCGCACCCTGCCGCCGGCACCACACTGCACCATCATTCCTATCTGACCCCACCTCCATCCCCAACACCAAAGCCAACAAACACCTTCCCCCCATCACTCCCACTCGCCTCAGCAGCACCTGGACACCCCTCACAGCCACCTCCCTCAGCATGATCGCTGTCACCTTGGCCCCCACCTTAGGCTCCTGTCCCCTTCACTCGCCCCCATGGCTGTCCTCCTGCTTGTGGCGTTCTGTTCTCTCGGGCATCCCTCTCTGGGGCTTGGTCAGGGGAAGGGCACGACAGAAGTCCTCTCTGCAGCTTCGCTGTCAGGCCCCCAACCACTTGCCTTCCTGGGAGAGGAGCATGCGGCAGGCTGGTCCCCTGCAGCCCACCAGGCAACTGGGCTGTCCCGGCCCAGCACAGCTGAGGTCAGGAGGACCCAGGGATTACTGGGAGCTCAGAGACTGGGGTGGACCTTGAGATGAGACAGAACCTGTGTCCTGGTGCCTGTCCCCCACTCCTCACTCAGCTGTGGGCCAGTTTTGGGGGTGCTGACTCTTGACTGAGACATGTGGTTGAGGGGTCTTTGAAGTAAGAAACGCAGAGGAGCGGCCAGGAGGCTGAGAAGATGGTGCTGGCTGGGCACTGGCCTGGGTGCAAGGCGGGGAAGGAGGCTTCCAAAGCCCACACCCCACCCCCGACCACCGGGCCCTGGGGGCACACGGTTGGTCTTTGGGCCAGCACCTCTCTGAGGCTAAGTTGGCATCTCTGTGACAGGAGGGTGGGTGGCCCTACCTGCCTGTCCCGGAGAGTGCCAGAGCGTCCAGGGTAGCGCCTGTGTAGTGCCAGGGAGGGTAGGGCTGTCCAGGCAAGTCTTGGTGAGGCCCCAGTTCCAGCTCGGGGGTAATGGCCACCCCAGAGGAACGCATTTCAATGGGATTTCAGAGCCCCGGGGAAAAGGAATGCGATTCAGGGAGGAGGAGAAGGGCCCCTGCACTCTGCACCCCCTCCCTGTTCCCCAGCCCCAGAGAGCCTGTCCCTGTGCCCATTCCAGATCTCACGGGCAGCTCCTCCAGAAAGCCTTCCTCTCCACCACAGCGCGCCCACATGCACACATAGACCCGCCTTGCCCCTCGCACACCTGAAAGACGTGTGCAGACCCAATGCTGGCAACTCACTCTGTGCGCACACACTTGCTCACATACACCTGCACACACGCATGTGCACACAGCCCTTGAACAGTGTGCACACACACTTGTAATAACTCACAAAAGGAGCATGCACACACCCTGCACGTGCACACACTTCCTCACCCCCCCGAAGCACACATGCCACGTGCACACTCACGTGTGCGACTCAGCTGGAACACGCACATTCTGTTCCCCACTCGCTCACACACACACACCACTCACACCTGCACAGCTTTCACCTGCACTCACCACACGCACACACGCACACATATGTGCAGCACACACGGCCACAGATGCATCCTCTAGCCCCTCCTTGCACCGAGGCTGCTCACCTACTGGACACACCTACTCTCTCCCTCGGTCTCGCTCCTCCCAAATGCTGGGCCCTGGCTGCAGCTGTTCCTCCCCACTGCCACATAACCATAACACCGCGGCCTGCCCGCCGTGGTGGGGTGGAGGCCTGGGTTGGGGCCTGCTCCCGGGATACAGCCTCCTCTCAGGGGTCCTCGAGCCAGGAGACCAGCCACTTTGGAGTCCAGGCTGAGTGCAGCCTCCTCCTCAGGTCCCCATACTGTTGCTAGGGGCTCACCAGCCTGGTGGGCAGCCCTGCCTTCGAGGGCAACTTCTAGGCAAGGTAGCCCTCCTCACTCTGGCCTCAGACCGGCCCCGGGGTGTGCCTGGAACCTCAGTGCAGCAGGGCGGGGACAGAGGAGCTTCAGCACGGGGAGCATCTTTAGGGCCTGCAGGTGGCTTGGGGTGATGAGCCCTAGACTACGGGAGATGCAGTGAGGCCCGGAACCTGAGGGCCGTTGGAAAGCTGGCCTCTGACGCTGGGCCAAGGTGGTCTGGGACAGTTGGGTAAGATGAGGGGTAACACAGCTCCTATCTTCCCCTGGAGTCACTAGGAGCCGGTCGGTCCCTCTGGGCCTGTATCCACGTCTGGGGAACTGCAGGCTGTGATCACCTTGCCTTCTGCAGGTGGGGGGTCAGATGAAGGTCTGTGTGCCAGGGCAGAGCATGGGGCTGGCCAGAGCGGAGCTTGGCACAGGACAGGGCCCCTTCTGCCTCAGCCCCACAGTGGTCTCTGTAAGAAGGGTCTTTCTCTCCCCGCCAGCAGCTCTGGCCAGATTCTTTGGGCACCCCTGTGCCCAGGCAGCTGGGTGGGGCTGGGCCTGGCAGGCTCTGTGAACATGGTGGGCTCCCACACCCTTGGGGGCGCACCCCCAGGGGGTCCGACCCTGCTGGCAGCCCTGCCCACCCTTAAGAGAGGCTTCCGGGCCTGCCTCTGCTGTGGGTGGCACGTGACCTGGGCTCTCTACGGGCAGGCCTAGCTACCCTGCAGGTTGACCAGTGGGGGTGTGGTTGGCACAAGCTGGGGTAGGACAGGTGGCATCTGGGGGTCACCCTGTCGGGGGGAGGCTATCTCGGCACCCCCTCCTCGACTTGGCTAGTGCCTGACTCTCTGGCCCACTTCTTATGGCTCTGAACCCCTGAGACACGCAAATAAGTTGTCCTGGGCCCATGTCAGGGGCCCTGCCAGGACCTCACAGGTGGGGGACCGTGCTGCCTCTGCTTCCGGTACCAGGCCGCTTGAATGGGGGCCGTGGGCACCCTGAGCGGGGAAGGCCAGCCGTCTGCCTCCCAGCCCCCTGGGCAGTCAGTGCCGAGGGCGCCCACCCCGCCCCTCCCCCCGTGCAGTCTTTTCTCAGGACACACAGGCGGGCACTGTTCAGAGGGCCGGCAGGACAACAGAGTGCCTTTTGTGGCTGGTGTCTGGGGATGCCATTGGTGGCCTAGGGTGGGCGGGGAGGGGACGCAGGAGGCCTGGGCCCAGGGTCGGGTCTGTCCAGTGTGGACTGGACCCAGAGCGGGCATGGGGTGCCGAGCCTCATGGAGGAGCCCCAGTGCCCCTGAGAGAAGGGCCTTGGACAGCATCCACTGCCCCTGGTTGGATGGTGGGGAAACCGAGGTGCAGGGTGTGATTGGAACCCAGGCCTGGTGGCAGGGTGGGGTGCGTGTGTGCAGTCTGCACAGGCCCAGGATGGCGGCGGGAGGCGGGTGCAGTGCCTCTCGTCTGAGGGTGTCTGTGATGGGGGTTACTGCCTTGCCCACCTCATGCAGAAGCTGTGAGATTGAAGGAGGGGTTCGTATATCATCTCAGGCCCGTTGCTGGCCTGCGGTCAGTGTGTAGTGAACGTTGGTGCCCTCTTCCCCACGCTGTGGCTCCCAACTCTGCTTCCCGGCCCAGCGTGGCTAGCTCCTGCTGCCCCACCTCTCTGGGTCCCCTGTCTGCCAGCCCAGGCCCTCACCCTGTCACCTCTGCCCAGAGACCAGTGGCACCCCCCGCCCTCCCTGAGGCCACCTCGCAGAAGCTGGCCAGCCTCCTCTGCAGCAGAAGGGATGGGGGCTAGACACCAGAAAGAACTTCCTGACCACAAGGGCAGTTTGACCCTGGAGAAGGTGATGAGAAAGGCAGGAACCTGTGAGGGCTTTGCTGGTAATTGGTCACTGTCCTTGGGAAGCTGAGGGGCAGTGGGTAACGGGAGCTGCTGTTATCCAGGTCGAGATATGGAAACCAATGACCAGAGAAGTGGCCTGTGGTTCGGGGACCAAGACAATCGCCCACTTCTCTGCAAGAGAGTTGGTGACAGTTTTGCCATTAAACTGTAACACTTAAAGACAGGAGTGGCCAGCGCCCACACTGGTCCCCCAGCAATGGGGGCAACCCATGAGCCTCTCCCACCCTGTCACCTGTTGCCGGGATGCCCGGAGCTTTCTGTCCTCATAGTGGAGGCCTGGCATGGGGTGGGCTCAGGGGTCAGCCCGGCCTCAACCTTCAGGGTCCCTGACTGCTGCATGGAACACGCCTTTGGAGGATGAGGCTGGAAAAGCCTGCTGGGGAAATCAAGGCATCTGACGGAGAAGCACGGAGCATGGATTTTGAGGGACCAGGGCCAGGTCCAACCCCCGGGGCTCCCAGGGGATCCTCCCAACCCAGGGGATCCTCCCAACCGAGGGGACCTGGGAGCTGGTGTGGCCGAGGGGAGGAGGGTGAGCCAGCCCAGGGGAGCCGAGGCCAGAGGTACAGCTGTGCAGATACCACAGCAGCTGCCCCAGGGTGGAGCCATTGTTGGCTCAGGCCTGGACCCCTTTCTCCAAGGCCGTGACTGTGTGTGGTTCTGGCTAAATGCACCCTCTGGGGCACACCCTCCTCTCCCAGCCCCGTCTCTGTCCCCGCTGCCCTCACATCCCAGCAAGTACAGCACGAAGCCCAGGCTGTCCCACAGCCACGTGGCCTTGTACAAATGTGCCGCATGTGTGTGTTCATGCTCACATATGCACACTCACAGGCACACAGGAACACATGCACACACATATGCACGGGCACACACAGGCACACACGTATGCACACATGCATTTGTGCACACATTGACACACATCTGCTTCTCCCCTTCCACATCTCAGCAGAGGCCACCAGCCCCTCCCCCATTTGCTCTCTGGAAGTCTCCTGTGACCCTGTCCACATTGACCTTCCTCCTGGCCCAGACACTACACAGGCCCGCCCCTGCCCCCAGCAGGCAGAGGGACCCACTCATCCTCAGGGCCCCACTCAGGCGCTGACGCCTCCTGGATGCCACCCTGGGTGCCAGGAGGGATCAGGAGTCTCCCCTGCACGCCCCACCCCATCTCAGCTAGACTGTCGGCCAACACTGCAGCCATGTGACCTGGGCTGCAGTGCCCGGCTCGGGCCTGGCGTGGGGGGGACAGGAGCCTGAAGAGATGGTCCCTGGTCACCCCCGGCCTTGGCCAGCTCTCTGCCCGCCTGGGCCTGCCTTGGTGTGAGAAGGCTCCGGGGTGGCCCCGTTGGAGGGTGGCGGGCAGGTGGGGTGCAGGAGACCTCGGCTGGCTCAGGGATGGGTGGGTCTGCTGGGGGCAGGGCAGGGGGTGAGTGTGGCAGGTGGGGAGGCCCGTGCCCACTGGCAGGCTCAGGGGCCATCAGCCAAGACAACGGCCTGGGCTCCTGCCCAGCATTGCCCAGTGGCCCATCCAGAAAAGGCAGGTTTGGGCCAGTTCTGTGGGTCTCAAATTCATATCAGCTGGGCCGGCCTTCCGGCCAATATGGCCTCTCCCAAGGCCTGGGCGGGGAGCAGCTCAGTCCGAGATGTTCTAGGGGATGCTGGGGAGCCGGGAAGTAACCTGAGCCCTCTCTCCCCACACCCCCCTGACTTGCTGATGGCCCCTGTGGTCCCTCCTGTGGAACCCCAGGGCTTCAAGGTTTAAGAATCCCAGGGATGGACACTTCTGGGCCATCTCCTGGCCCCAAGACAGTCTGCCGAGGCCCCAGGTCCCTGCCAGGGCACTGGGCAGTTGCGCTGCCTGGCCCTTAGCCCCTCCTCCCTGAAGGTACCTCCTCCCTCCTCCCTCTCCAGGCCAGAAGTGGGCCGTGTGCACCTTCCATGCCTGGCTGGTCCTGGGGCCTCCCCCTTCCACCTCCTGAGCACTCTCCTTCCCCATGGCCACTCCTGGCCCTCATGCCACTCCCTCGCCATCACCCCAGGGTGACCCCAGCACTGCCAGGGTGGCCCTTCTAAGGGGCGGTTCTGATAGGGGCACTGGCTGCTTCTGATCCCCTCTGCCACCTCTTGCCTACAGGGTGGGCCTCATACCCTAAGAGGGTTCAAGGCGTGGAGTCAGCTGGTGACAATGAGGGGCGACCGGTGATACCAGGGCCCTAGGGGATGCCAGGAGGTCTCCACTCGGCTCAGCTCTCAAGGGCCCGGGGACAGTGGCAGGGGTAGGCCCTCGTCCACCTGCTCTGGGGCCATGCTGGGCCGTGCTGTGCAGAGAGCATGGGCGGTGACCCGCAGGCCTGAGCTGCATTCCAGGCTCAGGTGCCCAGTACCGGCTGTGAGCCTCCACCAAGGCATGGCCCCTCTGTGGACCTCAGCATGCCCATCTGTCAAATGGATCTGTAACAGGGTGCCTCAGTGACAGAGTGCCTGGCACACATCCTATCTCCCTGTGAACCTGGGATGGACTCTTCCGTGTTTTCTCACCAAGCTGGAGCCTGTCCTGGGACACCCCTCCCAGGCCTGCACAGTCCACACGGCGTTGCGGACACCAGCCGCGTCGTGGCCAGCTGGGCTTATGAGGCTGCGCTCCCCTTCCAGGCTGCCAGGCTGTACCAGTTTCCAGGTGGGATGACCGAGGCCCTAGACTCCGTGCCCGGCCGCAGGCCCACAGAGGCTGGTCCTTGTACACCCCAGCTCCTGTGCCTGCTCCTGGCACCGCAGGCCCCTAGAACCTGCCCCGCCCTGGGAATGCTATGGGGTGGAGCTGCCAGGGCCTGGGATGAGGAGGGGAAAGGTGGGCCTTGGCATCTTGAGCTGTGCGGGTCCCTCTGGGGTGAAGGTGGTGCATCTGGGGCTGACACCAACTCGGGGTCAGGGCTAACAGGATTGCCTGGGGCCTCCTTTGCACTTGGAGGGGCATATGGGGCAGTGAGGCTGGCTGACCTGTGGAGGAGTCAAGGCCACGTGGGTTCAGCACCAGGTGGGACTGGCACTCTGCCAGGCTCTGCCGACACTCAGCCAGGACTGGGCTCACCCCGGGACTGTAGCGCAAGGTGAGGCTGGGGAGGCCTTCTGGCTGTGGGACCTGCCCACAGCCGCTCCCTCTCCATGAGATGGTGAGGGGGCGCCCAGGACAGCCCGGCTTTTCCATGCCTTGTCCAAGCCCACCCAGCCAAGCGTGTCTGGGGGCAGGACTGGAGGAGGGCTTCCAGGAGGCAGGGGACATGGCAGCATCTTCCCAGGTCTGCCACGAATGCGCCAGGATGGGAAGATTGTTTTGTAGGTTTGTCCCTTTCTAAAAAAATTTTCTCTTGGGAGCCCGGAATGTTTGCCAGGAATGAGACCACAGAGGGCCAGGTTGGGCCATGTCTGTTCCCAGATCCAGAAGCCCCAGCCAGCTTCCTCCCCCTGCTGGAAGCACTTCCTGCAGCCCCCTGGCTAAAATTCCCCCACCCAGCTCTTAATCTCTTGTTGAGAGCAGTGGGGTGCCCATCCCACTTTACAGATGGAGAAACCGAGGCTTTGTGGTGAGAGATGTGTCCGAGGCCACTGTGCAGTCAGGAGCACAGCCCAAGTCCAGCCTCCGGCCTCCTGGCTCCCATGGGCTCAGAGCCTCTGCTCAGGCTGGGGCCAGACCTCGAGGCTGCCTGGGCCCAGCTCCCTGCTCTGCCTACAAGGCTGTGCAGGAAGGACGCCAGGAGGGGACTGCAGAGCAGTGACCGACCTTGTCTTGCCAGCCAGCTGGGCCTGGGCAGCAGGAAGCGGCAAGTCCCGTGGGCGGGCGACCGGCATTTGTGCGGTCAGCAGAGCGGAGGCATCCCCACCAGGAGGCCGGGTGGCCTGGGGGAGGGGGACTGGCTACAGCTCCCCTCCCTCCTGCACAGGCTCAACTGCTGGGTGGGATGGACGGCCTGGCCAGAGGCCTTGGGGGTGGTGAGGAGACTGAGGTCTGTAGGCAGAAGGAACTTGCCAAGGTCCACAGCGAGGTGGATGCCCGCTGGGCCCAGGGCAGCCCCGGATCCAGGGCCTTCACTGTACCTCTGCTCACCCGTGGCGCTGTGAGTGGGCAGTCACTCAACCTGGGCCCTCTCCTGGAGCTGGGAGGTGTCTCCTGGTGGCACAAATTTAGGGTCAGCCTGGGGCTCACGTATGGGTTCTCCGACCCACTCACTGTGACGGGTAAATTATGGATTCTCTCTGTGTCTCAGTTTTCCCATCATGAATGATAGGAAGTAATGCTAGCCTTGCAGAGGAAGGGCAGAGGTGAGGTGGCTCCTGGTGGCTCCATCCCCCCTCCATCCCTCCCCAGGCCCTGTGCCTGTAGCTTTAGGGCACGAGGGCACACGTGGGAGGGCCGAAAGAGAGCTTCCTGGCAGGAGCACCAGCTGGGCACAGGCTGCTGGAGGCTGCAGAGGGCAGTCTTGGGGGGGCACCAAATCTGAACTCCCCTCACCCCAAAGATCCAGTCATTGCTATTGAGGCTCTGCACCCCCTTCCTGCTCTCCAAGCCTTTAGAAAGGGCTCGGGGGCCAGACGGGAGGCTGGGGAATGGCCCGAGTAACCTTTCTCCTGTGCTCCGGGCCCACTTCCCTTCCCACGGGGTTTGCAGAATCTTCCTGGGAAGGAGGAAGGTTAGAGAGGAGGGACCAAGGTCAGCAGGAAAGACAGAGCCTGAGAGAGCTACACCCTCCACTCACAGAGGGGCAGCCACGCAGAGCGTGGTGAGCGAGTGGGCAGGCAGGCCAGGGCCCCCGGGAGCCACGCCAGGCTGCGTGGGCAAAGGGGTACCACCAAAAGCCCCAGGTGGACTGCCAGCCCCTCCCTGCTCAGGCTTGGGTGGAGGCGGAGGTACTTTGTTCCCCAAGCTGGGCCGCTGCCCCTGCAGGTGGTCACATTGGTGAGTGGCAGACAGACAGGTGGACGGAGCAGGTGCCTGGGAGGGTGCCAGGGCCTGTGTCTGCGGCCCAAAGTCCTCCTGCCCTCGTTGGTAGCAGGCTAAGCTGCCTCCTCTGAGAGAGCCCACCCCCATGCCCAGAGCCCACGTCTCCCCAAGTGCTCACTCTGACCCTCTGCTCTTTCTCTTCCAGCTGCTGCTGGTGGCCACAGGCTGGCACCAGGGCCCTGGACTTTAGAAGCCGTTGCTGCCCTCTCTGTCACCTGAAGCGGGGCCCTCTCCCATCCCACCCTTGCCCCGCCTCCCTGCCCCCACCGGGCCGGCCCTGCCCGCCGCCGGACCCTGGCATGTCAAGACCTGGTCCGCGCCTGCCTGCCCAGCCCGCGGAACCCCGGCGGCCCCGCGAGCTAGGATGAGGGGCCAGGCCGCCGCCCCGGGCCCCGTCTGGATCCTCGCCCCGCTGCTACTGCTGCTGCTGCTGCTGGGACGCCGCGCGCGGGCGGCCGCCGGAGCAGACGCGGGGCCCGGGCCCGAGCCGTGCGCCACGCTGGTGCAGGGAAAGTTCTTCGGCTACTTCTCCGCGGCCGCCGTGTTCCCGGCCAACGCCTCGCGCTGCTCCTGGACGCTACGCAACCCGGACCCGCGGCGCTACACTCTCTACATGAAGGTGGCCAAGGCGCCCGTGCCCTGCAGCGGCCCCGGCCGCGTGCGCACCTACCAGTTCGACTCCTTCCTCGAGTCCACGCGCACCTACCTGGGCGTGGAGAGCTTCGACGAGGTGCTGCGGCTCTGCGACCCCTCCGCACCCCTGGCCTTCCTGCAGGCCAGCAAGCAGTTCCTGCAGATGCGGCGCCAGCAGCCGCCCCAGCACGACGGGCTCCGGCCCCGGGCCGGGCCGCCGGGCCCCACCGACGACTTCTCCGTGGAGTACCTGGTGGTGGGGAACCGCAACCCCAGCCGTGCCGCCTGCCAGATGCTGTGCCGCTGGCTGGACGCGTGTCTGGCCGGTAGTCGCAGCTCGCACCCCTGCGGGATCATGCAGACCCCCTGCGCCTGCCTGGGCGGCGAGGCGGGCGGCCCTGCCGCGGGACCCCTGGCCCCCCGCGGGGATGTCTGCTTGAGAGATGCGGTGGCTGGTGGCCCTGAAAACTGCCTCACCAGCCTGACCCAGGACCGGGGCGGGCACGGCGCCACAGGTGAGTGACTGGCGGGGAAACCTTCGGACAGGGGAGGTGGGCAGACAGGGGAGGCGGGCAGACAGGGGAGGCGGGCGGATGGGGGAAGTGGGCGGACAGAGGAGGTGGGCGGGCAGGCGGAGGTGGGTGGGTAGGGGAGGTGGACCGGGGTCTTCTTCCGCAGGGCTGCCCTGCTAGCACCGCTGTCTGGAGAGTGTGTACCCTGGCACCCTCCCAGGCGCCTGCTCCATCCACCCGTGCACAGAGTAAGAGTGAAGGTCACTGCAGGTGTGCAGGGCCAGCCCGGGCACACGGCGGGTGCTGGTTGAGCATTGAAGGCCTAATTCCCTCCAGGATGGGAAAGGGTCATCCTCCTGGCTGGGAGAGGGCCCGCCCTTTCTCTCCGGCAGGACAACTTTAATGGGCCAGAGGCTGCAGCGGCCTGGGGCTGGGGACTGCAGGAGCCTCTGGGGCTGGATGATGGTCCTGGGGACTCGGGCTGCGTGGAAGGGTCGGCAGGTGGGCTCTGTGGAGACGTGGTCAGATGAGGTTTCGGGTTGAGTATGCTCTCGGTGGATGAATCACCTCTGCCACACGCTCTAGGTGCTGGGGCCACGGCTGCAGCAGTGAAAACCCTCCAGAGCCCTGCTCTCAGGCAGCTGCGTAAGGGAGAGAGGAAGGCCCTAAGCACGAAGACACGAGCAGCCAGGCCTCAGGCAGCAATGAGAGCCTTGCACTAGAACCGGGCAGGGCTGGCCCCTCATGGCAGGGTTGCCATTGTACCTGGAGGTCAGGGAGGCTGCGAGGACGAGGGACCTTGTTCAAAGCTCTGCGAGAGGTGGGGGAACCTCATGCCAGGAAGAGAGAACGGCAAGTGGCGAGTCCTGGGTGGCTTTGTGCCCGGAGAGCACAGAGGGGCAGGGGCCAGTCCTGTGGGGCTGCCAGCCTCTGGGACACTGGCTTTTCCTGCTCATGAGACAGGAGCGTGCGCAGGAGCAGCGTCCTCGGGGTAGAGCCCTGTGGAGGCCCCGTGGGCCTCAGTGCAGGAGATGGGTCCCGTACACACCTAGGGCATGGAGACCCCTTGCTGACGGGTGACGTGCAAGAAAGAGAAGGAAGCCCAGGGTTTTGGTGTTAGCATCTGGGAAGATTGGGGGATTGGAGGGGTTTGAGTTTGCAATGCCAGGCAGGGGCTGACTGCATACATCGGGTGTTCGGGGGTGAGGCTGGGCTGTATACTCAAGGCTGGAGGGCCATCTTGGGGCAATGGGACCCTTAGGGGTACCCAGGGGCCTTGACTTTTCTGGGGCCAGTGAAGCCTATGGACTCCTCAGAATTTTGTGTTTAAAGGCACAAAATAGGCTACGCAGGGCTACAGAGGAAGCCATTTATGCTGGAGCATGGTTCTACCCACAACACGGGGCCATGGATCCCAGATAAGAAGCCTCTGTGAGGCCGTGAGTGGGGCTAGAGAGGGGCCAGAGGAAGGAGGGACAGGCGTGAGGCTTGGCCCAGCCCTCCAGTGGCCCGAGGAGGAGGGAGGCAGCGCCCCTGGGCAGTGGGGGGCCAGGAAGCCAAGTGGTCATGCTGTGTCAGGACAGGTGGGCACCTCAGCTGCGTCAGGTGCCGCCAGCGGCTGGGTGGGAGGGGCTGAGGACCAAGCCCCCACCAGGCAGAGTGGAGGTCACTGTGGCCTTGGTGAGGGCGGCTTCTGTGGTGTGGCAGGGATGAGTGTCAGGGGGACTGGGGAGAGAACGAAGTAGATATGGAGGGCTCTTTCAGGGAGTAGAGATGGGGTGGTGGACGGTTTGGGAGGTGGGAGGCTGCAGGAGGACTGGGCCCAGCGGTCACAGGCACACCTGGCCGTGCATCTTGGTCTGCCACTCCTGGTCACTTCACCCCTCAGAGCCTTGGTTCCTTCCTTGGCAGAATACCAACTCCTTTGCAGAGCGTTTTCCTCCAGTTGATGGGTCTCAGGGGCCCGGCCCAAGATTACACCCACTACTGAAGAGCTGGTCGTTAGCAGCATCAGGGGGCAGCAGCTCTGCCATTCCTAATAGTGCTCGGAACAGCGTGGAGCTTGTTGGAAAGAGCTGGCGGGACAGACGCATGTGACGCGTGGAGAGGCTGGGGCACTGTGTGACGTGGGTGTCGGAGGGAGCGCTGAGCTTCACTCCTCACTGGGCACCTACTGAGTGCAGGCACCCTATGGTGTAAGGTGGTCGGGCCTCCCGTGGGAGATCCCACGTTATCTTGGGAACCCAAGGGCCTTAGCAGGGCTTTGGGCAGAAGAGCCAGATGGTTGGGCTGTGAGTGCAGAAGAGATGTCAGCCCTGAGGGGAAGCCTGGGACGGGCTGGCAGCCGGTGCCGGCATTCAGGAGGGGACTGCCACTGGCCTGGTCAGGACGCTGCAGCAGCAGTGGGAGGGAAGAGGAGGGCCTTGGGGTGCAGCTGATGATCGACTTACTGATGAAAGGATGTGGACATGGGCAGGGAACCCCTCCCAGGTGTCCCGCCAGAAATGAGGATGTCAGCTGAGTTGAGGAAGTGGGGCTGGGGGTTGCAGAGGAGAAGAAGATCTGGAGGTCAGAGTGGGACTTGAGTGTGAGCTGCCTGTGAGGTAGCCAGCTGGCAGTGTCATGTGAACAGGCAGCTCTGACAACTGGAGCACCAGGACAGGGCCAGGGTGGGGCAATGGATGCTTGAAAATAGCTTCTGAGCCACTTTTGCAGAGCCCCAGGGCCTGGGTTCAAATCCCAGCCTGACCCGGCTTGCCGTATGTCCCTGGGCCAATTCCATCAGGTCTCTCATCCCCTCAGGCCCCTCATCTTTAAAACAGGAAGGGTAAAAATATCTTGTTTCTTAGATTGCCCTGATGAATGAGAACTGGGGTGAAGTGTTTCTAAGCAGAAGCGATGTTGACGATGAAATATCAATATGCTCGCGTATTCTTAGGCAGGGAGACTCTAGAGGGCTCAGGGAGCAGAGACAGACTGGAGGCAGGGATATTCGAGCAGCTTGAGGTGTGCACGGAGATTCTGAGAAAGGGAATGTTTGGAGGTGGTGCTCAGAAAGAGGTGGGAGGATGTGTGTTCACGCATGCATTCATGCAAGTGTGTTGTGTGTGCGTGTTCATGCATGTGCGTGTGCAAGTGTGGCATGTGCACGTTTGCATGCATGGCATACATGTGTGCATATGTGCTCATGCATATATGTGGTGTGGGTGCCCCCATGTAAGTGTGGGTGCGTGTGTGTGTGTGTGTGCGTGTGCAGTACATTACTCATGTGCGTGTGTGTGTGACATGCATGCACGGTGTGAATGTATGTATCCAGGCTGGGCTCTGTGCAGCGATTTTTGACAGAACACAGGTAAAGGCTGTGGGGCAGGGGCCGTTGGTCTTGTGGAAAGACGGCTAGAGGGCATATTGACTCGGCTGCTGGCAACATGAAGCAGGGAGCTTGTCATCTTGTGCAGGATGGGGTGGAATGTCGTCTCCTAGGCCCAGAGACAGTTCGGACCCTAGTGCCCACGCTCTGTGCCCAGAAGGCCCTGATGCTTCCAGGACCACAGCAGCAAAAGTGATCTCAGTAGTAATAGTCATTTATTGAGTGTTTACTTTGTGCCAGAGGCACCTGCACGGGAGATAGGCTCCTGTGGAGGCACGCTCTGCCTCAGGGCCTTCACACAGCTGTTCCCTCTGCCAGGAAGTCTTCCCTAGAGACCCGCAGGGCTCCCGCCTTCCAGTCCTCACGCACATGTGACCTTTCATTGCAGGCTACCCTGACCGTCCTGTTGAAAATGGCAGCAGCTCTGGGCCCACTCTCTGACCCTTTATCCTGCCTCTGTCTCTGCACACATGTGTCACCTCTCAACACACTGCATAATTTCCCTTATTTGTTGTGTCCACTTCTGATTGTCCAGGCCAGGATGTAAGCAGCACAAAGCAGGCATTGCCAGTTCCCTGACGTGCCCCCCAACGTGTAGAACAGTACCTGGGAGCAGCAGGCACTCAGTCAGTCCAAGTTGGAGAAAACCAGGCACAGACATGTTAAGGCAGCAGCCAGGGCCACACAGCTTGTAAGTGGCAGGCTGATGGCAGAGCCCCTTGACGCTGCCATCGAGTGGTAACACTAGGGCGTCTGCAGTGAGCTCTGCTCAGAGCTGTGCGTGTGTGCATGTGTGTGCATGCGTGCATGTGTGTGTGTGTGCATGTGTGTGAATGTGTGCACATGTGCATGTGTGAATGTGTGTGCATATCTGTGAATGTGAATGTGTGCACACATGCATGTGTGTGAATGTGTGTGCACGTGCAGGTGAGTGAATGTGTGTGCACGCGTGCATGTGTGAATGTAAATGTGTGCACATGCATGTGTGTGAATGTGGGAGTGTCTATGTGCACGTGCATGTGTGTGAATGTGGGAGTGTGTATGTGCACATGCAGATGTGAATGTGAGTGTGTGCACGTGTGAATGAGTGTGTGCACGTGCGTGAATGTGTGTATGCACGTGCATGTGTGAGTGTGTATGCACGTGCATGTGTGAATGTGTGTGTATGCACGTGCATGTGTGAATGTGAGTGTATGCACGTGCATGTGTGTGAATGTGTGTGCATGTGTGCATGTGTGAATGTGTGTGTGCACGTGCATGTGTGTGTATGCACGTGCATGTGTGTATGTGCACGTGCGTGTGAACGCAAGTGCGTGTGTGTGCACGTGAATGTGTGTGAATGTGTGCGTGCCTGTGTGTGAATGTGAGTGCATGCACATGCATGTGTGTGAATGTGTGAGTGCCTGTGTGAATGTATGTGTGTATGTCTCTGTGTGTGCACGTGCGTGTGCGTGGGGGGGATGGGGTGGCATGAGGACCAGAGAGGCAGGTGACCATTCAGAAGACACACAGCTGAGCAGAGGCAGAGTTGACCCCAGATCCTGCCAGCTGAGACCTGTGCCCAGGGAGCGTTGTGCCCTCGCTGTGGGACCTGGGGACACTGGGACAGGCTTGTCCATCCGTCCATGTCCCTAGCAGGCAACACACAGCCAAGTGCAGGAGCAAGCAGGCAGCCCAGGCCAGCCCGTGGCCCATTTTCAGCCCTGCCCCCCGCACGGCCTGTCCAAGTGCCACATGGCCACGTCACGCGTCAGACTCTGCAAACACTCCTCAGGCCAAGCAACTGTTCCCCTCCACCTCGTGCTGCCCCACGCCCCACCGCCCCCCAGGCTGTCAGGCCCCTCTCCTGCCGGCTCTCTCTGGCTCTCATCACTTCCTCCCCACTGCCTCCCTTTGCATTTTTCCGCCTAGGGTGAGTGGGGCCGTTTCTCTCAAGGGTTGTTTTAAATATTCATGTTTTAATTAAAGAATTTTATTGCACGAGCGACATGGAAGATCATGAAAAAGCAGCGTCCTGGGGCCTGGGAGCAAGTGTGTGTGTCCTCGTGTGTGTGTGTGTCCCTATGTGTCCCCGTGTGGTGTGTGTGGAGCCATTTTTTGCACAAGGAGGGACAGGGGAGCCACTCCTTTTGCACAAGGGCCAATTTAGTGTATGTGTCCCTGTGTGTGTGTCCCTCTGTGGTGTGTGTCCCTGTGTGTGTGTGTCCCTGCTTCCCTGTGTGTGGTCTGTGTGCCTGTGTGTCCTCGAGTGTATATCCCTGTGTGTCCCTGTGTGCGTCCTCTGTGTGCCCACAGGGAGTGGGTATGGGAGGCTGGGCTGGAACTGGGTGTGGAGTGTGAACCCACACATTCCGTTGGGCTCCTGGATCCTGCAGGGGTGTGGGAGGCTTACTGCTGGCCGAGGGGCTGTGACCGGCCACGGAGATGGGGTGACCTCCCCCTCCCTGCCCTGCCTCCAGGGTGAGTCAGGCTCAGCCCAGGCCCACCTGCCCAGTGACCCCACACTCACTCTGGAGGCTGTTGGAGACACAGTCAGGCTCAGCCCCAACCCCAGGAGCCCCGGAAGTCCTGGGAAGAGGCATCTGGAGGCCTGTCTGGGGTGTGCAGGGGCAGAGGGAGCGGCAAAGCCTGGGCTGGAATTTGGAGAGGAGTCAGGATTGGAGTGGAGTTTGGGACTCCAGGTAGTCTCATGGTGACAGGGAGCACCGAGGGGCTTGGGAAGGTGCCAAGGTCTCCACTGTCAGGGGTTTCTGGCTTGGACAGGAGAGCCACTCTTTTTGCACAAGGGCCAATTTAGAAAAATCTAGAAAACAAGAAGGCTTCAGTCCCCATCACAGACAACACCCATTTCAGATGGGGATGGCAGGATGGGGCCCCATGGGAATGATATGCTGGGCCCACCATGCCTTCAGCCCTTCACCTCCTCCGCTCAGAGCCAGAACGCACCCCACGCCCGCCTGGCTGCGAGAGAGGCTGAGAATCAGGGCACTGTATTTTGGTTCCACTTCCCAGAAAGATGGGGAGAAAGGACATGGAGCTGGCAGCAGACAACCGGGGTCGGGGCCCGGGCGGTGGGCAGAGACTTGTCCAAGGTCTCCGGGATGGGCCCTGGGCTTTCAGGCTTGTAAACAGGGCACCATTCTCAGGCCAAGGAGCACCTGCCTGATCAAGAAAAGGAAGCAACAAGACTCGGCCAGCTCAGGGAGCCTCAGTTTCCCTCCTGAGAGTTAGAGACGGGACAGTACCTGCTAGCAGGGCCTACGTGAGGCTTTAAGGAGATGGAGGCTTGACAGGTTTCGGGGAGCCCCGCTGCCCCACGAGGCTCCTCGCTCTTAGCTCACCTGGGAAGTGGCCTGCCGGATGGTGGACTTGGCTTCTCAGCCCCATCCTGAGATCTGCTGGTGCCCGCCTCTGTGGCGGGAGGAAGGGGGACCAGCCACTTGGGCACCTCCAGTAGGAGCGGCTGGCAGCAGGTGGGCTAAGTCAGGCCACCAGGCGCCCCATCCACCCTCCGGGGCCCTCCCTTCCACGTCCGTGCAGGGGGCCCTGGTCTAGGTCTCAGAGGAGTCTGGGTGCCCCAGGACAAACCCTAACTTGGAGCCTGGGCTGGAGGTGGGGTCATCCCTCGGACACGCTGTGGGTGCCTGGGACCTGGTGGCAGAGCAGGGTGGGAATGGCAGAACTGACTGACCCTCCAGCCCCGGTGCTGCCCGACCTGCTGGAGTCGGGAGACCTCTGCTGGCAACAGACAGAAGTGCACAGCTCTCCTCCAGAGAACAGCCCGGAAGCTAGGGAGGCCCAGCTGGAGGGAGGGACGCCCCCTGTGCTCCCCCGCACCCCCATCCCAGCCAACTCGGGGTGCGGGCTGTGGGGAGCTCACAGCCTCCAGTCTGGGGCGCCAGGGTGGGAAGGACACCAGGAGGCCTCTCACCAAGCACCCTCTCCCCTGGGTGGCCAGGCTGCCTGGGGCCGTTAATTGGCTCTATTCATCCCCTTAATGAGATGGAAATGAGGCTTCCAGACAGAGCCGGCATTGAGTGGGGGAAGAAAGGCGGTTTCTTTCCGGTCCTGGAGGGGCGGCCCACCCCCCAGCCTGCTTGCTGCTCCTCTGCTGCCCTTCACTGTCCACCCAGCTCAGACACACTGTGGCCACCCAGTGAAGCGTGGCTTGAACACCTCTGCACCCTGCACTGCGGACCCCAGGGGCTCCATCCTGGCATTGATACATTCACTAGACAAACATTTACTGAGTGTCAGCTAAGTGAGGGGACACACATCAAAAACAAAACAAGAATAAAAATAGCAGCTACCATTTTCTCAGTGTTCATTAGTAGCAGGAGTGTGACCAAGATGGGGGATCAGTCTGTGGCTGGGATCAGGGCTCAGTATATAACAGGATCAGGAATTCTGTGCCCAAGATCAGAGGTCAGTCTGTGATAAGGATCAAGGCTCAATATGTGACCAGGGTCAGGAATCAGTGTGTGACTAGAATCGAGACTCAGTATGCGTCCAGGGTCAGCTTGTGACCTGGATCAGGGCTCAGCACGGGTCCAAAGTCAGGGTTCAGTATGTGACCAGGGTCAGGCTTGGTTTGTGGGGGCAGGGTGATCCATCCTCTGGGCCAGTGTCCCGCCCCTCCGAAGCCTCTCCTGATGTGCCCCCGCCCTTTCTCCCCCTACCACATCCTCACCACCTGGGTCACCAAGGTAACCAGCCCTGAAATGAGTGGGTGTTTTGGCAGCTGAGGCCTAACCTGGGTCTCTCCTGAAAGGCTGCGTGCTGCAGCAGTTGCCATGGGAACCGAGTGGCATCCTCCGATGAGCCTGGCTTGGACACCCTCTCTCTCCCGCCCACTGCCAGTTTCCACGTCACTCAGGCTTCCGCATGGGGGCTGGGCTGGGACGGCGAGGGGGGTGCCGCAGGACGTGCCACCCTGACCCATTGTCAGGCCCGCCCCTTAGGACCCCGTCTGTGCCTTTGCCTCAGAATCGGGGTGGTGGGATGCCTTCAGCAGATGAGACCACTGAGGCCCGGAGCACCTGGGCCCCAGACAGTCCTGGCAGGAGGCCTTAGTCTGGGGGATGGGGGCGTTTGGAATCTGACCACCAGTTCAAGTCCAGGTTCCTCTCCTTGTCCTGAGTTAGGGCATGTGACAGGGCAGCCACGAAGGGCCTGTCACCTGTTCCTATGCTGTGGGCAGGTGCCACCCTGTCCCGCCCTTGTGCCCTGGAGGCCGTGCTGAGTCCCCCACCTCTCCTGGCATGGCACGGGCTAAGCACGCTATGGAGGAGGCAGCTCAACTGCTGTGCACCCTCAGCCAGGTGCTCTCCTCTCTGGGACCTGTGGGAGTATGGCTCTGTGAGTGAAGGAAGAGGGTTCTGCAGCAGGTGTGGGGGCCTGGAAGACTCCTCCCACCCTATGGACCCCACCAGGGAGAAAATGAGGCCTCCCACAGCTGTGGTGGGTCAAGTCCCTCTCCTGGGTCTCATCCCCATGCCCCTGGCACCCCCTGCTGGCCATTCCTGGCATAGGTGTGGGGAAGTGGGGCAGGGTGGGGGGCACTCTGGCTGGACACTGAGTTTGCTGAAAATCAAAGTGGGGCCCCGGGAGTCAACTCTGACCCAAGTGACAATGCCACACGCCGTCCTCTCATATCCTTTTTTGCTGTTTGACTTCCCACTTGTCAGTCCTGGGAGGTCAGCCATTATCCTCATGTTGTAAATGATGGGAGTGAGGCCAGTGGGTGGTGGGGCCACTGGGGGAATCTGGCAGCTGGAGCTACCCTGGGGTCTCCTGCAGTCCACACTCCCACTGAGGGAGGCAGGGCCCCTTTCCTGAGGCTCCAAGAGGCCCTGGGGCCCTTCTGGTGGGTCGGGGTGGCCTGTGCTTGGCCTGATTGCTGCCCCTGGGGCCTCCCCTGCTGTACCTGGGATCGAGCTGCCGGATCCCCAGTGTTCCCCAGTGGCAGCGGCCCCAGCTCCATGGTGGGTCCCCTCGTGGTGGCCGCCAGCTGTCTCCTCGCCACCGTAGCCAGGAGCAGCACTTGGCAAGGGCTGCATGCCCTTTCCAAGTCGCCCGACCCTGCTGCACAGGGTGTACATGAGCCCAGAGTGCTGGGCAGGAGGCCCGAGCGGGAGGCCTGGACGCGGCAGCCCCTTCCCGGCCCCCTGGTGCTGCTGCCCCTCTCTGGCCCACAGATGGCAGTGGCCCTCTCCTGCTTTGTGCTCCTCCATGGCTACCCAGTGCTCCAGGACCATGGGCACTCCAAGCAGCCCAAAGTGTTTTTGGCAGCACGAGGACCCCCCGGGAGCAGAGACTCCTGGGGCGTGAGGTCTGGTTTGCTAGGGGAACACAGGTCCATGAAGGCCGCGGGGACTGTCGGGGCAGGGATGGAGAAAGACTCACTAGAGAAGCTGAACAGAGCGGCCGGGGTCAGGGCAGGGGCGTGGCGGGGAGGCGCCTGCAGGCATTTATCCCAGGCTCCCTCCTCGGGTGGCCAGCTGGCCAGGTCCAGGGCAGGCTCCGTCAGGCTGTGCCCTGGGTTCGAGGCCCTGGTTGGACACCAGGTGTGAGGCCTTGATCACCACTGGTATACCTGCGTGGGGTGAAGAAGCGGCTCCAGGTCACAGCTGGGGTGTGAAATGTGGAGCCCTGGTGATGAGGGTGGTGACCCTCCGCTGAGCCCATGAGGAAACTGAGGCTCTGATGAGCAGGGCCTGGCCAGAAACTGGACGGAGCCTGGAGAGGGCTTCCAGGCGTGCCAGGAACCAGAGCCTTGGAGGCCAGGCCCCTCTACCCTCTGCTTACCATCAGGACGCTGTGCTCTGAGGCAGCCCTCTGGTGGGCGGAGGTCGTCATCCCTTCATCATCCTGGCGGCAAACCTGCCCAGTGGCGGCTGGCACACGGGGACCCTTCAGGCTCAGACGTGACCTGAGCTCTCCAGAGGGGGCCCGGGAGCTGGGTAGACACCAGACCCCCAGGTCCTCCCAGGCCAGGCCTTCCCCGGCACTGCGGCCCCTCCCCACCCGGGCCGGCCTCGGCGGGCTTAGCACCCCCATGACTTACCCGTCCAGGCCACGAGCCCCTGCCCTGCCCTGATCCCCGCCCTCTGGTTTCCCCCCAGGCGGCTGGAAGCTGTGGTCCCTGTGGGGCGAATGCACGCGGGACTGCGGGGGAGGCCTCCAGACGCGGACGCGCACCTGCCTGCCCGCGCCGGGCGTGGAGGGCGGCGGCTGCGAGGGGGTGCTGGAGGAGGGTCGCCAGTGCAACCGCGAGGCCTGCGGCCGTGAGTGCGGGCGGGGCGGGGCGGAGCCGGAGCCCTGGAGAGGCGGGGCCTGTGAGGGAGGAGAGGGGGGTGGGGCCCTGGAGAGGAGGGGCCCGTGGGGGCGGGGCGGGGCCTCGAGCAGAAGGGGCCGGTGGAGGGAGGGGCTTGGGGGCGGGACCAGGTAGGGGCGGGGCCGGGGCCGGGGCCTGGCAGACGCTGGGCGGGGCCTGCAGGAAGAGTGAATAGGGTGGGTCTGGGCTCTGAGAAGCAGGACCTAAACTCGGGGCTGGCCCGTGGGAGTGGGGCCTAGCCGGGGGAGCAGAGGTGAGGGCCCCGAAGAGGGTGGTGCTTGGGGCTGGGTGGGACTAGTTGGGGCTTTCTTCCGGTTTGTGGATTGGGGTTTTTGGAGGGTGTGCGGAAGGCTGGCTGTGGGACCTCTGGCCAAGCCAGCCCGCCTGCCCCAGCCGGATACTGCCTCCAGAATGTATTTCTGTAATAAGGCTCTCTAATGACCCCATGCATTTTTTAGCTGCTTCCATGAAGTTAAATCACGTTGTAATGAGACTGTCATTGTTTGGGCTGTTTTTTCCTTGGTGAACTTTCCTGGGGAGAAGAGCTCCTCTCAGGAGCCTGGGGAGGGCCCCGGGGCATCGGCTGGGCTGCGGAAGGGAGGCAGGGGGCTGTTGGGGTGCCAGGCACGGGAGAGCAGCCGTCCTGCAGGTGAACGCTGGCCTGTGGGCGGTGGAGGCAGTGAGGGAGGTGGCGCGGGGTATGGGAGACAGGACCCACAGGAAGGGTCCCCTGGTGACCAGATGAGGGCTGGTGCCAGGCTGGGCACTCTGGTCCCTGGCTCCCAGCTGCCCAGTGGAGCCAGGTGGCCCAGTGCTGCCGAACTCAGAGCACTGTGGCCACAGAGAGAGAGGACGGGGGCAAAGAACCGCTCCTGTGCTGACCTAAGCCCGTCCTGCAGCCGCTGGGCGCACCAGCTCCCGGAGCCAGTCCCTGCGGTCCACAGATGCCCGGCGGCGCGAGGAGCTGGGGGACGAGCTGCAGCAGTTTGGGTTCCCAGCCCCCCAGACCGGTGAGCTGGCGGGAGGGGGGTGGGTGGGACTAGGGCTTTGGGAAAATACTGTAAGTTATCAATTGCAGCTAGTTATGGGTAGTAACTTGAATAACATGCCATAACTAGACTAAACCCTTAGGTGCAGGGCTCTTGTCTCCTGACTGCCTGGCATTAGGGGAACTGGTGTGAGGTGAAGAAACGTGTCCCTGGCCAGACCCCAGAGGCCCAGGGATGGCACAGGCCGGCCCTCAGGGCTCCCAGCCTTGTAGGGGAAATGGCCAGTTCTTGAGATCAGCCTGGTTCGAAGGCCCGGGGGCTCTGCCCCAGCCCCGCTGCCTGCTCCCCAGCAGGGCAGCCCTCCTGCTGCGGGGTCTGGCCCCGGTCTGACTGCAGCCCCATGGGCGGCAGGCCTGTGACGCTGTAGTGGGGCCTGCAGGTGACCCAGCAGCCGAGGAGTGGTCCCCGTGGAGCGTGTGCTCCAGCACCTGCGGCGAGGGCTGGCAGACCCGCACGCGCTTCTGCGTGTCCTCCTCCTACAGCACGCAGTGCAGCGGACCCCTGCGCGAGCAGCGGCTGTGCAACAACTCTGCCGTGTGCCCAGGTGGGTGGGACCTTGGGCTGGGGCAGCGGACAGCCAGGGCAGCGGGGGGCCAGGGCAGCGGGGGCGGTGGCCGCAGTGGGCAGCAGCACCTTCCGTCCCTCTGCAGTGCATGGTGCCTGGGATGAGTGGTCGCCCTGGAGCCTCTGCTCCAGCACCTGTGGCCGTGGCTTTCGGGATCGCACGCGCACCTGCAGGCCCCCCCAGTTTGGGGGCAACCCCTGTGAGGGCCCTGAGAAGCAAACCAAGTTCTGCAACATTGCCCTGTGCCCTGGTAGGTGAGAGGGAGGGCGTAGGGGCAGGGAGGAAGGGAAGAAAGGGGAGGTCACAGTGGGCCACCGGCCAGGCCCAGGAGCCCAGCTTTGCCCACTCCAGACCCACCTCAGGGTGCTCAGAGGTTGGAACCTCAGACTGGGTTTAGGAAGCAGACTGAGGTGTGACCTTGGGGCATTTCCCACCCATATCCCAGGCTGGGTGTGGGGTGGTGACCTCTAGGGTTTTCTCACCCATATCCCAGGCTGGATGTTCATGCCATGTCCCAGGCTGGGTGTGGGGTGGTGGCCCCCAGGGTTTTCACACCCATGTCCCAGGCTGGGTGTGGGGTGGTGGCCCCAGGGTGTTCTCACCCATGTCACAGGCTGGGTGTGGGGTGGTGGCCCCCAGGGTGTTCTCACCCATGTCACAGGCTGGATGTGGGGTGGTGGCCCCCAGGGTTTACTCACCCGTGTCCCAGCCTGGGTGTTCTCACCCATGTCACAGGCTGGCCGTGGGTGGTGGCCCCCAGGGTGTTCTCATCTATGTCCCAGGCTGGGTGTGGGGTGGTAGCACCCAGGGTGCTCACACCCACATTCCAAGCCAGGCATTGGGGTGCCGGGTGTTCACGCCCACTTTGTGTCTCCTTCCTCCCCCGGGCCGGGCAGTGGATGGAAACTGGAATGAGTGGTCGAGCTGGAGCGCCTGCTCCGCCAGCTGCTCCCAGGGCCGACAGCAGCGCACGCGTGAATGCAACGGGCCTTCCTACGGGGGTGCGGAGTGCCAGGGCCACTGGGTGGAGACCCGAGACTGCTTCCTGCAGCAGTGCCCAGGTCAGGGGTGCGCCAGGCTGGGGTCGGGGGGCACCTAACAAGCAGGAGCCTCTAGGAAGGGGACAGGCCCCACAGCGGGTGGGGGTAACCATGGGCCCCGGCATGTGACTGAGGAGGGAGTGGGGTGCACAGTGGGGTCTGGGGTGGCTGTGGGGGAAACGGAGCATGGGGTGGCTGCAGGGTGAGTGAGGTGCACTGTGGGGTGTGGGGTGGCCATGAGGAGAGTGGGGCATGGGGTGGCCATGGGGAGAGGAGTGGGGTGCACAGTGGGACTTGGGGTGTCCATGGGGAAGTGGAGGGTGGGGTGGCTGTGGGGTAGCAGGGTGCACAGTGGGACTTGGGGTGTTTCTGGGGGAAGTTGAGTGTGGCCATGGGGTAGCGGGGTGCACAGTGGGACTTGGGGTGTCTGTGGAGAAGTGGAGTGTGGGGTGACTGTGGAGTAGTGGGGTGCACAGTGGGACTTGGGGTGTCCATGGGGAAGTGGAGTGTGGGGTGGCCATGGAGTAGTGGGGTGCACAGTGGGACTTGGGGTATCCATGGGGAAGTGGAGTGTGGGGTGGCCATGGATTAGTGGAGTGCACAGTGGGACTTGGGGTGTCTGTGGAGAAGCAGAGTGTGGGGTGGCCGTGGAGTAGCGGGGTGCACAGTGGGACTTGGGGTGTCTGTGGGGAAGTGGAGTGTGGGGTGGCCGTGGGGTAGTAGGGTGCACAGTGAGGTGTGGAGGGTGGTGGGGTTGGCTGCATGTGGGGTGTTTGCTTTATTTTGTATCAGGCTGATGACTGATTTCTCCTCTCCTGGTCTGAATTTCCCTTCTTTGACCTCCTGCCCCACATTCCTGGGTCCCTATGTTTCACTGCCGCATGGCTCTGTGTGGGTCCCTGTCTTTGTGTCCTCCTGTCACTGTGGCTCCTGGACCCTGCCCTTCTTGTCGCCTGTGCCCTGTGTCTGGCCACGCCCCGCAGTGGATGGCAAGTGGCAGGCCTGGGCGTCATGGGGCAGTTGCAGCGTCACGTGTGGGGCTGGCAGCCAGCGACGGGAGCGTGTCTGCTCTGGGCCCTTCTTCGGGGGAGCAGCCTGCCAGGGCCCCCAGGATGAGTACCGGCAGTGCGGCACCCAGCGGTGTCCCGGTGAGGCCCCTCCTACCTGGGCTGGGCTCTGGGGAGGGCTGATGGCGATTGGGCGGGCTTGGGCTCAGCTGTCACCCACGTGGTGTGTTGGGGGCTCCCGTCCTGTCCTCATAATGATGCCTGCTCCAGGCGCCTTGCACCTTCCAGAGCCAGCTGCCGGCTCTCAGTACCCCTTCCTGAACCCCTGTCCCGGGCCCCTTGGCAGAGCCCCATGAGATCTGTGATGAGGACAACTTTGGTGCTGTGATCTGGAAGGAGACCCCAGCGGGAGAGGTGGCTGCTGTCCGGTGTCCCCGCAACGCCACAGGTGAGGGCTGGAGAGCACGTGGTGTATGGGGGCTCCCGTCCTGTCCTCACGGTGATGCCCACGCTGAGGTGCTGTCAGCACTGGGAGGCGGCCCAGACACGGAGCCCAGACAGCCTGCGTGTGCTGGCGCGGGGTGGTGGGGCCGCGAGCCCAGGGCACCGTGTGAGAACTCTGTGGCAGCTGCTGTTCTGAGCACTCGCTAGGGGCTGGCACCCATGCTCAGCCCTAACGCAAGATGTCCACGGAGTCTAAGCAACCCAAGAAGCCGCCACCATTTACAGCTGGGAAACTGAGGCACAGGGAAGTGAATGCCCTTGCCCGGGGCTTGCGGGGACAGGAAGAGGAGGTCTCTGTTGAATGCCAGCCTCAAGGAGAAAGCAGGGCTCCACGGGGAAGGGCTCGCTGCACTAGGGGCAGGCCTCCTTTGCTCCTCCTTTTTGAAGGAGTGCAGGTGCTTTATGTCCCTGACAGGCAGCAGGCAGAGAGGATGGGAGCCTGGGTTCAAACTCTGGTTCTGCCCTTGTTTGCTGTGTGACATTCAGAAACTGCCTTAACCTCCCTGAGCCTCAGTGTTCTCATCTGTAGGATGAGGGCAGTTGGGGTTCCTCTGCTCAGAGCTGCTGTGGGGAGGTGTGGGGGACGGTGGCAGGGGCCCTGTGTTGCCAGCTGCGGCTGCTGCTCCTCCCTCGCTCTTCTGATTACAGAACAGGGCATGTTCTCGGTAGCAGATTGCAAATGCTGAGAAGCAAAAAGAAGCACGTGAATGCCGCACGGTGGCGTGCCTCCCCTGGCCTTTGGTCTGCATGCGTGGCAGGGTCTCCCAGTGCCGCTCATTTTTGGCCCCATCTAAACCAGCATCTGCATCCAGTCCTGTGGCTCTTGTCAGGTGTCAGGGCTGCGACAGTTCTTTGTGGCTGCCGCCACCCTGTAAACACTCAGCTGTCCCTGTTTCTCTGATGATGTCCTGGGAGTGAGCTCTGTATCACAGGGTGTGCCGTGTTTAAGGCTGTTGTCCCCTTAATGCCCAGCAGCACCCCAAGGCTGCCCCCATGTCTCTGGGCCAGGCTGAGGCCCCTGTAGCCCTGTGGATGCAGCCAGGCAGGGGCCCAGGGTGCTGGCTCCCTCCAGGGCTCTGGGTTGGTTAGAAGGGGCTCCGAAGGAGGTCATGGCTGAACTCTGAAGGCCCTGCTCGGCCGAGATCTCCACCTCCATGCAGTGGGGTTCCTGAAGGCTTAGCTCCTGCCAGGTCCTGAGTCCTTGGGGCAGGTAGCAGCTGGAAATGTGTTGATGAAGGGAACGAGGTCCCTGCGTGGACTCTGCTCTCGGCGTGAGGCCATGGGCGAGTCCCTGTTTCTGGGGGCCACAGGGTCCCTTCCAGAAGGTCTGCTGCCAGGGGCCAAGGGTGGGATTCCTGGGCCAGGCAGCGGGCATCCACCTGAGAAGGGGATGGTCTCCCCAGGACTCATCCTGCGACGGTGTGAGCTGGACGAGGAAGGCATCGCCTACTGGGAGCCCCCCACCTACATCCGCTGTGTTTCCATTGACTACAGAAACATCCAGATGATGGTGAGGGCCAGTTCCCGGGGGTCTCCAACCCCTCCCCAATCACCCTGGCCACACAGGTTGGGACCCTGCAGAGGGTCCTAGGCATGGGAGATCCTGGGTGGCTGCCTGGACATGTTCCACAGAGGTGAAGGCACCCGCCCTCTCTGTCTTCCGCAGACCCGGGAGCACCTGGCCAAGGCTCAGCGAGGGCTGCCTGGGGAGGGGGTCTCGGAGGTCATCCAGACACTGGTGGAGATCTCTCAGGACGGGACCAGCTACAGTGGGGACCTGCTGTCCACCATCGATGTCCTGAGGAACATGACAGAGATTTTCCGGAGAGCGTACTACAGCCCCACCCCTGGGGACGTACAGGTGGGCTCCCCGAGCGGCATTTTGGAAGAGGGTGTCGGGAAGGTGTCTGGGGAGCCCTCCTCGACCTTAGAGATGGATCCCCAACCCTGGCCACAGCCCAGGCCCTAACCCATGTCATAGGTTGAACTCTGACCTTTGTCACACATTTAATCTTGGTCACACATTGAGCCCTGACCCTGGTCACACACTGAGCCCTGATCATAGGCTGAGCCCTGACCCTGGTCACATGCTGAGCTCTGGTCATAAGCTGAGCCCTGATCCTGGTCACACACTGAGCTCTGGTCACACACTGAGCCCTGACCCTGGTCACACACTGAGCCCTGATCATAGGCTGAGCCCTGACCCTGGTCACATGCTGAGCCCCAACCCTGGTCACACACCATGTCCTGATCCTGGTCACACTCTGAGTCCTGACCCTTGTCACAAACTGAGCCCTGATCCTGATCATACACTGAGCCCTGACCCTGGTCACACTGAGCCCTGATCCTGGTCACACACTGAGCCCTGATCCTGGTCACACACTGAGCCCTGACCCTGGTCACACTGAGCCTTGATCCTGATCACACACTGAGCCCTGATCCTGGTCACACTGAGCCCTGATCCTGGTCACATTCTGAGCCCTGATCCTGGTCACACACTGAGCCCTGACCCTGGTCACACTGAGCCCTGATTCTGGTTACACTCAGAACCCTGACACTGGTCACCCACTGAACCCTGACCTTGGTCACCTGCTGAACCCTGACCTTGGTCACATGCTGAACCCTGATCCTGGTCACACGCTGAGCCCTGACCCTGGTCACACTGAGCCCTGATCCTGGTCACACACTGAGCCCTGATCCTGGTCATGCTGAGCCCTGATCCTGGTCACACACTGAGCCCTGACCCTCGTCACATGCTGAACCCTGACCCTCGTCACATGCTGAGTCCTGATCCTGGTCACACGCTGAGCCTCGATCCTGGTCACACAGTGAACCCTGGCCCTGGTCACACACTGAGCCCTGATCATAGGCTGAGCCCTGACCCTGGTCACACGCTGAGCTCTGGTCATAAGCTGAGCCCTGATCCTGGTCACACGCTGAGCTCTGGTCACACGCTGAGCCCTGACCCTGGTCACATGCTGAGCCCTAATCCTGGTCACGCACTGAGCCCCAACCCTGGTCACACACCATGTCCTGATCCTGGTCACACTCTGAGTCCTGACCCTTGTCACAAACTGAGCCCTGATCCTGATCATACACTGAGCCCTGACCCTGGTCACACTGAGCCCAGATCCTGGTCACACACTGAGCCCTGATTCTGGTCACACACTGAGCCCTGACCCTGGTCACACTGAGCCCTGATCCTGGTTACACTCAGAACCCTGACACTGGTCACCCACTGAACCCTGACCTTGGTCACCTGCTGAACCCTGACCTTGGTCACATGCTGAACCCTGATCCTGGTCACACGCTGAGCCCTGACCCTGGTCACACTGAGCCCTGACCCTGGTCACACACTGAGCCCTGACCCTGGTCGCACTGAGCCCTGACCCTGGTCACACACTGAGCCCTGATCCTGGTCACACTGAGCCCTGATACTGGTCACACACTGAGCCCTGACACTGGTCACATGCTGAACCCTGACCCTGGTCACACTGAGCCCTGACCCTGGTCACACGCTGAGCCCTGACCCTGGTCACACCCTGAGCCCTGACACTGGTCACATGCTGAGTCCTGACCCTGGTCACATGCTGAGTCCTGACCCTGGTCACACACTGAGCCTCAATCCTGGTTACATGCTGAACCCTGGCCCTGGTCACACACTGAGCCCTGGCCTTGGTCACATGCTGAGCCTCAATCCTAGTCACACACTGAGCCCTGGCCCTGGTCACACCCTGAGCCCTTATCCTGGTCACACTGAGCCCTGATCCTGGTCACACACTGAGCCCTGACCCTGGTCACACTGAGCCCTGATCCTGGTCACACACTGAGCCCTGACACTGCACTGGTCACATGCTGAACCCTGACCCTGGTCACATGCTGAACCCTGACCCTGGTCACATGCTGAGCCCTGACCCTGGTCACACACTGAGCCTCGATCCTGGTTACACACTGAACCCTGGCTCTGGTCACAGTGAGCTCTGACCCTGGTCACACACTGAGCCCTGATCCTGGTCACATATTCAGCCCTGACCCTGGTCACACACTGAATCCTGACCCTGGTCACAGTGAACGGTGATTTTGTGCCCTGTTCTCTGTCACTGGCCCTTCTTCCTCTTCTTTCCAGAACTTTGTCCAGATCCTTAGCAACCTGTTGGCAGAGGAGAATCGGGACAAGTGGGAGGAGGCCCAGCTGGTAGGGCCTGGGGCCCCTACGGTCAGCAGCCTCAGGAGGGGTGCAGGCACAGCTGGTGCCTCCCTGGTCTCCAGTCGGCCTGGGGTGGGGTCCCGCCGGGTGCTCTGGGTTTGGATCTCAGGATGGTCTCTTGCTGGTGTTGGCAGCACTGAGGAAGCTCAGCATTCCTAGCCTGTTTCCTCATTTGTCTAAGGACAGTCATTTATTTCCTGGGGCTCAGTGAGGAGGTTCCAGAAAATACTGAGCACATGGGGATGCCAAGGCAGCTGGGACATAGAGCCCTCCTCATGTTGGGGCAGTGGGCAGTGCTCACTCCCCCAGGCTGACCTCCAGCCAGCCACCACTCCTAGCCCGGGCAGCACCCGGCATGGGGGCTGTGGGTATCCAGAGACTTTCCCCAATCCTGGGCTTCCCATGGGTGGGGCACAGCAGCCCCTCTGGGCATCTGCTTTCTCATCCCCAAAGTGGGGTACTCAGAGGTCACCAGCCCCACTTCCTCAAAATGTTAGGAAATGGCCAATAAGAAAAGGAGGGACAGGGAAGGGAAGGAGGCAGGGGCTAAGGGACAGTGGGGCCTCCTCCCTCGGCTGCTCACCCCCCTGCCCTCCAGGCGGGCCCCAACGCCAAGGAGCTGTTCCGGCTGGTGGAGGACTTTGTGGACGTCATCGGCTTCCGCATGAAGGACCTGAGGGATGCATACCAGGTGACAGACAACCTGGGTAAGCCTGCCCGCCTGCTGCCACCCCCCATGCCTTGCTTTGCAGCCCTGGGCCAGGCCCTTCTGCCTCAGCATCCTCATCTGTATAAAGGGGCAGTGACCAGACAGCCTTTGTGGGCCCTCCCAGCCGATTTCTCAGATGGGTCCTGTTTTCAGTCTCCTGAGGGTTGATGATGTGGCCTAGGAGGGGATGAGACACAGCCCACGGGGTGTGGACCTGGGAGCTCCGTCCCCAACCAGCGCTTCGCATGTACCCACCTGGGGCCAGAGCGTATTCTGCCTGTCACCCCCAGTGCCCTCCCTGTGGAGCTTTAGAGGCAGGGGCTGTGCAAGCCACACTTTCCCTGCTTGTCAGTCCCAGTAGTGCCTTGCCAGAGGGGCCTGGACTCCACCCAGCTCCGTGGTGTCAGCCGAGTCTTAGTTTCCTCATTTCTAAAATGAGATGATAACGGTGCCCATCTCATGGGGAGGTAGAGACTGATGAGACGAGTGAGTGGCTGAATCCCGGGGTAAAAGGTGGCTGTCATTACAAACACAGCAATTCTATTTAATGACTGTTACTACAGTGCCCTCAAATATCTCTCAAAAGCCACGTTTCTCAAACTTTCCCTGCCTTGATCAGAGAGTCTCTCAAAGCAGAGGACCCAGGAGTGGGTGCTGGCCCCAGCTGTGATCCCTGCTACTAGGGAGGCCGAGGTGGGAGGATCGCTTGAGCCCAGGAGTTTGAGACCAGCCTGGGCAGCACAGTGAGACCCTGTCTCTACAAATGTTTTTTAAAAAATTAGCACCAAGGAGGGAGAGTGTCACCTCCCCTGTGGGGATGCTTCACCTTTAGTGATATGACCAGGATCAGCTGAGCTTTGTCAGCACACACACCCTGGGGCCTTGCCCAGTGCCTATACTGGTGCCCAGGACGTAACTGGTAGCCAGCTCCCAGAGCACTCGGCACAGCCCACAGCCCCTGGAATGGCCCACACACGCTTCAAACCCTGAGCACCGTGGTTACCCCACATGCTTCATAACCCTGTCTCAGTCCATTTCCTGTTGCTGTCACTGAAGGGGTAATCTATAAAGATGAGAGGTTCTGGAGGCCGGAAAGTCCAAGATCACAGCTCCAGCTCTGAGTGAGCACCCTCCTGCTGCAGCACAGCATGGCAGAGGCAGCCCATGAGAGACAGAGCAAGTATGCCCGCTGAGGTCTCCCTTCCCATAATACCACTAAAGCCATCATGGGGGCCACCCTCGCCCTCCCAAAGGCCCCACCACCAAGTACCATTAGCAGATGAAATTGGGGATTCAATTTCCAACACGTGAACGTTTACAGGACACATTCAAGCTATAGCACACCACAGACACCCTGTGCATCCCATATGCTCCACTCAGCTGTGCTCAGCCTCACTCACTCCCAGGACCCTGCTTCTCTGCCCAGGCCCCCACCCCTACATCCCTCCCTCACTCAGCTGCCAAGAACTGGACGCCAGCAAGAGCGGCTTCCCATCGCATCTGTTTATGCAAACCAGATGAAAGGAATAATCCCTCCCGACTGTCAGAGCTGTAGGCCAAAGTGACACAGAAGCTGCATGTAGACAGACTATGAAGGCTCGAACTCTGATCCCTGCAGCCAACCTTAAACCCAGAGACCTGCCATGACCGGGTTGATGACCCAGTGTTTTCACCAGTAGAAATGTCCATTTCAATATTCATCTCGGCACAAGGTGCTTGGCACTCCCGAGGTGTCCCATCCCCAGGCCTAAAACAGACACAGTCCGAGGATATTTAAGTTAAGCAACCCTAACTTCCACGTGACCAGACCTGTACTGCAGGCGGCATTCAGACGTGTCTGGTGGAAACCATAGCTTCGTGCCTATTGTACTTGAACAAGTCCCACTAAAACATGTCCAAGACGGATCGACATTCTTATTATAATGTCTTTGGGAGGCTAACTAGCATTAACCTTTTAAATTAAAGACTGAGGTTAGGCACAGCGGCTCACGCCTGTAATCCCAGCAGTTCAGGAGGCCAAGGCAGGAGGATCGCTTGAGCCCAGGAGTTTGAGACCAGCCTGGGCAGCACAGTGGGACCCTGTCTCTACAAATGTTTTTAAAAAAATTAGCCAGGCATGGTGGTGCACCTTTAGTCCCTGCTACTAGGGAGGCTGAGGTGGGAGGATCGCTTGAGCCCAGGAGGTCGAGGCTGCAGTGAGTTGTGATCACACCACTGCACTTCAGCCTGAGCAATAGGCTGTCTCTTTAAAGAACAAAAAAAGACAAAGTTCTGATTTTTCCATAGTGAAATGCCTCAGCTAGAAACATCAACACGACTGATTGCTACTACTTCAATAATTCTGCCACTTTTCATCTTGTTCCAATGAAATATTTCAAAGTTTGCCCCTTACCCGGGCACACCTGCCACAGCCCACCCTGGTGCCCATGCCAGCCCTCCACCGCCCCTCGATGACCCTGTGTCCAGCCTCCCACCCCTTCGCCTGCTCCAGGGTGCTGCTCCAGCGTCCGTCTGCCCCCATTCCCCGCTGCAGCTTCCCAGCAGCCCCTTGCCCCTGCAGGCCACCTGCCCTTTGACATTTCTTCTTGTCCTCACCCCCGGTTCTCTGATGGTCCCTCCTGCCCCTCCGCTCACTGGGTGCTGACCCAGTCCGAATTCCCTCTGCCCTCCACTGGGGCTGCCAGTGACATCCATGGTGCAAAACCCTGTTCTCGGGCATCCGTGCCGCCCACTGCATTTGGCGCTACTGATGCGCATGCCCTCTCCTCCTCTCCCTGCCGCATCTTGGGCTGCATTCTTGAGGCTCCACTGGGGCCTGTGAGGGCTGAGGCCACGGCCCCAGGGCCAGGTTCCCCCAGAACAGTGGGTCCCTGTCAGCACCTGCTTCCACCCCAGCGGCACTTCCCCAAACTCTCTTCCCGTCCAGTTGCCCCAAACCTGCTGCCTCGTCCCCACGTCCATTTGCCCCTAAACGTGCTGCCTCATCCCCATGCCCATCCACCCTGAGCTCAGGGCCCTTCCGCACCCCCAATGCCTTCCTTCCCAGAATGGGAGGGAACACTGGATCCCTTCTTTCACCGTGGCCCATACTGCCCTTTGATGCCTGAGCCCTGAGGCAGGGCAGCCCCCATCCCCCTTCTACAGAGGGAGGGGAGGCGGGATCAGCTCACAGAGCTGGAGGGCAGCTGGGCTCCCCTGTCCCAGGAGGGAGTGGGGGGCGCTGAGGAGGTGCCTGGTGCCTGCGGATCCCTCCATGGCCACAGGACAGACCCCAGAATCTGCCTTTGACCACCTTCTGGGCCATGGAGGGTGGGAGGGGCAGGCTCCCTGCCCCTCACCGAGGCTCCAATTCAGCAGGACCAGGACCGGCCCAGCCTCTGCCTGGTGCTCCTTGCTGTCTCTGCTCCTGGACCTCACCGAGGTTCTGGGGGCTGGGGCTGGGGCAGATGGCCCCCACACTCCTGCCTCTGAGCCATGGGCACCCCGCGGCATCAGCCTGCACTGCCAGGCCTGCACCTCAACTCCCGCAGCTGAGGCCCCGCCACATCTGTGACTTTCCCTCCTCTCTGTCTCTCCCGCCTTTGACCCTGCTCCCAGTTCTCAGCATCCATAAGCTCCCAGCCAGCGGAGCCACTGACATCAGCTTCCCCATGAAGGGCTGGCGGGCCACGGGTGACTGGGCCAAGGTGCCAGAGGACAGGGTCACTGTGTCCAAGAGTGTCTTCTCCACGGGGCTGACAGGTGAGGGGCCCAGGGAGTGGAGGGGGACCTTCATGGGGGACGTGGGCCCCAGAGTCGGACGGTCACCACCCTTCTGGAGTCTAGCTGCTGCCTCAGAGTTGGGCGGTTCTCAAGGGGGTCCTCTTTTCCAGGAAGCCCTCCTTGCCCTCTCTGGGGCCAGGGCCTGCGGATCAACCCTGAGGCCCAGGCAGAGGGGTCAAGATGAACCACCTTGCTTCAGGGAGGGACAGGGAGTCACGTGTCAAGGACCCTGTTACCTGGAAGAGAGCCATGTCCTGCCTGCCCGTAGCTCTCAGGATGCCCCAGGGAATGGCCCGGTCTCCCTCTTCCCACGTGGCTGTTGCCCCAGCTCCCTGGCTGCAGCACTGTGTCCGTGGGTGGGTGGGCCTCACCATCCGCCAGGGCCCTGGACGCGACCTTGAAGATGGGCGGCAGATGCCAGTGACAGCGGGGTCCAGGCCAGGCTGCCAAGTCCCACCCTGGCTGTGGGGATGGCGGGCCGGGGTTGACAGTGCACTTTCTTCCAGAGGCCGATGAAGCATCCGTGTTTGTGGTGGGCACCGTGCTCTACAGGAACCTGGGCAGCTTCCTGGCCCTGCAGAGGTGGGGAGCCCTGGGCAGGTGGGGTGGGCAGTGCAGGGCAGGTGGGGTGGGCAGGACCCCAGCCACAGGATGTGAAGGGGGAGGCCAGGGGGCCTGGAGGAGTGTGGATGATGGGCTGTGGAGGGTGGCGGCGGGTACAGGGGCCCTCGGGGGCACCTGGGGAAGGGCCAGGAGGAGCCTGGGCTGGGAGGGCTCCCCCGACACCTGTGCCTCTGGCTCTTGCAGGAACACGACCGTCCTGAATTCTAAGGTGATCTCCGTGACTGTGAAACCCCCGCCTCGCTCCCTGCGCACACCCTTGGAGATCGAGTTTGCCCACATGTATAATGTGAGTGCCGTCCACGTGCACACTCTGATGCCAGCAGAAACGCGTGTGCGCGAATTCTGTCCCACTCCTCAGCCACTAAGCCTTTGGGGCCTCCTCACAACAGCTTTAACCTTCGAGAGCTACTTTTATCCCTGGATTACAGGTGGGGAAACAGGCTCAGAGAGGTGCGGTGACTTGCCCGGGGTCACACAGCAAGTGAGGTGCCGAAACCCCATCTGTGCCTGACTCCCCACCTGGGCTCCAACCACTCTGCCCTCCAGCCCCCATTGGCCTGGTCATTCCGCTTCTGAGAAGTGGAGCCCGTCCCATGACTTCTGGCCCCCTAACGCCTGGCCACCAAGAAGCTGGGGGTGTAAGTACACCCTCTGCCGGCACCGCCAGGACTGACACCAGGCCTCGCCTGCAGGGGCCCTGGGATTTCAGCACGGGAGCGTCCCCCCAGAACTCCCTGGCGGGAAGCCCCAGCCTCCAGGCCACGGCTGCTATGTGAGCCCTGCCAGGTCCCAACCCTGCTCCTTGGAGCTCTCCAGAGCCCTTCCTTGGGCCTCAGAGGAGTAGGGGCCGAGATGCCCTTCTGATGGGCCGAGAACCAGGGCCCCCAGGGAACACGTTGCCTGGGTTACCGCACCAGGACTGGGCAGTGCCAGGCCTCCAGCCCAGGCCAGGGCTGTAGGAAGCCACGGGAGAACCCAGCCCTGTCCTTTCTAGCTGTGTGACCTTGGGAGAGTTGTTCAGCCTCTCCGTGCCATGGTTCCCTCCCTTATCAAGTGGGAACAATAGGGCTGGGTGAGGACTGAGTCTCACAGCTGCTCAGAGCAGGCCACACCTGAGAGCCACCCTCAGGAGCTGTGGCCATCTCTGCTGTCACTGCCCCATCTTGGCAGTGCTAGTGTGTGGCAGGCCTGGCAAGGCTGTGTCCCAGGAATGCTAGCAGGACGTCAGAGCAGTGCAGGGTGCTTACAGAGGCCACTGTGTGCCCGGTGACCCCTGCTCACTAGGCCCCGGGGGAAGGGTCTTCCCATCACCCTACTTCATACCAGAGACGGACTTCAGCCATTGCTGCCCAGCCTGGCCACTGGACCTGGGCTCTGGGAGGGGCCAGGAGCTGCCCGAGGCCACATGGGTGGTGGGGGCTTGTGCCAAGCCCAGGTGACCTTGGGCCACTGCTGTCTCCACCCTGGACTCAGTTTCCTCCTCGCAAAACGCAGTCTGTTCAGGGACCCGCACAGGTAGCATGCCTGGTAGCACACCTTTAGGTGGGTCCCATGGTGACCCGAGGGTGGGGGCTGGTCCTGGCTGCCAGGGGCCCTGACTCCTCTCCCCTCTCTCCCAGGGCACCACCAACCAGACCTGTATCCTGTGGGATGAGACGGATGTGTAAGTTCACTTGGATTTCATGGCCGTGGGGGTCTGGGGTGGGGTTCGTGGGAGGCTGGCCCAGTAGGGGAGGGGTGCAGGTTTCAGGTCTTGTCCACTTGCCCCCCAGCTGTCTGTGTACCCGCATGGGCCTCCGTGTCACCACCTGTCACTCACTGTCTGGCTCTGGAGCCCACCAGGCCGCCTCCCACCCCCTCCCAGGGATGTCCACAGTTCAGGGAGGAGCGGACGTGGAGGTCCAACCACAGGCCAGGTGATGGGCAGGCGTCCTGGCCTGCCACCTGCCCCCAGCCCCCAGCCCCATGCCCACAGCAGGTGGAATCCTGACATTCAGGTCTGCAGGTGGGTGCCAGGCACTGAGGGGCTGCGAAAGCTTCCATGACAGACCAGGGCAGCATGGAGTGGAACTGGAACTTCAGGCTCATCAGATGGGGGCGTGGGCCCCTGGGGTCTTCAGTGGCCATATATCCTGTGCCAGTTGCAGGCCAAGCACTTGTTGGGTGCCGGCTGGCCCAGGCGCTGTGGCACAGCTGGAGCAAGTTCCACGCCCCATGTGGGGTTCCGCAAGGAGCAGTCAGGCTGTGGGGTGCCATCTCGGGGCCCTGGTGGGTGTGCCAGAGTGGGGCCATCCTCCCAGACAGCAAGGTGGGGGCAGCGAAGAGAAGCTCGCCCAGTCACAGGAAGAGTCTGTGTAAAGGCCCAAAGTGCCAGCGCCCAGGGCTGAGCTAGGCCAGGACGTGGGGAGATGGATAGAGCGATGGCGGCCGGGTCCCAACATGCGGCTCCGGCCTGAGGGGTCCTCAGTGTGTGGTCGGGGACCTGGGTGTGTGCACCCTGCCGCCCGCCTCCTCCGAGCGTGTTCCTCCGGCTCCCTCAGCCCCAGTCCCTCCTGGCTGCTCTGACATCACCAGCCTCAGGCCTCCCTGCACCCCTTTCCCGGGCCGAGTGTGTGCGGTCAGCATGGCCACCTGGGTGCCGGTGGCACTTGTGATGGTCCCTTGCGTGGTGGGTAGTTCAGTGACAAGGGAAGGCTCTGTGAGTGGCAGGCGTTGGAGGACAAGGCTGCCTGACAGGGAGAGGGAGGCAGGTGGCTCAGGAGGAGACAGCTGGAGCAAGGGCAGGGAGGCTGAGGGCATGAGGAGCAGGGAGCCGGCCAGGAGGAGCAGGCAGAGGCAGGCAGGGGCTCAGGGGAGGCCGCGGCAGGGTGAGGACAGTTAGTGGGGGCTGGGTGTCATGACTCTCCACCTACCCACCACCCATCCACCCTCTCCTCTGTCTGCCTGTTCTTTAATCTATACCCACTGCCACCACCCTCCACCCACCAACCATCAACCCTCTCCTTCGTCCACCTGTTCTTTAATCTATATCCACTGCCACCACCTTCTACCCACCACCCATCCACCGCTCCTCCGTCCGCCTGTTCTTTAATCCATCCGCCCATCGCCCACTGCTCACCACCCTTCCTCCGGCGGTCACTACCCTCTGATGGGCACTATTCTGGCAGGTCCCAGCCTTTAGCCTCCTCTCCCCAGTGAGGAGGGATGGGGAACAGGGACAGACGGAGCAGTGTGGTGATGCCCGGCCGTGCATGGGCCGGGAAGGGAAGCTAGCAGGGTCTGGATGCGGGTGGGGAGGGGCCTTTGCAAGCAGGGTCATGCACGCCTCCGAGGGAAGGGGAGGTTTCGGCAGAGGCCTGGCAAGCACAGCTCTGCGTGTGAGTGTCTGGGGATGAGCGTCGCAGGGGAAGGAGCAGCCGGGGCAAAGGCCTCAAGGTGGGATTGGCAGGTCACACCAGGCTCCTGCCTTCTCTGCACCCCACATGGTGGACTCTGCTATGTTTCCTGCCCTGGGTCTGGGGTTGGCAGCTGGGCTGGGGAAAGCTGGGTGCCCTGCAGCCCTGGGGAGCCAGCTCTCTAGCTCTCGTAAGGGTGGAAAAAGAAAATGCAAGAAGAAAGCCCCCCTGCTTGCATGACCCAGGCCCACCCCTGGGCTTTGCATTTTCAGGGGGTGGCAGTGCGGGGGCTGCAGGTGGGTCTCTCACCCCCACAGCCCCAGCACTTCCACCAGCACAGGCCCCTCCCCACAGTGCAGAAACCCTCCATCCGGGCTGTTCGCCGGCCGCGGCAGCTCTCGGGGGGCTGCGCCCTGGTTCACTCAACCAGCCCCTGCTGGTGGCCTTCAGGAGCCTTCCCTCTCTACCAGCATAAATGCCAGCGTGACCAGCGATCTTGCGAGGACAGCTTCACCCGTACTTCTGATTGCTCCCTGGGGATCAGTCCCCAGGCAGTCTTGTCAGGTGGAGGGTGTGGGCCCCTGGGGGGCCTGCAGAGTAAATTGCTTTTTAGAAAGGAAAGCATCCCCTTTGTCCTCCAGGGCAGCAGGCTGTGAGGGGCCTGTCCAGTGAGCCGGGACAAGGACACTGCCCCAGGGACCCAACTGTGGCCGAAGAGGACATGCTGCGTGGCCTTGGGCAGAGCCTGTGCCCTGGGAGCCTTGGCTTCCTGACCCTATGGCCAGGGTCTGCCTGCTTTTAGGCAGGGGCGGGGGCAGCAGGACGGCGGTCAAGTCCCCAGGGTGTTTGGCGTCCGCGTGGCCTCTGTCGACCCTAAAAGTCACAGGTGTGGGGAAGGCCCAGGACCCGCCAGTCACACCAGGTGTTCCACCCACCCCGTCACCGGCTGGGTGCGCTGAGTGCTAAGGTCTTGGTGCCTGGGTCCAGGACTTCAGGACAGGAGGACAGGAGGCAGGTGCCGGTGTGGCCCACGCAGTGCCTGGCAGCATTGTGCCCAAGTTGCCTCTTGGGTCCTTGACCCTGCCCGGCAGCCAGGCCACGCTGCACACCTGCTGCCTGTGAGGAGCTGAGGCCCTGAGACTCCTACAGTCCCGCTGAAAGCACAGCGCAGTGATCGAGGCCTTCTGCTCTGGAACTGGGCAGCCTGGAGCCCTAGAGGGCGGGCCACGGCTGGCAGGGAAGGACTGGGACTGACCTCGGTCCCCTTCCTTCTGCCCCTCACCTCCCCTCCACTCTGAGTTGGATGGCACCTCCCTTGACTGCTGCAGGGGCCACTCCTCGCCCTGTGAACTGTCTCCGGGGAGCTGAGTTTCCCAGTTGACCTGAAGTGGAGACCACGGGCAGGGGCCCAGGTCTGTTTCCACCAGGGCACCAAGGGACCGGGTCCAAGCTGGTGTGGGCCTGTGTCGGTGTGCACTTGGATGGGAAAGAGTCTCATGCGTCTGGGGAGGGGTTCTGTGTGTGAGGAGCACAGTGGTTTGTGGCGGGAGGGGAGTGAGAGCCATCAGTCACCATCAGCTGAGAAGTAGTGAACTCTTAGAGCTGTAATCATTATTCAGAACTGAACTGGTCACAGATAGAGCCCAGATCCCAAACTCAGACTGAGTTTTTACCCTGTTCACACACTGAGTTCTGATCCTACTCACTCACTGAGCCCTGATCCTGGTCATAGGCTGAGCCCTGATCCTAGTCACATACTAAGCCCTGATCCTGGTCACAGGCTGAGCCCTGGCCCAGTTCATACATTGAGCCCAGATCTTAGCCACACATAGTCCTGACCTTGGTCATACACTGGGCCCTGATCCTGGTCACAGGCTGAGTCCTGCTCTGGTGTCTTAGCTGGAATGACTTGTGTGTGTCACATGCTTGTAGGGCCACCTCCTCTTCCAGCCACATACAGCAACTGACCATGTGACCCACTCAGCCTAGAAAGACTTACAGGCTTCCACTGCAATGCAAGTCACCTGCCTGCCTCACCCCGGTTGTGCAGACACACTTGCACCCATGGGCTCAACACTCAAGCCCATGATGTCTGCTCATGCTCTGTAAACCCTGAGCCCTAAGAGCACCTGGTGTCCCTGCACCCCAGCAACTAGATCCGTAACCAAACCCCAACCTCCCAGGCCCAAACACCCTGGGTCATCCAGTCCTGAACGCTGGCCTGGCAGCATGGCTCAGGTGCTCCTGCTCCCCCACACCCCTGCACCAGCCTGGCTTGTAGTGCTGAGGGCCTGGGGAATGGGGATGCTAGGGAGGAAAATGGGGAGCAAAGCGGGGGGTGGGGGTTGCAGAGTTCTCATATGTTTCAAGCCATAGACACTGCCCCTACCGTAGCCCATCCCTGTATAGTTCCTTGACCACAGGTGTCTCTACTGGAGTGGGGTGGAGGGCGGGGACAGTGGCAGTTATGTCAAAGTCATGTCTGTATCCCTAGAATTGAGCCCTGACCCAGTGAGAATCAACAGTGGTTTATGAGCAAGGCAGTGATTACGTGGCTGAATGCAGAAATGGATGTGCGAAGGGGTTCTTGGTAGGCAGTGTGGACAAGCGGGGGTGTGGATAATCTGTGGGAGCCGGCTGTTTGCCAGAGGGATGCACCCAGGGTGCAGCTGTGGGTTGCTGGGGGATGGGGAGGCAGCGGAAGAACAGTCTCATGGCTGGGTGAGTGACCAGTGATGGCTGGCATGGGAAAGGGTGGGTGGGCGGACTGTGGATGACAGCATGCATGGAAGGCTAGAGACAGGGGTGGATGGATGGGTGACTGAGAGAAGGAAAGAAGATGGAAGGTGTCTGGAAGGATAGAGATTCAGTTTCCCAGGGCTGCCCTAACAAACTGCCAAAATTACCACAAACCAGGTGGTTTAAAACAACAGATATCTATTATCTCCCAGTTCTGGAGGCCAGAATCTTGAAATCAAAGTGTTAGTAGGGCCATGCTCCTTCCAAAGGCTCTAGGAAAGATTCCTTCCTTGCCTCTTCCAGCTTCTGGTGGCTCTAGGAAATCCTTGGTGTTCCTTGGCTTGTGGCGGCGTCACTCCAGTCTCTGCTGCTGTCTTTTCCTGGCCTTCTGTCTTGTGTATCTCTGTACTTTCCTCTTCTTGTAAGGACCCCAATAATGGATCTGTGCCCCCCCGCCAAACCCAGTGTGGTATCAGTCAAGATCCATAACTCAATTACATCTACAAAAACCATGTTTCCAAATAAAATCATATTCGTAGGTTCTGGGGGTTAGGACTTGGACATATATTGGGGAGAAGTGGATGATGGATGGATGGATGAGTAGATGGGTGGGTGGATGAGTGCATGAGTGGGTGGGCGGGTGGGTGGATGGATAGGTGGGTGGGTGGATGGGTGGATGGATACGTGGGTGGCTGGATGGATGTGTAAATGGTAGATAGATGGATGAGTGAATAGGTGAATGGGTGGATGGATAGGTGGGTGTGTGAATGACTGGATGTGTGGATAGAGGTATGGATGGATGGGTGGGTGGCTGGCTGGATGTATAGATGGTAGATGGGTGGACGGGTGAATAGGTGTGTGGGTGGGTGGGTGGATGGGTGCGTGAATGACTGAATGTGTGGATGGAGGTATGGGTGGATGGATAGATGGGTGGCTGGCTGGATGTAGAGATGGTAGATGGGTGGATGGGTGAATAGATGGGTGGGTAGATGGGTGTGTGGGTGGCTGGATGTGCAGATGGAGGTATGGATGGGTGGGTGGCTGGCTGGATGTGTAGATGGATAGATGGGTGAATAGGTGGGTGGATAGGTGTGTGGGTGACTGGATGTGTGAATGGAGGTATGGACGGCTGGGTGGGTGGCTGGATACATGAGTGGATGAGTGAATGATGGGTGGAGAAAAGGATGGGCTGGTGGGTGACAGGAAGTTGATGGAGGCCAGTAGCACACATTGGGAGTTAGGTTCTGTGGTCCTGAAAGGACAGCTCCCTGGGTGTTTTACACGTAAGAGTTGCAAATATCTTTCAGTCTTTTAAAACTGCTTTAAAAAATGTAAATAACCCAGAGTTTACCGAGTATAAAAGTCAGAGCTAGCAAGATCCTGAAAGATCATGCACTCTGTCTTTACTCGAAGCGTGGTTCAGTGGAGTCCCAGAGCGGGGATGTTAGTACAAGCCGGGCCACAGACCTGAAGCCCTTACCATGCTACCCTAGCGTTTATGGGGTGTTCTGCCAGAAGCCAGCCCATCCTCATGGCTTTAGGAAGGGCAGCGTTCCGTGTGCTCCCAAGTCCGTATTGACCATAATGACCTGAGAAGTCCTGCAGGAGACTCCTGTCCAACTGGGCTGGGAGTTTCCCAACTTTGCTGGCTCTCAGAACCCTTATTCTGCCAGACATGGTCCCCTCCTGGTAGGCGTGTGTGGAAGGAGGACGTGTGAGAGGCACATTTGCTGGACTCCTTTCCTGAAGCTCAGCCTCAGGCCAGGCACCATGAGAGCTGCCTCACTCAGTGCACACAGGCTGTCTCAGCTCACACGTCTTTATTAACCGATTTTACAGCTGAGGAGACTGAGGCCCAGAGTGCTCACTGGCAGATCCAGGGCCACCTCATGGTTGTTCCCATCTGGCCTGTGCGGGCCTCCAGCCCTGCCTCCTGTGGGGCCCCTGTCAGGTTCAGCTGTCCTGGCTCGGGACCCAGACCCTGGTCCCTCCCTGGGACCCCTGCCCAAGCGAGCATCCTGGTCCCTTTAAGAGCCTCTCCCTCACCCACCCCTTTCCTGGTTTCCTTGGAGAGGGCAGTGAGGGGGCAGGCCAAGGGGGGGGAAGCGGAAGGAAGACTTGGCAGGGTCCCCGGGTCGCTGTCAGCAGCCGGTTCCCAGCTCAGTCTCTCCCACGCCGGCCGGTTCCTGATGGGGGCAGAGGAGGCTGGGGGAGGGGTGCAGGGGGAGGGGACGCACCCAACACAGAGGCCTCTTTGGTGGCCTGGGAAGAGCCTCAGTATCTGCACCATGATTGAGGAGGGAGGAGGAGGATGAGCCTCTCCCAGCTTGGGTGGGGCCTCGGGGACAGGGGAGAGGTGGAGTGCTGCTCTCAAAGATGAGCCCACCCTGGCCTAGCTTCTGCCCCTGCAGCAGCTTGGGCCTGGCACCAGCCCCTTCCCGGGTACCCCTTTCTCTGAATGTCCTCTTGGTTGGTCCTTGGGTAGGGGCAGCAGGGGCTGGCAGAGGCCTGTGTGGGCCTGTTCTTTCTGGGCGCAGGGTCCTTGCCCATGCAGGGGCTCGTGGCAGCTTTCAGAGCTGGAGGGAATGGACCAGGTCGTAAGGTCACGGCTGCGGGCAAGCCCCCATGGCCTGAACTTCGAGTGGGCTAGCCTCCTCCCAGTCCAGGACAGACCCTTGGGCCTGCCCAAGGTCTCTGCATCTGGGAATGGACCCAGCTCTTCTGCCTGGCCCAGGGGCCTCTCAGCTGCCCTTACCCAGGCCCTCTTACTCCCCCACAGGGCCTGCTTGGGAACTCTGGGACCCCATCTGTCCCTGCCCAGTGCCCTCTTCTCCACGTGCTCCAGGCTGTCTCTGCCCACTGCCCTGCCCCCCTACCCCTGTCTCTTTCTTCCTGGCAGCGGCTCCGATCTGCAGTGAATCCTTGGATCCGTGTGTGTTCGATCCACCCTACCCCAGCAGAGCAGAAGCCCCCGAGGGCAGGGCCTGGATCTCTGCCATGGCTCCAGGCACACAGCACCCCTCAGGAGGAGTTTGTTCAGGGAGTCTGAGTGTGCCCCGTGTTAACAGGGTCACTCCCTCTCTGGAGCTGGGGGCTTCCACATTCATTGGCTCACACACTCAGGCTGCCCAGGACGCAGCTGTGAGTTGCCCCGGGTGCCTGCTTGGGCCTCTGTGTCCTGAGGGCTGGGGGCGTGCAAGTCTTATAGTTGGGGCTGGCAGCCAGGGCAGCCCCTCCCTCAAGCACAGAATTCGTAGATCTGGCCACACTGGCTGTGCGCGCCCAGGCCTCAGTTTCCTTAACTGTGCAATGGGACAGGAGATGAGGGACCACTATATTGAGAGTCTGTGCCCTCCTCCCAGTCCAGGGAGCTTCCTGGGCAACTGGAGACCACCAGCCACCAGCAAGGGCCCAGGGCCGCTGCACCTCCCCTGCCTACCACTCCCCGCACACCTCCCGCCTGCCCACCCCTCCCCTGCCCACACTACCCCTCCTGCCTCCATTCTTTTTCTTCTATAGAAAGTCTGCCAGATGCATGGCCTGTGACAGCCCCCATGTGGCATAGCTGGGAGGGGCTTCGGCAGTGGAGGAGGGGACAGGTGGGCATAACAGACCCGCTAGTCTGCCTGCCAGACCTCTGTGCCACTGCCTCCCCGGGGCCCCAGCCTCTCTCTCCCTCTCTTGGGAGCTTGGCTGTGGCTCCCAGGCCTGCCCCAACCACAGGCTGCTAGGCCTTTGCTCACCCCTTTCCTGGTGGGCAGTGCTATCCATCCCCCACCAACCCCAGCTGTGCCAAGTGGGGGAGCCCGTGGGCTGCGAATGCCCACTCCAGGCAGGCCCCTCACTGGCACCCACACACAGGGTAGCTTGGCAGTTGGGAGGGGCAGAGCTCCAGCCCTGTTCCTCACTGGCGGGGAGGCTGTGGGTGACTTTCTCCAGCCCCGGCCCTGTTCCTCACTGGCAGGGTGGTTATGGGTGACTTCCCCCTCCTCTAGTCTTGGCTCCCGTGTCTTTAAAGCCAGGCTGCTGTGAGTATTACGGAACGAGAGTTGGGCTGCTCAGCAGGTGGGCACCGTCCTACCCTCCAAGTCCAGGACGGCTTCTGAGAGGATGGCAGGCAGCCGCTCAAAAGAGCGCCACCCTTGGGGGCCGGAGACTTGGGGTACGGCCACCCGCGTGCTGGGATTCGGGGCCAGTTCTGGGAGTGGGCTTCCTAGAGGAAGGGAGGGAGCATGCACCGGCTATGAAGAGGGAGCTGGAGTCCACGCCAGGCCCCAGGCGCCTCAAAGGCCCAGAGGCGGAGTGCCGCGGTGGGAGCGCTGCCTGCGAGGTGTCTGTGAGAGGTGGGGTTGGGAGCGGCTGGGGTGGGTGGGGCTGCTCAGGCCCTGGGCCTCCGGGGGCCCCTTGCCTGCGTCCCCATGCCGCCTTTTAGAAGCAGACAGGGTGAGCTCTCTGGCCCTGAAGGTGAGCAGAGATGGAATAGCTGGGGGTAGCGGGGGCGTGCAAGGAGAGGGCCGCCACTTCCTGGGTGCCTGCTCGGTGCCGGGCCTTCTGCCAGGAGCTTGGAAGAGCCAGACAGGCCCAGACCTGGACCAGAAGCTGGCACTCAGAATGGGGTCACAGCAGGCTTATGGGTTGGGCCCAAGTGGAGCGACCCCTCAATGCCCACCCGGTTCCTTTGCACCCAGATGGCCCTGGCAGCCATCTCAGCCGGCCCTAGTCCTGGAGCCCTGCCTGTAGGGCTGGCTCCTGGGCCATGTCTGAGCCTCCCTCAGCACGGACAGGTCTGCGACTGGGGCCCCCAGGGCTTCTCACGTTCCTCACAATGCAAGACGCCAGTCCCATGGCTGCCGTCCGGCGCTGCCTGGGATCGGGGCAGGCAGGCTGGACATTTGTGTTTCGCCCCCGCCCCACACCGCTCCTCCACTTCCCCCCGCGCCGCTCCTCCACCTCCCCACGCGCCGCTCCTCCACCTCCCCACGCGCCGCTCCTCCACCTCCCCACGCGCCGCTCCTCCACCTCCCCACGCGCCGCTCCTCCCCCGCCCCCCGCGCCGCTCCTCCCCCGCCCCCCGCGCCTTTCCTCCCCTGCCCCCCGCGCCGCTCCTCCCCCGCCCCCTACACCGCTCCTCCACCACCCCCCCATGCCCTCCTCCACCTTGGGAGCTCCTCTCAGTCATGCCTCGTGGGGGCGAGGGCATGTGGAGGGGCGGCTGCAGGGGTCCAGGCCACGGGGATGGGCCTGGAAGGCCGTGAGCCTCTTCCGCTCAGCACCCGTGTCCCTGTCCCCAGGAGCACAATGGCTCATTTAAGGCAGCAGAAAAGGCTTCATCAAAGCCCCACCTTCCCAGGCCCCTCAGTGTTACCCTGAGGTCAGAGAGGGAGGGTGGTGACTGACTGACTGTTCTGAAGGATGTGGGAAGGCAGGATATGAGGTAGACAAAGGGAAGGACTTCCACGTGAGCAAGGAGGGCAGAGTGGCCCTGAGTGTCCATTCTCTGACCTTGCCCTTGGTGCACAGGTGCCTGGAAGCAGGGGGATGGTGGAACAATCTGGAGGTCACCAGAGATGACTGCAGGGAGTGGGGTCAGCCTGGAGATCCCTGGAGGGCAGGGGTGTCAGGTGTGACAGGCAGTGGTGATGGCGTGGATGCCCTGTTGCTGGTGATGGTGGTGGCCGTCCCTCCTGCCAGCCTGGTTCTGCTTGCACTGCGCCTTGGACATGGTGAGCACGGGATAAACACTTGTTGTCGAATGCTGGTGACTGTTACCAGGCTAGTGTCAGTTCCAGGGACAGTGACGGAGCTGGTTCTGATGAGGCGATGGCAGTGTTGGAGACGAGAATGATGATGTGCTTATAGTGGAGGTGACGCTGGTGACCATGGGTGACCGGTGGTCATTGTGATGACTGTGAAGGGACAGTAAAGGTGACGGTTGTGGTGACAGTGGTGGTAATGACTGTGCTGTTAATGGCAGTGGTGGTGGTGGTGGTGATGATGGAGGTGATGGTAGTGATGCAGTCATCACTGTGGTTTTGATGATGACGGTGGTGGTGGTGGTCGTGGTCATAGTGATGGTGGTGGTAGTGATGGTTGTGTGGTTTTGATGATGGAGGTGGGGTGGTGGTGGTGATGATGGGGTGGTGGTAGTGATGTTTGTGTGGTTTTGACGATGGAGGTGGGGTGGTGGTGGTGATGATGGGGTGGTGGTAGTGATGTTTGTGTGGTTTTGACGATGGAGGTGGGGTGGTGGTGGTGATGGTGATGTGGTGGTGGTGGTGATGGTGGTGGCGGTGATGGCGATGGTGGGGTGGTGGTAGTGATGACTGTGTGGTTTTGACGATGGAGGTGGGGTGGTGGTGGTGATGATGGGGTGGTGGTAGTGATGTTTGTGTGGTTTTGACGATGGAGGTGGGGTGGTGGTGGTGATGGTGAGGGTGATGTGGTGGTGGTGATGGTGGTGGCGGTGATGGCAATGGTGGGGTGGTGGTAGGGATGGCTGTGTGGTTTTGATGATGGAGGTGGGGTGGTGGTGGTGATGATGGGGTGGTGGTATTGATGTTTGTGTGGTTTTGACGATGGAGGTGGGGTGGTGGTGGTGATGGTGAGGGTGATGTGGTGGTGATGGTGGTGGCGGTGATGGCGATGGCGGGGTGGTGGTAGTGATGGCTGTGTGGTTTTGATGATGGAGGTAGGGTGGTGGTGGTGATGATGGGATGGTGATAGTGATGGTTGTGTGGTTTTGATGACAGTGGTGGTGGTGATGGTGGTCGGGGTGGGGGTGATGATGGGGTTGTGGTAGTAATGGTTGCGTGATTTTGATGACGGAGGTGAGGTGGTGGGGGTGATTATGGAGTGGTGGTGGTGATGATGGGGTGGTGGTAGTAATGGTTGCGTGGTTTTGATGATGACAGTGGAGGTGGTGGTGGTGGTGATGGTGATAGTGGTGATGGTGATGGTGGTGGTGCTGGTGGTGATGATGGGGTGGCGGTAATGATTGTGTGGTTTTGATTATGACAGTGGTGATGGTGATGGTGGGGTAGTGATGGTGATGGTGGTGGTGATGGGGAGGTGGTAGTAATGGTTGCGTGGTTTTGATGATGACAGTGGTGGTGATGGTGGTGGTGGTGGTGGTGATGGTGGTGGTGGTGGTAGTGGTGGTGATGATGGGGTGGTGCAGTCATCACTGTGGTTTTGATGATGACAGTGGTGATGATGGGGTGGCGTTAGTGATGGTTGTGTGGTTTTGAGGATGGAGGCAGAGGTGGTGGTGGTGGTGGTGATAGGATGGTGGTTCAGTCATCACTGTGGTTTTGATGATGGGGTGGTGGCTGTAGTGAAGATGGGGACGGTGACGGTGGTGATGGTGGTGATGGTGATGGTGGTAGTAAGGGTCGCATTGTTGGTAGTGTATGGTTTTGGTGCTGATGATGGGGTTGGTAGTGGTGGTGGTTGTGATATAGTGGCAGAAAGAGTGGTATTTATGATGTTGATGGTGTCATGGATGGTGGTGAAGGTGTGGTAGCAATGGTTGTGTTGTTGATGATGACAGAGTGGGTGTTGCTGCTGTTGGTGGTAGTGACAGTACTGTTGATGGCATGATGCTGATGGTCGTGTCTTGAGGTGATGATTGTGGTGTGATGAAGGCGGATGGTATTGTTGGTAGTGGTGGTGAGACCTGGTGGTAATGATGGTGTTGATAACACATGGAGGGGGTGGTGGCGATGGTGACAGTGGTGGTCCTGGTTGTATTGTAGATGGTGTTGATAGTGATTGGCCTCAGTGGTAGCTATGAGGGTGGAGGCTGTGGTGACAAGTGGTGGTGGTGGTAGGCCCAGCTCTTAGGTGAATTTGCAGCCCAAGCCCCCTGAGGGAAGCGAGACCCCCCATGACACAGTTAAGGAACCAGAGCCCAGCAGCCATGCAGATGGCAGGCCAGGTGGGTGAGGAAATGGCGGGAGAGCCAAGGGAGCGCTTCCGAGGTCATGGCGGTCTGGGAGGAGATGAGGCTGGGCTGGCTGTAATGGGGGGAAGGTTTGGGATCTGCTAGAGCCAGGGCAGAGCTCGTGGGGGTGCCCAGTGCCCAGTACAGGGCCTGGCACAGGCCAGGCCAGGGAGGCACCTGCTGAGTGAGTGAGAGACTGTGCTGGCCCTTTGACCTTGCCACTGGGTACCAATGGCTGGAGCGTAAAAGGGTGTGAGGTCTGGGCAGTGGCCCCCTGCCAGCAGGGGTAGGTGACAGGCCAGGCAGAGCAGGGCTGCAGGTGCAGCAGGTGCGGGTCTGCATGAGGCAAGACGGCTCGGGCAGGCTTCTGAGTGCCAGCCTCCTGCTGGGGAGGGGCAGCAGGTGCGGGTCTGCAGGACCCCAGCCCTCCTGCTCCAGGTCACTTCTCTGCCAGGCTGGGCAGCCAGCACCCTGCCCTCTTCAGGAGCTCCATTCTGCCTGGCAGACAGCCTGGGGCCTCTGTGCCTCTGCCCAGGTGGATAAGTAGGTCAGGAGAAGAGCTGCTGGACCCTGGGGAGGGCTGGGTTTCCAGCCCAGGGGTATCCCATGGCCAGGAGCCCTGACTCAGTGTGGCGGCGCCAGGTGGGAGCCAGGAGATTGGCATCTTGCATCGTGAGGAACATGAGAAGCCCTGGAGGCCCTGGATGTGGACCTGTCGGTGCTGAGGGAGGCTCAGACATGGGCAGCTCTGGGAGAAGCCCAGGAGCCAGCCTCATAGACAGGGCACCAAGCCTGAGCAGGCTCCAGCGTCATCTGGCAAGCTGGGTTCAGTAAGACCCAGGTCAGGCAGGTGTTCAAATGCCAAGGTCGATGGGTCACAGCGACCAGGATCTCCTCAGGACCCCAGGTAATTGCCCCCAGGCCCTGAGCTTGGAGGGGCTAGAGCTGACCCAGGCCTGCCCTGGAGAGCCTCACAGACTGGCAGCCAGACAGGGGCTGGGCATGGAGTGGGAGTCAAGGAGGCTTCTTAGGGGAGGCAGTGGCTCCAGGAGCCCTGGAGGGGGAGGCTAATCACACAGGATGCGGGGCCTGTGGCCAGGGGACCAGCCAGGACCAGGGCCTGGAGGCAGCAGAGGGCGTGTGTTTGCTGGGTTACCTGCTGGGCTGGCCTGTGCAGGCAGGGCCACCAGGGGCAGGCCCACCAGAGGCAGGGCCACCAGGGCCAAGGGAGGCCCCTCTGGGATGGTCGCGGGGGGCTCTGGCTGCTGGGTGAGGCAGAACACAGGGAGGGGAGCCCAGCACAGCGGTGGGGAAGGGTCTGGCTGAGGGTCAGGAGCAATGCCCAGGAGCTCATGGAAGGGCAGGGGGGAAGTCTGGTTATCCAGGTAGACTTCCTGGAGGAGGACACAATGCCAGTCTTGATCTATGGCCAAGAAGTCAATGGGCAGAGGTGGGAGCCAGGCACTCCTGATGGATGAAGCATGACTAAGGGGCTTGTACCTAGGGGTGATCGAGCCGCGTGTTGGTTTAAGGGGCACTGGGGAGGCCAGCCCATTAAGGCTCCTGAGGCCAGGCCTAGAAGCCGAAGCCTCTGCCTGCAGAGACACCATTTCCACTCCCTGCCTAGCGCCTGAACTCCCCCACTGCGGTGTGCTGTGCCCACTCCTGGCTTCTTTCTGTTATGTGGGAGGACACCCTGTGAGTCATTCACACTAGAGTGTGAATTAGCCCATCAAATCCAAGGGGACCCCGACAGCGCACAGTCCCATAATAGCACCTGCTTCGTGGGCCGGCAGGAGGCATCGTGAATGCAGTGAAGGCTCTGGCTTGGTGGGTGGGTGGGTGGGTGGGCTCTTAGAGCGCCCTCCCCGTCACTGTCCCCTTGTGTCCCATGAATGAGTAGGCCCTGTGCGGGCACTGTGCCTCTGCCATCCCATGGACAGGTGCGGGGTGAGGATCTGGGCACATTTCACAGGAGGAAGCTGAGCTCCGAGGGTGAGAATAGAGCTGGCTGCTGGACCCCCTGCCGGGCTGGACAAGCATCGTCTAGGCGCTTGCCGGGGGTGCAGGGCAGGGGCCCCAAGAGCACAGGAGCCACAGTGGGCTCTCCCAAGGCCTCCTACCTGCCCCGGACTCAGTGGAGGTGCCTGTGGGGGCTGCCCGAGCAGGGCTGGGCCCAGGTCCTTCCCCATAGCCAGCTGGGGAGGCCTTCTCTGAGCTGCCCTCCCCTGGGAGATGGGGACAAGGTTGTGGCCCTGCACTGGGGCTGAGGGCGACGTGAGGTGGGGATCCACACTGGGTTGGGAGCTGTCTGGGAGCTGCGGCCATTGCTGGGTTTGGAGGGGTCTGCTGGGAGCCGTGGTTACTGACGGGACTGTGGCAGAGGAGAGAGTTGGGAGGTTGGGTGAGGGAGGTTGGGGCCAGTCCCTGCGGGCCCTGGGAGCACTGTGGCCTTTGCTCTGAGTGAAGAGGGAACCGCTGGAGGGCTCTAAGCTGAGGGCCATGCGGCCTGACATATTTCAAATGACTGGTGCCCTGGGAAGCCAGGCGAAGGAGGGCAAGGGGCGGCGGCCACAGTAGCCAGGGGCACGGGTGGTGGCTGTGGAGGGTGGGCACTGTGGGGCTCTCCATGCATTTTCAGATAAAGGCTGGTGGGATTAGCTGGTGGGCAGCTGCAGGGAGGTGGGGGAGGTGAAGCGGGGACCCAAGGCTCCGGGTGAGCGATGGCAGGCTGGCCGTGCCCTCCCCATTCATTCACGCGCAGGCGTCCTGGCTGTGCGCCCTACCTTAGTGGCGCCTGTGGGCGCCTGTGGGACTGTCATGCACCAGAATGTGTCCCTGGGGCCACATGTGTGAGCAGCGTGCTGACTGAGCACCTGGGCGACCCCGAGGTGGAGTAAACAGAACCAGAACTTGTCCCTTGGGTTTCTTGGCACGGAGGTCCTTGGCGACCTTGGCAGGAGCCGAGTGGGAGGAGTCCCAATGGTGGCGGTCACTGGTGGTCTGCAGAGGGGTGGGCAGTGGCTGGACCTGTCATGGGGCCCTATCTAAGGGGAAAGGCACAGCCCTGCCCTGGGATTCCTGTCTGAGGGTCCCAGGTCGCTCTAGGTCCCCACTCCTCTTGGGCAGGAAGGGGACCTGCTGTAGCAAGGCCCCTGCTCAGCTGGTCCTGGGTGGTGTCACTGCCCCAGCTCCTGCTCTCACCCTGGACACATGGGGGTGGGGAGCAGGTGTAACTGACCCAGATTCCTCAGGCCTGGGCTCAGGAGGGGACCTCGCTCTGTGACCCAGATATTCCAAGTTTCTGTAGCTGACGAGAGGTGGCAAATGGTCTCCCACGTGCGGGAGCAGTCGCTGTGTGCGAGGAGGGAATGACTTGCCTGTTTGCAGAGATGGGAACAGGTGCCCCCTGCAGCAGGAAGGATTTCAGTCAGACTTTCGGGGGAACTTCCAGATGTTGTAAGTCAGGATCTGGTACAAGAGGATGCGTCCCAGAGATTTTGTTGAAAGAGGGAGGTCTGAGGCTTTGCCACCTTGCCTAAGTCGACATGCATCCAAGATGCACACAAGGGCCTCAGTTCAGGGCCCAGCCCTCCATCTGTCCTGCTAAAGGCCAGTCCTTGACTGAGGTCTAGTGCAGCAAGGGAGGCTCGGGTAACTCCCAGGAAACCTGCATTGGCTGAGTTTATTTCCTGGCTCAGGATGGGTCTCAGGTTGCCCCTGACGGTCCCTTGCAGACCTGCATTTCAGTCAAGGTTCAGATGTTGCAGGCCCTGGGTGGGAGGGGGCAGGCAGCCAGACACATAAAAACTGGATTCCAGGCCCACTGCTGTCTTGCTGTGTGAACTTGGACAATCGCTGCTTCCCTGAGCCTTGGTTTCTTTATTTACAAAGCTGACCTAAGGGTTCCTGCAGAAATCAAATGATAAACTGCCAGAAAGCCCTTAGCACAGAGTAGAAGCCATTATCGTGGAGGTGCAGGGAAGGGTGAGGAGAAGGGTCCCTGTCCCTGGGCTGTGTGTTGGGAGGCTGTTCCCCTGACACATGCTGCCAAGGCCTGTGGAGCCAGGAGGACGGAGGAGGTAGAGAGGCTGAGGAGGGCACCTGCACTGCAGGCCTGCAGGGTCCCAGTGAACCCCACCCCAGGATCCAGGCCCTTACAGAATGGCCGGGAGCTTCCTGCTTCCAGAGCTGCCAGCCTGACCAGCTAGCTCTCTGGACCAGGGGCAGGTGCCTCCTTGGGCCTTCCATGGCCTGACCCTCAGCAGAGTAGGCAGCAGCCCGTCTCTCTCCCTGCCCCCAGAGGCCGATAAACGACTCAGCACCCACAGCAGGAGCCCTGGGGGCCGGGTGCTGGCTCCCAGGCTGGCCTTCTCCCAGGCAGTGGTGGACAGCTGTCGGCCTGGCGCCCTGCAGACTGGCCAGTGCGGCTGGGAACCAGCCAGGCTGCTGGCCCCAGCCAGCCCGGCTCCCTGCACCCTCGAAGTGCTCCCAGCAACCCTCAGGCAGTTGAGCAGAGGGCTGAGGTTGTGCTGTGCCTGGCCTGGGTTGTGCTGTGCCTGGCCCTTGAGAAGCAGAGCTGTGACTGGAAACCCAGTATCAGCTGCACAGGGAAAAGCGGTCTGCAGGACTCTTCCTGGGGTGCCCTCTGGCCTGTACTGTGCTGGCCATCTTGGTGTCTGGTCAAAGGCTGGCAGGCATAGACCACAACCGCACACCCATCCCCAGGCACGGGGATGGGCCCTCTCGGTGGGAGATGGAGGCTCAGGGAGGCAGCGATTATCCAACGTCACATAGCAAGACAGCGGTGGGCCTGGATTCCAGTTTTTATGTGTCTGGCTGCATGCCCCCTCCCACCCGGGGCCTACAGCTGAACCTTGACTTGAACTGCAGGTCTGCAAGGGACTGTCAGAGATAACCTGAGACCCATCCCAAGCCAGGAAATAAACTCAGCCAATGCAGGTTTCCTGGGAGTTACCTGAGCCTCCCTTGCTGCACAGCCACCAGCCAGGGCTTAGCGGCTCTGTGCCTGGGGTGGGTCTCAGGTCCCTGCTCCACCTGTTCCTCTCCAGCATGGGGACAGTGGCTTCTGCCCTGGAGGGTGTAGGGGATGGACACAGGTGGTGAGTGGGATGTTCCTTGTGCACCTGAATGAGACCTTGGAAAACCCTCTGGCCAGGATGTAGGATCTGGGGTGTCATTTGGAGCACCAGGACTTTCCAGGGACCCCACGCTCCCTTTCCTGTTCTGTCCATAGCCCCAAAGCCTGCCTGGGTCCAGGATTCTATTCTGTGGTTATCAGGATCTGCACTCTGCTCAGGGAGAGGGTGGAAGGGTCTCTCTGCCCCAGGTCTATGACTTTTCGGCCATCCTGTGTTGCGGACGCAGAACAGCCTGGGTCCCTGGCCGCCATCGCAGTGGCTGGGTAAGTGTGGAGGATGGCTGCCCTTTGGAGCCTGCGAAGGTCACGTGGGCTGAGGCCCCTGGCACAGACAGAGGCATCCTCTGAGCCTGACCGTGCTGCAGGGCCCTTCCAGGCTCCCACGTGCCTCTGTGGCTTCCTTTTACGGAGGATGCTGGAGATGGGTGAGCCTCATGCTTCTAAACCCTGGCCCGTGAAACAGGATCCTGGCCTCACACCGCACTTGAGAGGGGAGGGGGCTTCCCAGGGTCACAGAGCCCAGAGCCAGCCCTGCAGAACCTCAGGCCGGCTCCCGGGCCTCCTCTCAGCTCTGCCTTGTCTGTGATCTCCGCCACAGTTTTCCTTCTCTGTAAAACAGGAGCAGGTCCTTCCCCTAGGAGGCGGAGAAGATGCAAGAGATAAAAGCAGATGCTAAGGGCATTCTCACGGGTCTCCCCCGCCAGCCAGCGGCTCACAGCATGTCCCTTCTCCCCTGGGCCCGAATCTCAGGAAGTGCTGCTGCTGAGGGAGATTGAGCAACATCCCCAATTCAATAGAGGCTGCTCTGGGCTATCAGACATGGGCACTGGTGACCCATGCTTGCTCTGAGCCCGGCCCTGTGCCGCTCAGCGCTGTCCAGAGTGGAGTGGGTGCTTCCCTCTGGACACCCCCACCCCCATTTTAAAGATGAGGAGACTGAAGCAAGAGGTGGTATAGGTAACTTCCCAAGGTCACATAGCTAGGATAGGACACAGCCGAGGCACAAAGTCAGGTGTCTGATCAGAGGCGGCTTTTCGTGTGGGGTCAGGGCTGCGTGTGGGGGTGGCTCTCCAGGCTCCTCTGGGGATAGCAGGCTGGAGAGAGCGCCAGCCACAGGGCACCGGGGCAGGTCCCTTCTGACTCCTAGCCTCAGCCCCCGTTGGTACAGTGGGGACCGGATGGAAGAGGTGAGCTGAAGACTCTGCAAGGCACCTTGCCGCACTCGTTCCTGGGTGGGGAATGGGGTAAAACTGCAGCATGGAGGCTCTAGGGCAGACCATAGGAAGACCCTCGACTTGGGCTTTTCTCCTGAAGTCCGGGGGCAGGGGCTGTGTCCCGGCTACTTAGGGAGGAATGAGGCCTTTTCAGCCGTGGGTTCAGAAGGAGACCAGCAGCTGGGGCTCCTGCAGCTGCAGAGCTGCACCCACAAGCTCTTGGGGCTCATCTTTTCAGGAGGCCTGGAGTCCCTCCTCCACCAGGCAGGCCCAGGACCTTGGGTGGGGCTGGGGACTCAGCCTCAGAGAGGGCCTCCTGGGCAGTTTCTGCAAGCCAAGCCCCAGCAGGCAGGAAGGCAGGCCCGGCTCCAGGGCCAGGTCTGTGAAGGAGGGACACGGTGGCTTCCGGACAGGAGGGCTGCCTTGAAGGGTGGGGGAATTCGGCTCCAAAGCAGGAGGAGGAGGAAGAGGAGGCGGAGGAGGAAGAGGAGGAGGTGGAGGAGGAAGAACAGGAGGAGGAGGTTGGGGGTGGAGAGGAGGAGGAGGGGTTTGCAGAGCAGGTCAGTCCCTGGTGCACCAAGTAACAAGTCCTGTGCTTAAATGCGTGCTCAGATGAAAAGCGGGGCAGTCGCGGCCCGTAGACAGCGGGCGGCTGGGTCAGACCGCAGAGGGAAGTTTCCAGCGGCAAGCCTCCCCGCGGGGAAGGCTGTGTCTGTCCCAGGAGATGAGCCGCAGGCACCAGGGGTGATGAGGCCCGGGGGAGGTGGATGTGGGGGATGGAGCGGTCCCAAGGTCGTCAGCTCCAGCCGGCGCCCTGGGCCGCGGGGCCGGAGAGCTCCGGAGCGGACCCTCGCCGCGCTCCGAACCCGCCCCGCGCCCCCAGGCCACACCCGGCTCGCACCCTCCCCGCTCCACGTGCGCCCACGCGCCCCTCCGGGCCTCCCCCTCCTTCCCGCGCGGGCCGGGGGCGCGGGCCCCGGAGGAGCTGGGGGCGGCGGGGGCGCGGGGCGGGCGACTGCCGGGCCCCGGGCCAGCTCTCGCCCCCCGCCCCGCCCCCGATCGCTCGGCTCCCCCGCCCGGCGCTCCCTCGGGCTGCGCTCCGCGGCTCTCGGCGGCGGCGGCGGCGGGCGCAGAGCGCGGCATGGGCGCCCGGGCCGCGGGGCCTGGCGGCGGCGGGCGGACGGGCGCGCGGCTGCGGGCGCAGGTGCGGGGCGGCGGGCCGGGGCCGGGGCCGGGGCGCGGAGCCGCCGCTCGGGGGCCGGGGCGCCCGCGTCCCCGCCGCCGCTGACGCTCCGCCTGTCTCCCTCCCGTGTCCCGCCCGCCCCCAGACCCTCCTCCTCCGCCCCCCCGCAGCTCGGGCCCTGGTCGTGGCGCGGCTGCCGCACGGTGCCCCTCGACGCCCTCCGGACGCGCTGCCTCTGTGACCGGCTCTCCACCTTCGCCATCTTAGCCCAGCTCAGCGCCGACGCGGTGAGACCCCGGCCGGGCCGGCGGGAGGGGCGCCGGGCAGGGGCGCGGGCGGGGGCTGCCGGCGGGCCTGCGGGTGGGGAGGGCCCGCACCCGTCCTGTCCCGGAGGGGTCGCTGTGGCCCGCAGCCGCCGTGGCCTGGCCCGGCCGGCGGGGTCCATGCGCCTCTGGAGAGGGTGGGTGGGCGCCGAGCGGGTGGCAGTGTGGAGTTGGAGACGGGCCTGGGAGGAGTCGGGACCCCCGGAAAGTGGCTGATGGGTGGGTCCCATCTCCCCTGGCCTTGGAGGCCCGGGATCTCCGAGGGAGCCTGGGCCTGGGGAGAGGCTGGGTCCTGAGCCGGGGGCTGGGAGGCGTCGCCTGTGGAGGGGCTACCCTTTCCCTTGGTCCTCTCCGCCTGCCAGGGAGAGGGAGGAGGAGGAGCTGCCGCCTTGGCAGAGCCCTTCGACCCACCCCAAGTAGAGCCTGGTCCGTGGAGGAGGAGGTGGCGGTGGCCCCAGGCAGGGGCCCTGGCCCAGATCCACCGCCCCCCAGGCCTCAGCACCTCGGGGCTTCCTTTTTGTTCCTGTGATTCCTGTGGGGGCTGCCGGTTTCTATGGAGACGGCATCTGGGGTCAGCCGCTGGCAGGGGCCCTGGGTGCTGGGCGCAGCTCCCTGGGGCGGGTGGGCTCTCTTGCTTTGGGCCGGCCAAGCTGCACCCCCTGGCCTGAGGTGGGCCACAGCCCTCTACTGGGGCCCAGGCCGAGGCCCAGGACAGCCCACAGAGCAGGAAAGGGCCTTGGGCGTGTGCTCACCAAGTAACCTCCGCCCAGACCTCGTGTGGAAGCCTGGGAGGCAGCAGGGGTGGAGGATGCACTTGGAGGGGACCTGTCCTTCCTGGGTGTTGGAGGTGGCATTGCTGGCCCTTGGGGAACCCCGGGTTCGATGTAGAAGGTAGCGCCTAGCCTCTCGGACACTCCAGCCTCCTGGCTGTGTTCTCTGGAAAAGTGGGGGGCAGGTGATGTTGGCAGCTGGGGTCTCCCACAGTGCCAGAGCCGGATGGGACCCTCCAGGCCATTGCCAGTAAAATCCTCTGTTGACAGGCAGGGAGACTGAGGCCCAGAGAGAGGGCCTTGCTCAAGGTCTTGGGTGAGTCTGGGCTGGACAGGGGTCTGTGTCCCTGACCATAGTGCACCCCTGCTTGGGCTGTCCCCTCAGGTGAGACTGTTGATGCTGCTGGTTCTGCAGACAGAGCCTGGCAGGCAGCAGTCTGAAGGGCCATCTCGGAGGCTCCCTGGAAGAGGTGGCCTTCTGTGTAGGAGGACATAGACATTATGGCTTTCACTGGGCAGCCTTTCTGGGCCCCTTCGAAGCTGGACCAGGCAAGGCAGGGCCCAGCCTCCAGTCTCCGGGTGCTGCTCTTCCTGTGGGTGTTCGAGGAGGACCTGGGCAGGAGAGAACCTGCTATGGTGTGTGCCCCATCTGCCCCTTCTCCCAGCCCGGTGTCAGGCCTGCAGCAGGTCAGTGTTGGAGTCTGGAAACACAGGCTTGTCTCTGACGAACTGTGACCCTGGACTGGCTCTGCCTTAAGTCCCTCTGAGCCTCAGTTTCCTCACCTGTAAAAGGGAGGGGACCTGGACTACCCAGGACTGGCTGTGAGGAGGGAAACAGATGACTCGGAGAGAGTCCCAGGAACGGGGCAGTCCCCAGGCGGTGGCATACCAGCCAGTCACCAGGCTGACCTCCAGAGTGGGCCTGGCTTAGGGAACTTGTTCAGAGAGGGGCAGGTACATGGGCTGAAGGGGGTGCCCCTGAAATTCCAGCAGCAGGGGCCTTGATGCTGAGGGGCCTTTCCAGGAGGAGACCCACTATGTGCCCCAGTGCACGAGGGGGAGGAAGCGGCTGCTCTGTGGGACAGCAGCGGGGGGCGGGGGTGGAGGCAGCCAGATACACAGTCCTGGGCCTTCTTTGGCAGGCGGTTCGTGGCTGCTGTCGGGGGGCGCTTCTAGTGTTAGCCCAGCCCACGCACACTGGTGTTCACAGGGCAGGATGCCAGCAGGCATGTTGGGTGCCCTGTCCCCCATCCCAGACAGGACATTTGAGGCCGGGGCACAGGGGCTGGCAGTGTCTGCAGAGCCACGGGACCGAGGGCGGGCTGCCTGGACCCTGGGAGCCTCAGTGTCCTCATCTGTGAGATGGGAGGGCGGTTGGCTCTGCCGCAAGGGCAGACCATGTGTGGCTCAGTTTGGGCTCTGGGCACCAGCAGGGGTGTGAGCTGACAGTCAGAGTGCCAGGAAGAAGCCAGGGTGGTTACAGCCTCTGGCAGGTGCTCCCTGGCACCAGAGCCCCTTGGGGCCTTCCTGTCCTTTCCACACCACCTCTTCCTCCTCAGCAAGGGCTGGCCCCCTTGATGCTGGGCAGGGAGAGGCCAAGAGTGAAAGGGAGACTGCTCTCTGGGTGCAGCCTGCCCCTGGCAGGTTCCTTTGTCCACCGTGCCGATCCCTCTGAGGGCTGTGGGCTGGGGTGCCAGGGCTGATGCGGGAGGCAGATGTGTGCACACAGAGGTCTGCAGCCGCCCAGGTGGAAAGGAGGAAGGCTGCGGGTGGGCTCTGGGTGCATGGCCACAGCCTTCTCCCCTCCTGAGTGTGGTGTGGGGAGAAGTGCACGGGGCTGAGGCTTGAAGTGGGGTCCTGAGGGGTGTGCAGGAGTTTACCAGCCGAGCATTGTGGGGTGAGTAGCAGCCATTGCAGAGTGAGGAAGGCATGAAGCTGCGGGGAAGTGGGCACAGGCGTGGGCTCAGCAGGCAGGAGAGGCAGAGAGACTGGTGGCCCGCAAGGCCTGGGGGGCTGCGGGGAGCCCGAGCTTACTCCAGGGGCGTGAGGAGCCGGCTACAGAATGGACTGGTGGGAGGCTGGGAGGTAAGAGGAGAGCAGTCAGGCCTGGGTACCCAGGGGTCCCAGCAGGAGTGAGGAGCGTGAGCCCAGCTGGCAGTTGGGGAGGCGGCCAGAAGTGAGCCTGGCTGGGCAGGGAGAGAGAGGGGTGCTGCCTAGCTTAGCCTGGCTGGGGTTGGATGGACACGTTGGGTGTGGGGACTCTGGTCTGAGTGGGCAGAGGCTGTGGCTTCGGGGGTTCAGAGTGGCCTACAGGGGCTGCTGACCAGGACAGGGGCCTGAGATGGTGGTAGAGGCGGGTACGTGGGCACCCCGGGAGCCAGGGTGGGATGAGATCCGGGCAGGGTGGTAGAGCGAGGGGAGGTGAGACCCACGAGTCCTCCTCTAGAGCTGGCCTGGAGCCAGGGTGTCGGCGCAGATGCGGGCTGCGCAGATGCCGGCTCTGCGGCTGCAGCAGGCCTACGACGGCCGGAAGGTTGAGTAACCGCTCTGAGTCACACCTGTGAGGCGGATGATGCCACCTGTCTCAGAGTGGTGGGGACTGAACTAGGTGATATATTTATGGCACTTGACATAGTCTGGCGTGTAGTAAACAGTCTGAAAAGGACAGTTGTTGTTGGCATGACTTCTGTGATGTGCCTCAGACTGTATTGGAAGGTTGTGACCAGGGTCACAGTTCATTTGCAACCAGGTTTGGGGCTCAGTGTATGACCAGGGTTAGGTTCAGGGGTGTGATCATGGTCAGGGTTCAGCACGTGACCAGAATCAGGGCCCAGTGTGTGCCCAAGATCAAGACTCACAGCCTGACTGGGATCAAGGCTCAGAATATACTTGGGTCAGGGTTTAGTGTGTGGCTGGATTCAGGGGACAGGGTGTGATGGGAATTGGGGCTCGGGGTATAATCTGGGTCAGGGGTCAGAGTATGATGGGGGTTCAGGGCTTAGTCTATGACTAGAGACAGAAATTAGTTTTGTGGGCATTTGGGAGCCATAGACGGTGTTGGGGCAGTGGCAGGACGAAGGTGGTACTGTGGGTAGAAATGAGTCCTTAGGGGGCAAAGGGTGGATATAGGGTTCAGGAGAAGATTGGGAGTGGGAGTTCATGTGGTGGAAACTGGCAGAGACTCGGTCACCAGCCAGGAGAAGCCATTGGTGGGAGGGGGCCGGCTGGTTCAGACCTAGTATGCAGGGAGGGCCTCCGAGAATTGGTGACTTCTGTGCTGGGAGGAGAGCCCGGCGCCTGAAGGTCAGGGAAGGCGTGCAGGGCAGGGGGCCTGGCATGTGCAAGGGCCTGGGCCGCGCTGTGCCTGGCTTGAGCCAGTCTCCGGCAGGGGCCCGGCCTGGCTCTGCCTCCCCTCGGCGTGAGTTGAGGCCGGTCTTGGTCTACCCCTCCTAGTGAGGCCTGCCCAGGCCACCGCCCATCCCTTCTTCATCGCCTGGAACCTGCTGAGCAACGGCCGTCGGGAGTGACTGATGAGCCAGGCGGGGAGGAGAGGGATCAGGTGGACCAGTGGGAGAGCTGGCGGGTTTGCGGCTGCCAGGCCTAACGAGGGCAGGCGGAAGCAGATGGCCACAGAGGCCTGGGCCTGAGCCAGCCTCAGAGCAGGCGCGAGACGCTTACTCGGCCGCCTGTGACCTTTGTGGCCAGCCGGCCTCAGGCCAGCCCAGTGTCTTGGAAACATTTACTGGGGTCACCCTGTCTCCCACCTGTCCCTGTCCAGCTGGTTTCCTAGCCCTGGACCTCAGCTCTGCGCTGGTAAAGTTACCGGTGACTGATGAGCCAGGCTGGGAGGGATCGGGGGGCCGGTGGGAGAGCTGGCAGGTGAGTTTTGATGGGAGAAGTACCGGATGATGGGACTTCAATTCCAGAGGACCACCAGTTTGAGGCCTGAGCTCCAGGCTGTGGCATGCAGGAGTGGTGCTGAGCAGAGTTTCCTGCCGGGCACGGCATCACTGTTCCCATCTTGCCCTCCCAGAGCGTAGTTTGGACAACAGAGGTGAGCAGCGCTACCTGGGGTAGTTCGAGGGGCCTGTGTGGAGGCAGTGGCTTTTGAAAGCCTGGTGGGTTGGCAGTGCTTCTGCACACGAAGAGAAGGCGACTCTTGTTCCAGGGAGGCACAGCTGGAGCCGTGGCACCTGGTACACTTGGGCAGCACAGCTTGGCCCTGGAGGCGAGTGCCAGGTGTGGGGGGCGTCAGTCGTGTGTGCGGGCCCCAGGTGTGCGTGTGTGGGAGCCCCAGGTGCGTGCGTGTGTGGGGGCCCCAGGTGCATGCGTGTGTGCGGGCCCCAGGTGTGTGTGTGCGTGTGCGGGCCCCAGGTGCGTGCGTCTGTGCGGGCCCCAGTTGCGTGTGTGTGGGCCCCAGGTGCATGCGTGTGTGCGGGCCCCAGGTGCATGCGTGTGTGCGGGCCCCAGGTGCGTGCGTGTGTGCGGGCCCCAGGTGCGTGCGTCTGTGTGGGCCCCAGTTGCGTGTGTGTGGGCCCCAGGTGTGCGTGTGTGCGGGCCCCAGGTGCGTGTGTCTGTGCGGGCCCCAGATGTGTGTGTGTGCGCGCGCGTGTGTGCGGGCCCCAGGTGCGTGCGTGTGCGGGTCCCAGGTGCGTGCATCTGTGTGGGCCCCAGGTGCATGTGTGTGTGTGTGGGCCCCAGGGGCATGCGTGTGTGTGCAGGCCACAGGTGTGTGTGTGTGTGTGCATGTGTGCGGGTCCCAGGTGTGTGTGTGTGTGTGTGTGGGTCCCAGGTGCATGCCTGTGTGCGGGCCCCAGGTGCGTGCATGTGTGCGGGCCCCAGGTGTGTGTCTGTGTGTGGGTCCCAGGTGCGTGTGTCTGTGCATGTCAGGCGTGTGGCCTGCACCACCCCGAGGACAAGTCAGGCATGGCGGTTCAGCCTGGCTTATGACTCAGGTGATGGGTTGGGAAGTTGCTCGGGGTGAACTCATCCATGTAGAAGCGATGTCAGCCTGAGTCCCCTCCCCAGCTTTGCACGCCCTTCAGCCACCTGACTTCCCTGTCTGTCTTCAGGCCTGGCATGCTGGGGCTGTGCAGGGCCATGGGGTCGGGAATGGCAGGGTCTGTGGCCGGCCCAGGCCCTTTTGAGGAGAGGATGAGCTGAGTGCAGTGGCCAGAGGCACAGTCATGCGAAGAGGGGAAGGGTCTTCTGGGGGCACCGCTGGGGAAGAGCCCTGAGGGGAACCAGGGGGCCTGGGGGGCTCGGGACATTCTTGTCAGGAAAGGGAGGCTGGCCAGGGGCAGGGCCAGGGCCAGCCCAGTGGCCTTTGCAGAGCCGGGTGGGACATTTGGACAACGCCCAGGGCAGGAGAGTCAGGGAGGAGTGGTGGCCCTCCCTAGGAAGGGGCAGTCACCTAAACTAAGTACCCCGCAGGTGGTGAGGAGGAAGGGCCCACTTTATTCAGGTCACCCCGGCACCCGGATGACACCCCAGCTCCCACACTCTCCTGCCTCTGAGCAGGGCAGAGGTGCCCTCCAGTGCGCTGATCACCTCCCCCATGCCGCTGTGGCGGGAGAGGAGCTCACAGGGGGCAGGGCTAGAGGTGGGGATGCCTGGGGCCAGGGCTGGCGGCTAGGCCTAGAAGCTGCAGGGGACTGAGGGGCTGTGGAGGTGACACAGAGTCACCTGCCGAACAGAGAGCGAGGGGTGGGAGGGGGAGGGCTTTGGTGCAAGGAAGCTGGTCGGGATGTGTCCGGGCTGTGGAGGGACAGGTGGGTGTGGGGTGTCAGGGCCTGGCTGGATGGCATCTTGGATGGGGGTGGGCCGGAGTCAAAGCGGCTGCTGCCCCCGGATTTCTCGAAGCCTGGGCCCAAGAGGACTGTGCGTGTGGGTGGGCCTGGACCTGGCACCTCCCTGGCCCCGTCTGCAGTGTGGGGCTGGCGCCTGCCTGGAATTGACGGGGTTCCGAGACATGATGGCAGCAAAGACTTATCTGGCATCGGGCTTGGCATATGACTGTGGGGCACAGGCAAAGGGCCCAACCTCACAGAGCACAGCCCCGAAAGGGAGTTCTGGAGGGCCTGGGCTGGTAGAGGAAACCCCTCGTCTGCAGGGGGCGGGTGGGGAGGTGGAGGAGGGGCTGGGCCAAACGCTGGGGGTGTGACCCGGGGCTGCGGGCTCTCGGGTCTCAGTCTTCGGGTCTGCCGAGTGGGCGAGTGGGGTGCCTCACTCCCTGCGGTCTCTTCCCGGTCCCCACAGAACATGGAGAAGGCGACTCTGCCGTCGGTGACGCTCATCGTGGGCTGTGGCGTGTCCTCTCTCACCCTGCTCATGCTGGTCATCATCTACGTGTCCGTGTGGAGGTGGGTGCCGCCCAGGTGCTGGGCATGCATGTCTGTGGCTCCTGCATCACACGCCTCTTCCCTTGAAGGTCACGGGCGGGGTCGTGGGTGCCCCTCCCTCCATTTGTCCTCACGTTCCCAGTCACCTCCGCATTTGCCACGGAACCAGCCATGCTGTGGCCCCTCCGAGGCCTCCACAGGTCCTGAGGCCACCCCACACACTCATAATGTGTACATGCCGCACAAACACAGGGGGTGGGGCCTGGTTCCTCCCCTGAACGTGCCCCCTTTGCCTGCACTTCCTGACTTCCCTGTCTACCCTTAGGCATGCAGGCCAGGCCACAGCCTTCCCCGGACCCCCAGTCAGGCCTTAAGGCCCAAAGCCCCTGCTCACTCTCCACCCCAAACCCCCTTTCCCCAAGGCCACAGGGCTCTCAGCCTGCTGTCCATTCTGATTGTGGCCAGTGGGTTTTTGGGGCCACCCAGGCAGGTGTGGAGAGATGTGGAGGAGAGCTCGTGTTTGAGCAGTAACATGCCTGTTGAGTGTGTGGACGCGCCTCCAGGCACTCCCCGCTATCTGCTCCTGTCCCATTGAGTAGAAGTGTGGAGCAGGGAGCAAGGGCTCAAGGTCACTCACTGCCCATGGGGCCGAGTGGGGACTCCCAACGTGTCCAGAGGACACGTGGCTCCGGCTCTGCAGGCAGCGCGATGTCAGCCGATAATCGGAACTGACTGCCTGTCTGCTGCCCAAGGTCGGGCATCGGGAGGTCAATGTGGCTGGTGGGGGAGGGTGGCCGAGCTTTCCCGGAGACAGTGACTGGGTTGTGGGTAGTGGCAGGGGCTCTCCACTGTCCTGCCTGAGGGGACAGCATCCACTGGGCTCTAGGGGGACCATGGTGTTTCCTCTTCCCGGGACCTGCCTTCCCCTAGGGCCTGGATTCCACAAAACATCTGGGGAATGGGGTTCAGGGGCTCTGAACTCAGCTCTGATGTCCTGAGTTCTGAGGAAGTTTTCTGCCGACAGTTTTCAAAGCATCTCCCTTGGTGAGCTCTCCTGGCCATCCCTGTGCCCTATGAGCTGCCGGCAGGGACTGTTCTGTGGTCCCCATGAGGAAGTGGGGACCCAGAGAGAGAACGTGACCTGCCCAAGGTCATGCAGCACATCAGGGTCATGTCAGAGCCCCTGAGGCTCAGCCCTGTGCCCTCTGCTCTCCAGCTGGGTGGACCTCAGTCCTCAAGGGCTGCTGGTGATGGTGGTGATGGTGGTCCTGGTGGTGGTGTTTGTGGTGATGATGGTGGTAATGGTGATGGTGGGGGTGGTGCTGCTGCTGGTGATTGTGGTGATAGTGATGGTGGTGGTGGTGGTGATTGTGGTGGTGATGGTAGTGATGGTGGTGGTGATGGTGGTGGTGGTGCTGGTGCTGGTGATTATGGTGATGATGATGGTAGTGGTGGTGATGGTGGTAGTGGTGGTTGTGATGGTGTTGGTGGTGCTGGTGCTGGTGATTGTGGTGATGGTGGTAGTGATGGTGGTAATGGTCGTGGTGATGGTAGTGATGGTGATGGTGGTAGTGGTGGTTGTGATGGTGTTGGTGCTGGTGCTGGTGATTGTGATGGTGGTAGTGATGGTAATGGTCGTGGTGATGGTGGTGCTGGTGATTGTGGTGGTGGTTGTGTTGGTGTTGGTGGTGCTGGTGATTGTGGTGGTGGTGGTGATGGTGATGGCGTGATGGTGGTGGTGGTGGTAGTGGTTGTGATGGTATTGGTGCTGGTGCTAGTGATTATGGTGATGGTGGTGATGGTGGTGGTGGTGATGGTGGTAGTGATTGTGATGGTGGTGATAGTGGTGCTGATGGTGGTGATGGCTGTGTTGGTTATGGTGATAGTGGTAATGATTGTATGATGATGATGGTGGTGATGGTGATGGTGTGATGGTGGTGGTAGTGGTAGTGGTTGTGATGGTGTTGGTGCTGGTGCTAGTGATTATGGTGATGGTGGTGGTGGTGATGGAGTGATGATGGTGATGGTGGTGGTGATGATGGTGATGGTGATGGTGGTAGTGATTGTGATGATGATAGTGGTGCTGATGGTGGTGATGGCTGTGTTGGTAATGGTGATAGTGGTAATGATTGTATGATGATGGTGGTGATGGTGGTGGTGGTGATGGTAGTGATTGTGATGTTGGTAATGGTGATAGTGGTAATGATTGTATGATGATGGTGGTGATGGTGATGGTGGTGGTGGTGGTGGTGATGGTTGTGTGATAATGGTGATGGTGATGATGGTGATGTAGTGGTGGTGGTGATGGTGGTAGTGATTGTGTGATGATGGTGATGATGGTGATGGTGTGGTGGTGGTGATGGTGGTACTGATTGTGATGGTGGTGATGGTTGTGTTGGTGATGGTGGTGATGATTGTGTGATGATGATGATGGTGTAATGGTGGTGATGGTGGCGGTGATGATGGTCATGGTGGTGGTGCTGTTGGTGACAATGCCTGCAGGAAGTGGGGTGGGGCTCTGGTCTTGGTGCCACAGGACCACAGCCCCTGTGCAGATGGGGTTCTGTTGGGTGCTGACCTTGGGCCCCTGCACTCTCCACAGGTACATTCGCTCAGAGCGTTCTGTCATCCTCATCAACTTCTGCCTGTCCATCATCTCCTCCAATGCCCTCATCCTCATCGGGCAGACCCAGACCCGCAACAAGGTAGGCAGCCTTGCGTCCTGCCATGCACTTCCCAACATCCTCGGGTGGTGAGGATGGACCCCAGGAGGGGCCTGGACCGTGGGATCCCTGGGAAACTCAGGCAGGCGGGTGTGGGGGCAGGAGGAGGCTGCCCCAGCTACAGGGAGTTCCCTGCCCTCTGCTGTGGCTGCAGGAGCCTGTCAGGGGCTGGTCAGCCGGCCAAGAAGGGCAGCTTGTGTTCCAGTGTCTCTGCTGGACTTGCCCTTCAGGATGAGCCTGCTGCAGCCCTGCCCATCCCGCTGTGGGCAGTGGACTCGGCCTCAGCTCAAGCTGCCTCAGGGCTGGGGAGTGGCACTCAAGACGAGTGGCACTGTGGTGACAGAGGCTCCCACGGTCCACCCTCTCACCCCTACGCTCGCCAGCCTTGAAGCTGGCAGCTCATGGAGGGCCCCTGCCTGCCCTCCCCAGACCCCCTATCCCTGGTTCCTACCCTGTGGTCTCCAGCCCCATCCCACTAAATGTGGCAGGTGCAGCCTTTGGCTGGGGGCCTCTGCTTCCTCAAGGGGCCACGCTGACAATCTAGGAGAGAAAATAAAGCAAGAGGGCCCGCAGTGAGACAGAGAAGGCCTGGCCCCAGGGCCTGCCATGTGCTGTGGCAGAAGCTCAGGGCCGCTGTGTGGGTGAGGTTGCCTGCGACTTGCTGTGTGTCCTTGGGGCGTGACGTGCCCTCCCTGGGCCTTGGGCTTACTACCTCCTGAACGCATGGGCGGGTACCTGGACTTTTGAGAAGGCCCCTGGCTTAGCATTTGGTGTGGCTATGAATGGTGCTGAGAAAGATGGGGAGGGAGGATCTGTTTGTCCCAACGGGGCTTAGATGGTCAACAATTCATCTCAGGGCAAGGACCAGGTGATCTCTGGATTGCCTTCTGCCTGGGGACCTGGTTGGGTCCCAGTGAGGGTGCTGGGTGCTGGGCTGCCAGCTGCAGACAGGCACTCAGTGGGGACAGGTGTGGGGCCGGGGAGCACCTGCCCAGCCTGCCCCGCCCTGGGCCCCACACAGGTGGTGTGCACGCTGGTGGCCGCCTTCCTGCACTTCTTCTTCCTGTCCTCCTTCTGCTGGGTGCTCACCGAGGCCTGGCAGTCCTACATGGCGGTGACGGGCCACCTCCGGAACCGCCTCATCCGCAAGCGCTTCCTCTGCCTGGGCTGGGGTGAGCCGCGGCCTTCCCGACCCTCCTGGACAGATACCCTTCCTCCCCCACTGCTTGTTCTGTCCTGGCAGCCCCTCCTCTCCCCATCCCCTGTGGACCCCTGGGGCCTCAGTTGCTGCTTGGGTGGGCTTCCCCCTCTGGGCCCTCGTTCTTCCATGGAGTCACCAGATAAAGCACAGGACACCCAGTTCTCTTTCATGTCTAGATAACGAAAACGTTTCTAGCACAAGTATGTCCGGTGCAGTATTTGGGAGGTACATTTACAAAAAGATGATTCCTGATTTCTCTGCGAGTCAGATGTGCCGGGCACCCTATGTGTTCTCTGCTCATTGGACCACCCTGCGCCCAGCTCCGCAGGCCCTTGCCTTGTTCACCTCCTGCCCCATCTCTTGCTCAGCCCCATCCTCTGTTGGGGGCTTCAGAAGCGCCTGCCTGGCCCCCGCCCTTCACGGCAGGGCTAGGAGGAGGTGGAGGCTGGCTGGGGACTTGGGTGGGGCCAACACCCTCTCTCTGCTCCTTCTCCAGGGCTCCCTGCACTGGTTGTGGCCATTTCTGTGGGATTCACCAAGGCCAAAGGGTACAGCACCATGAACTAGTGAGTCGGGGCATTGGGGGTGTGGTGGATGGCCACATGGCCCCCCAGAGACTTCCACCGCCCTGGAGGGTGAGGGCTGGCCATGCCCTCCCCCCGTGTGACCCTGATCATCTCACAGAGGCTCAGGGAGGGTGGGGCCCCAGGGGCTGGAGGCTGAGCCCCTTGGGCATCCCCTCCCTGTTGGCCAGCCAGCTTCTCCCTGGCAGCGAGCAGTGGGCAGCAGTATTGAAAGAAACCGGGCCATCAGGGCCTCCCCCTCTGTCAGTTGGTCCATTAGTCACTCTGAGCCTCAGTTTCCCCATCTGTTCGGTGGGGAGCCCCCCTCTGTACGGTGCTGGTGAGAGGGAGGGCTGTTTGAGACATGAGCTCTGGGCACAGTGGGCACACCCCCCACAGCAGGCCTGTGGCAGGCAGGGCAGGGGTCGGAGGCTTATTTCACAGATGATGTCACTGAGACCCTGAAGGGTCAGCTGGACCAGGTCCTTGGGGCCTTAAATGGCAAGCCAGGAAGCTTGGGGTCATCCTAGAGGCAGTATGGTTCACCGGGTAGGGAGAAAGGGTCTGGGGCTCAGGATGGGCAGAAGAACTGGGGTGGGGAAGGGGAACCGAGGCTTGAAGGGAGGGCCTGGCTGCAGGGAGGGGAGCAGTGGGGAGCGCGAGGCAGGAGGAAGTGACTGATGCTGGCTGAGTGGGAGGGCGGAGCAGGCCTGGCTCACTGTGGAGCCCCTGGGGACAGGATGTGGCACCCCCTTGGAGCACTGCCCTGTCTAGGTGGCAGTAGGGGGTAGACATAGCTGAGGGCCCAGGGGGTGAGTGCTGAGAGGGAAATCCAAACACTGTCCCCAGAGATGAGAGAAGCAAATACCTGGCCTGCCGAAGTCAGGGGTGGATCAGGAGGGGATGGGGACATTGAAGTGGGGTTCTGAAGGATGAAGAGGAGTTTGTTTGACAGATGACATGAGGTAGGCTGCTCAGGGTAGAGGGAACGGTCCTTATTGGGTTTCAGGTTTCCATGGGCACCACAGGTGGTGTCCAGAGATCTGGAGAATGTGGGGCTGCTTACTGGGAGGGGGGTGGGGAGGGGGCAGGACAGATGTGTGAGCATAGGACCAGGTGCTGAGGCCACGGGGCCTGAGCCCCAGCATTCAAGCATCGCGTCAGGAAGGAGGGTCGGCCAGAGACCCCAAGAGAAGAGCCAGGAAGGGCCCAGGCCTGGGGAAGGAGGGACAGTCAGGTGGCCTTGGCCCTGCCAGCCTGGTGCCCCTGCTGTGTGGCTCTAAGCAGGTGGGTCCCCCCCTCTGGTACTGTCCCCATCTGTAAAATGGGGGTGACAGTGGCTGCCTGGGGTCTCCTGAGGATTCTAAGGCTAAAGAGTGGGTGTGACCTGCCCTGCATGCCGAAGGCGCTTAATAAGTGCCAGTTTTCTTCTGCCACTTCCCAGCTCACCCCTACTCCTGAGAGGCCGGCAGCACCTCTCTGCACGCCCCTCTGCACACGGGCGGTGCTGATGGCCTGTCTCCTCCCCAGCTGCTGGCTCTCCCTGGAGGGGGGACTGCTCTATGCCTTCGTGGGACCTGCCGCTGCCGTTGTGCTGGTACTGACCCGCCCAGGCCCCACTCCCCACGACCCCACCTGGGCCCCCCACCTGCCTCCTGGGCCTCGGTGCTGTCTCATGCCCCAGGCTGTGCACCTGCTGTCCCTTCAGGATGGCCCTCATGGCCCTCATCACCAGGGGGTGGGGGTGCCCACAGCCCCACTCTGACCTGCCCTTGGCATGCAGTGCAGGGGCTGGGCCAGGGTAGTGACCCTTCACACCTGTGAGTCTCGGCTTGCCTGATTATTGGGTGCCAGCTGTGTACCTGCCAGGAGATCCCCGCGGGTGTGGTGAGTGAGTGGCATGGGAGGAAGCTGGGGATGGACGGATGATGCGAGCAGCGGGGAGCTGCAGGCTGGACCTGGGTTGTGGGTGTCTGGCCCCAGAGCGCCAGATGTGAGGCTGGTGACCGCGGCTGCTTGCCCCTTCGGGGGCCCCGGTGAGGACCTTCCCTGTGTGGGTCCTTGGGCTTTCCTTCCCGCTCTCCTCCCACCTTAGTGTGGAGGAAGGCAAGACTGTGGCAGGTGGCACGCAGGGTCACCGTCCTGGGGTCACAGATGAGCTGCGGCAGCCTGGGGGACCCGCCTGGGGTCACTGGCCTCTACTGGGTCCAGCTCTGAGCCCACTCAGCCAGCCCCCACCTCTCTACTCTGGCAGAGCACCAGGGTTCACACCCACCCTCACATCCCCTCCCCTCTCGCCCCAGGAGAGGCCATCCACTTCCAGTAATTCCTGCTGCCATGAGCGGTGTCTCTGCAGGGCCACACCCCATCCTAGTGGGGACTCAGGCACAGGCTGGGCCTAGCAGAGAAACGTGCATGAGGGGTGATGGGGAGCTAGCCCTGTAGGGGCAGTTGGGGAGCCTACTGGGGGTTGGAGGGGCAGTGGGGCGCCATCCTTGGGCAGCCCCAGACCCCTCCCCACAGCCCTGGCTGTGGGATCCTACCTTCTTTATTCCTTCCTCCAGGCGGGAGGCAGGAGAGGCGTGGGGTACCTGGCGGTACCCCAGGCACCTGGGGATGGAGGTTGTGGGAAAGGGGACAGAGACAGGAGTCCCACCCTGTACACCCCTCCCCAGGATGTGTCAGGAAGGCAGGCTGACCCTGGCGGCTGTGGGACCCGAGCCCCAGCAGCCCCTCCTGTCCTTGGGGCCACGTGGGGCAGGCTGGGCAGAGCCTGCTGCAGGCAGTGGTCCGTCACTGGTGTCCATCCTCTCTTCTCTGCTCCGGCCACATCAGAAAAGTAGGCTGCCCAGGAAAGAGGCCACCACCCATCAGGCTGGCCAAGGCTGTGATGTGGGTGTCTGGGAACTCTGCATCCATTGTGGAAAGCAGGCCGGCTGTGTGGTCATGAGCCCTGAGCTGGAGGGCTACACGGTCTACCACCCTGGTCTTCTGGACGTGAAATGCCTGGTCAGGGGTCCATGGAGTCCTGGGGTCTCCCAGCCTCCAGCTTCTGGAACCTGGGCCTGAGGAAGTCAGGCCTTGCCCCTCGGGGTCCTAGCAGCATCTTTCTGCAGAGTGGGGATGCAGGAGGAGGGCCTCAGGGAGCCTCTGGCAGTTGGGGAGCAGAGAGTATGGCCTGAGACTCCTCCTTCCCCCCAGCAGAGGAGGCCAGGAGACAGGGGGAGACCCCAGGATGCTCAGGGCCAGTGGCTTCCCGGGGGTGCTCCAGGAACAGCTCTTGTATTGACTGGTAGCCTGGACAGTGGCAGGCATGGGAGACTTATGTTAGAGCCCAAGAAGAGCCTCCCTGGGTGCAGGCGCCCAGCCAGGGCCCTTATGGGGTGGGCAGTTAATCTGATGGGAATAGGGGAGGGAGATCAGGAAGGAAGTCTAGAGAGAGGAGGTGGCCTGCCCAGAGCAGAGAGCCAGGAGGAGTGTGACCCCAGGGAGAGCCAGGATTGGTGTCCCTTAGACAGGTTTCAGCTGCAGGCTGGCAGGGGCCTCCGGGCCCTGTGGGTGGGGAGCTCGCTGGTGGAAGGGATGCAAGGAGTTGCAGCAGAGGTGCCGACGGTGCGGGTGACACACAGAGAGGGCCCTGCACAGTTGGCAGCTGGGCTGGAGGTCACCTGACATCCCATCAGGCACTGGGGTTCCTGTGATGGAGGCACGGGAGGTGACCCTGGGTGGGGTAGGGGGTCGTGGTTGGCGTAGCCAGCATCGGTCCGGCCAGTGTCAGCCCCTGAGCCTACGGCGGCCCCCACCCCCACACCCCCACCACTCTCTGCCCGGCAGGTGAACATGGTCATTGGGATCCTGGTGTTCAACAAGCTCGTGTCCAAAGACGGCATCACGGACAAGAAGCTGAAGGAGCGGGCAGGGTAGGACCGGGGCTACGCGGCTCCTTGCCCACCCGGAGTGCAAGACCCAGAGCCCACCCAGCCCCGGGGGATGGAGAACGCTCCATGCCCAATCTGAGACTGCAGGTCCAGGGACCCCGGAGCGGGTGGGAAACGGAGGCACTGAGTACAGAGGCCCCTTAGGCTCAGCCAGCCCCTGCCTCTCACCGTGCCTCAGTTTCTCCATCTGACCTGGACAGGGTGGGTCCCATAAAGTCCTCAGAAGCTGTGAGACTGATTGTGCAGGGACACCCCGCCTCTGCCTGGCTTGCAGGATGGCAGCAGGGTGCCCCCAAGGCTGGGTGCTGGGGGTCCCTGGCCCCCCACTCCCCTACCACAAGGCTTGCTCCATGGCCAGGGGGAGGATGTCGCCTGTCCATGCAGGGACTCCCTGTCTTTGTGGGACCTTCATCATGGGGAGGATGGTGCAGAGGACAGGTGGAGCTGATGTTCCTCCCTCCGGGGAACCCAAGCCCAGGGAGTGCTCTCAGCACAGCAGCTGGACAGGGTGCTGGAGCAAGACAGAGGCGCTTGGGATGTGTGGCTGCACCCACCTTTGAGGGACAGGGCCCTGGGCACAGAGGGGAAGCTGCGGGGCGTGGGGAGCTGACTAGGGCGGACAAGCCCCTCTTGGTCCTCCCGCCCCTCACCTCTGCCTGCTGTTCTGTGTCATCCAGCCCTGGCTGGTGTCTGCGTGGGCCCCTCCCCTCCGTGCCAGTCTTGCTTGGATGCTTGGTGTCTCTCTGTCTCTCTCTCTGTTCCTGTCTCTCTCTTCCTGGCTCCTCCTGCTGTCCCCAGTGAACAGACGCTTTCAGGAAGCCTTCCCCTTGGGTGCCTGTGGGTTCTGGTCCTGGTTAGGAACCAGCCGAGCTGGTGTCTGATGCTGAGTGCGTGCCATGGCCCTGGGGTCTGTCACTCTGGGTGGGAGTCGCGGTGCTTTGTCTCCTGGCCTGGGAGATGGAGGCTGGAACAGGCCTCTCTAAGGCCTTGCCCTACCTGTCCCCGGAACACCCTGTCCCACACTGCTCCCAAGACAGTGGTCACACTCAGAAGAGGTCCCCAGGGCTACACATCCAGGGTCTGAGCATGGCAGACTGCCTACCTGGTCGTAAAAGCAGCAGTGATCTCAGGGGCTCACCCAGGGTGGATGTTTTGTTTGCTTCTTAGAATAACCATTGTGGCAGATTCTATGGTTATAGTCCCATCTTAAAGCTGAGAAATGGAGGTTTAGGGAGGTTGAGTGGCTGATGGAGCTGAGCTTCCAGGCCAGGTGGGCACACACTAGAACTAAGCCCAGGCGGCCTGCACTCTGCCCACCTCACCCTGTGTGTGCCACGGGGGCCAGCTGCGTTAGGTGCACACAGCCCAGGAGCGCACCCAGACTCGCCTGTGTGGCCGTGTAGGTCTCGCCGCCCACGTAGACGGGATGGAGGTTGGGGTGGAGGGGCACCCAGTACACCGGTCTATGTGTGCACGCACACCCACACGCATGGGCACACACACGTGGGCATACACATGCCACGAGGACCTGCACGAGGTCCCTGCCCAGGTCAGCTCCCTCGCAGACACACGGAAAGGGGACTGGAAGGCGCAGCGGCCTCCCTCTGGGAATTTTGCCGCTTTGTGCAGACGGAGGCAGGGTCCACCCTCAGCTGAGCGCAGGGACCCCTCACTACCTTCCCCCCATGCCTGCCACTTGCAGCCCTCAGCCCTGCCCACCACAGCGCCCACGCCCCAGGCCTGAGTTCGTGAGGTGGCTGAGAGCCCCCAGGACCGTCCCTGTTGGGGCCCAGGCTGGACTCCTGAGGGGCTGGTTTTGCACTTTGGCCCCGCCCCTCCTGCCTGGTTTCCGAGAGCAGGGCGCTTGCTTTCGTTTCAGCCTTTTAATTTCACTTGCAGTCAGCCGTCCCCGCACCCCCTCGGGCGCGCCCTCAAGTGTGCCGAGTGTGGAGTCCTCTCTGCCGCCGATGCCACCTCCGACGCCACCAGTAACGCCATGTTAGTGCCTCCGCTGCCACCTCCCTCCTAGGCCCACCCTTGGGGCTCCGCGCTCTGAGTCACCTTCTGTTTGTTTTATGTTTATCTTTCATTTCTTCCTTTTCTACCGTCCACTCTGGGTTTCTAGGCCACTCCCGTCCCCCCGATCCACTGCCCTCAGCTCCTCCTTCCATCCTCCCCACAGGCCTGCTCTAGGCCTGGCAGCACAAGGCACCGCGGGTGCAGGGCGTGGGGCCGGGCCTGGGCACAGGTGGAGTGCAGCTGTGGGCTGCGCTGCGGTAGGGAAGGAGCGGTGGTCAGTCCTGTCCCTCTGGGGCCCGAGTGTGTGCCAGGCTGCAAGCTGTGGTTTCTTGCTTCTGGAGTTGAACCTCCACCCCCACCCCTGGTGCTGCTGGCACGGAGCCCAGGATGGCTGATGCCTGGGCAGGGGTCTGCACCCATGACACCCCCGCAGTTCTGTGGTGGGGCGAGGAGACTGGCCCTGGCCTGCCTGATGGGAAGCCTCCCTCCCTGTGAGTGCACATGAGCACACATGTGAGAGCATGGCTAGGTGTGTGCATGTGTGTGAGTGTGCATGCATGCCACTGGGGGTGTGTGGGTATGCATGTCACCAGGTATGTGTGTATGAGTGTGCATATGTGAGTGTACATGAGTGTGCATTCGTGTGAGAGCATGACCAGGTGTGTGCAGATGTGTTTGTGTGTGTGTGTGTGCCCATGTGAGAGTACTTGCTTTTGTTTCAGGCTTTTAATTTCGCTTGTAGCCAACCGCCCCCATACCCCCTTGGGTGTGCTCTCAAGTGTACTGAGTGTGGAGTTCTCTGCCGCCAGTGCCACCTCTGATGCCACAAGTGTGCAAGTGTATGTGTACATGTGTAAGAGTGTGCCTTGATGTGTGCAAGCATGCATCTATGTGTGTGAGTGCAACCCACTGTGCATGTGTGAGCGTGCATGTATGTGTGTGAGTGCAACCCAGTGTGCATACGTGTGAGCATGCATCTGTATATGCGTGTGTGAGTGTGCATCTGTGTGTACCTGTGAGCGTGCATCGGTGTACCTGTGAGCGTGCATCTATGTGTGTGAGTGCAACCCAGTGTGCATATGTGTGAGTGTGCATCTATGTGTGTGGACGTGTGAGGATGCATCTGTGTACCTGTGAGTGTGCATCTGTGTGAGTGCAACCCGGTGTGTGTATGTGTGAGTGTGCATCTGTGTGGGTGCAACCTGGTGTGTATACATGTGAACGTGCATCTGTGTGGATGTGTGAGCATGCATCTGTGTGTGTACCTGTGAGCGTGCATCTGTGTGAGTGCAACCCAGTGTGCATACGTGCAAACGTGCATCTGTGTGTGTGAGCGCAACCTGCTGTGCGTATGTGTGAGCGTGCATCTCTGTGTGTGAGTGCAACCTGGTGTATATACATGTGAGTGTGCATCTGTGTGTGAGTGCAACTTGATATTTTGCGTTAGTGTGTGTGTATAAGTGTGAGTGTGTATATAATTGGGCATGTGCCTGTGTGTGCGTGTGTGTGTATGAGCGTGTGAGCATTGTGTATGTGGGAATGTGTTTATAGGTGAGTGTGTGAATGCGTGTGTGTGTGTGTACGCATGTGTGCCTGAGAGCAGGAGGCAGCCAGGGCCAAGGGAACAGGGAAGGAAGGGTTCAGGGTCAGGGGCTGATCTGCTGACCTTGGGCAGCCTTAGCAGCTGTGCATAGGGCAGGGCGGTATGGGCTCAGGTGGGTGGGGCCAGTTGGGCTTTCCAGCCTGAGGGGTCATTTCGTCCGTGCCCTGCCTCCCTCAACCCAAGGTGAGGGTGGTGCGCCCAGGTGCATACCCCTGTACCCTCCTGCTTTGCTCCCTGAGCCAGGCACTAGGGGTCCAGGGTTTTAGGAGCCGTGGGAGAAGAGCTCTGGGCCCTGGCACTGTGCAGATGCGAGTCGGGGCGAGGCTAGCCTGGGTGGGAGGAGCAAGCCCGGAGCTGGGGCAGCGTCCACACTGGCCTGCCAGGCCCCGGGAAGTTCAGGTTCTTTGGGGCTAGTGTTGCCCTTTCTTTGTCTCAACACCAGGGATGTGGCAGGGGCTGTGGGATCCACCCCATCTCATTCCATCAGAGAGAAGTGGGGGCCAGAAGGATGTTCCCTTTGCAGTCACTCAGAGCCTCTCCCCGCACCCCGGGCACCTGCCTCTCCAGACAGGAGCAGGCGCGGTGCAGCTGGGCACTCCTGGCCTCCCCTTCAGCAGCTCCCGGGCCTTTCTGCTTCCTTCCCACCGCTCTCTGCAGAAATGTTTCCCAGCCGCAGAGGCTGAGCTGCTGTGTGGGAGTAATTTACAGGTCCCCAGGCCCCAGGCCACCTGCCAGCCGCAGCAGATCGGGCTGTAAATGTCAGGCCTGGAGACCCAGCTGCACCACTGTATCCCCTGACGGGCAGCAGCAGGGGTGACTGACAGCAGGCAAAGAAGTCTCCATGGGGAGGGAAGCCTTGCACCTCCTCCCTTAGGACTTGGGTGAGGAGAGGAGTCCAGGGTCCCGGCTCAAAGAATACCAGCTTTGGAAGGGAGAAGAGAGATTCTCCAGCTTATCGCCATGGGAAAACCGAGGCCCCAGCCGAGGGGTCCTGCTCTGTGTCAGTGAGTGTTTCCTTGGCTCTGTGAATATTGATGGAGGGCCTCCTCATCACAGGCCCTGTGCCAAGTGCAGGGACACAGCAGTGAGTGACAGCCAGGGCCCTGTCCGCTGCTGCAGCCTGGAGGGAGCAGCACGGTCATGGGCAAGGGAGGCCTCTCCGGACGCCTGAGTTCCCAGGCGTGGGGTGCACAGGGAGCAGGGGCAGGCTCTCCAGGGCCAGGGGAAGGGCCAAGGAGGTTGGTGGCCTCTAGTACACTCCAAAGTTGTACAGGGAAGAAGGAGTCCCATGAGGCTATTAGAGCCCATCCTATGTCCAAGAGCAGGAGGGGCGGGTGCGTGGCCAGGGCCACGGTACCCTGAGACCCGGGAGGCACTGGCCATGCAGGACCAGGCCCTCTGTCCTGGTGTTGCTCTGGGCTCTGGGCCTGCACGTGTCCTAGCCATGGGTATGTGGTCATGCCTGAGGCTGGGGCCAGACAGATCCCTGCCGGACAGCATCACTGAAGAAAAGCAGACCAAGGCCTGGGGTAGAGGGCCGGATGGAGGAGAGGAGGAAGAGAGTCCAGGAGGCAGGCATGGCTGGCTGTGCCTGCTGAGAGGTCCTGAGAGATGACGACACAGATATCCCTTGGGGGCTGGGCCCTGCACAGGTGTTCTGCACTAGGGGTGGGAGCAGCATTGGTGGCCAAGCCACACTAGAGAGGGCTGAGGAGCAGAGCGTGTGGTTTTGGAGGCCCTTGTCCTGGCAGACTCCAGGTCATTCCAGCATCTCTCCTGCCAGCCCTGGTGTGCCAGCTCCTGCCTGGCATTCTGACCGCACACCTGGGCCCCCTACTCCCTATTCAGTCCTCCTGCCCCAGCTCCCCCTGTGTAGGAGGAGGGGAGGAGGGAAGCTGGCGCCAGCACCCATTCCGGGTGGTGATGACAGTCCTGCGGGCTGTGGGGCCTCCTGCGGGCAGGCACAGGGCCACCTCCCGAGCACTCACCGCAGCCGGGGTCCTGCTGGCCTCTGTCTGTGTTCCACAGCCCCGGGAAGCAGGTTGGTGTCCCCACTGTGAGCAGGAGAGCACAGGCTCAGAGGCCACGCGCGGAACCCAGTGGGTGGATGTGGGGAGGGGCCCAGGCCTTCACTGCTCCCAGCGAGGCTGGGCTGCAGGGGCGAGGGCTGCTGTGAGGCTCCTGGAGGACCTCCTGGGAGGGGGTGGCACTGAGCGGCAGAGGCAGCAGGAAGGGTCTACAGGCAGGTGGCCGCTGGGGCTCAGGAGGCATGGGCGGAGCTGGCCCACGAAGAGGAGGAGGCGCCTGTCAGTCTGTCTGTTGCCGTCTGTCTCTGTCTCTCCTCTGCTCCTCCCCTGCTGGCCTTGGCCGTCTGTCTGTCCTCATCTCATTCCCTCTAAGCTTCTCTCTCTCCAGGTCTCTGAGTTCTGGGCTCCACCCTCCCCTCCCCACCATGGCCATCTTGCTCTGCCCTTCAGGGCCTGGACCCCTCGCCTGGGGCCTGTGGGCTCTCTGAGGGTCCTGGACCAGGGGATCCTCCTTGGCGCACCCCACACCAGACAGCCCATCCCTCTCCAGCCTGTCTCCCTTCCCCTGTCACCTCCTAGACTGTCAGGAACCTGGATCTTCCCAAAGAGCCCTTCCCCCTTGCCCAGCTTCTCAGGACCTCCCTCCTGAGTCCTTGGGTCCACTCAGAGACCTTGGGCTTGGGGAGGGGGTGCTGGGACCTCAGTGTTGACGGTGGGCTCCTCCCCAGCCTGGGGCAAGGGCTTGAGAGGGGAGGGGCAGAGTGTGGGACAGGATTGGGGGAGTCCTGGGGAGGAGAGAGGGTGCAGACGCAGCCTGGGCAGTGGTGGACCCCTAGGGAGACTCACCCCAGAGAGGAAGGGCTGCTTGGCCCAGGCCCCCAGAGACAGAGACGGGGACTTAGGGCTGGGTCCCCACCGAGGCCTGGAGATGCAGGGTTCAGGGCAGGGTGTCCCTGGGGGCAGGGGCGGGGGCGGCAGCGCTGACACCCTCCATCCCCAGGGCCTCCCTGTGGAGCTCCTGCGTGGTGCTGCCGCTGCTGGCGCTGACCTGGATGTCGGCTGTGCTCGCCGTCACCGACCGCCGCTCCGCCCTCTTCCAGATCCTCTTCGCTGTCTTCGACTCGCTGGAGGGCTTCGTCATCGTCATGGTGCACTGTATCCTCCGTAGAGAGGTGGGTGAGGCAGCCTCTGTCGGGCCGGGCTCCTGCGGGGTCCTGGGGCTGCCGAGTGGCCTCCTCCTTCCCCGAGGACCTCGGCAGGGAGATTGTGGGTAGGCGCAGCATCCATGACCCTGACACATCTGCAGGCCTCGGTGGTCCACAGAGCGGGGCCTGCAGGTGAGCGTGTCCACCCCACTCTCCCTGGGAGCGGCCCAGGCAGTGCAGCACCTTCCCAAGGATGCCCTGCGCCCGCACTGGCTTGGGGGCGTGGGGGACGAAAGCACATGGGGCCCCCATCCTCAAGGGGCCTACAGGAGTGAGGAAGCTGGCAGCAGAAGTAGCTTCCAGGGCAATAGAGACTCCTGCTTCCGGCGTTTTCTGGATCTTTCCAGAAGGTGTCACTAGAAGGTTTTCACCAAACTACATCCCAACTACCGCCTGGCTGGTGGCCACGATTGGGATGCTCTTGCGGAGGCTGGAATGTGGGAAAGCATGCATGTCGACCTGGGTGGCGTAGGACACCTGCTTCCAGATCAGCGCCAGGAGGGCGGAAGGCCCAGGAGCGGGGCGGCCACCTCCCCCTTCCTGGGTCCCCCTGGAGAGACGGCAGAGGGGCTGTTGAAAAGCACACAGGTTCCCGAGGATGAAGAATACAGGAGAAGCCGACAGCAGGGGAGCCGGTAGGCAGGGAAGCAGGATGAGAGGTGCAGTCCCAGCTAACTGGAGACAGCCCAGGCTTCGGCCAGCTGCAAGGAGCCAGACGGTGTCAGGAGTGGGGCCCGCCCCCTCCCCAGGATCTCTGGCTGCCACAGGAAGGTCAGGCGTGGGAGGCCTGGTTTTCCGGCCTTAGGTGGCGATTTCCATCCCAGCCTGGAAGGGCAGGGCTGCCCTCTTGGCCTCCGCGGCCTGGGCCTCACTCTCTGGGCAGAGTGAACAGAGGGGCTCTGGCCTGGGGCAGCTGGCACAGCTGAAGATGGGGATGCCGCCTGGAAACAAGTCAGGGAAGTGGATGTGCTGAGCCTGGGTCACGTGTCAGCGCAGGCCTCCCAGACCCAGACCTCTGCGGGGAGGTGTGAACGCCCCTCTCAAGGCAATCTGACTTCGAGGAAAGACAAGAGGAGGAAGAGCCAGAGTTCTGATGTCCAGCAGCGAAACGGCTCCTGTACCAGTCAACCACCAGCCGGGCAGTGCTCCACACTTACATCCCAGCAGCTCCTGATGAGGACAGCAGAGCTCCTGTTGGAGTTGCAACCCAACCAGACAAGCAGGAAAACAGCGTGGGGACAGAGGCAGCCCAGGAAGGAGAAACCTCAGTGGCCCCTTCTTATCCTCACCTGGGAGAAGCCGCTCACCCTGGTGCACGCCACATGGGCCAGGCCCTGGTCCCAGCAATGAACTCGTGTTAGTGAATCTCATGACAGCTTCTAAAGCAGGTGCCACCTGCTCCGTTCCAGACAGGACAGCTCCAGGGAGCTCGTCACAGGAGCTCATCACCATGGCTGGGATTTGAGGCCAGGCGGTTCTTCTTTGAGGCCACACTCCTGGCCCCCAGTGCCTGGCTTCTGTGAAACAAGAACAGTAGCCTATGAAAAAGGAACAAAAAGAGCCTTGTGGAAATTAAAAACAGAGAGCAGCTCAAAGCTCAGTAGAAGGAAAATGGAGGCAAAATATCTCACAAAATAGAAAAGACGGAAATTGGAGAGATTTCTCAAACAATTAGGCAAATCCCCAAGGACCAACTGACCGGTGACGGGAGCTGCAAAGGAGACAGCGGAGAGGAGGGGCTCCAGGGAGGCAGAGCCCAGGGCCAGCTGGAGCAGAGGGCTGGCACTGGGGGTCTCAGATGTGCAAGAAGCCTCATGGTTGGCAAATGGGGTCAGGGAAGGAGGGGACCCAGCATGCTCCTATGGTGGGCGGGGACAGAGGACACCAGGGCCAGACTTCCCCGAAGCCCCCAGTGAGCTCCCAGCCCCTGTGTGTGGGCTCCGTGCTGCAGGGCCTTCAAGGTCCTGCCCAGAGATGGCTTCCACCTGGGCCTGGTAGCAAGGGGCCTTGCCTACCCAGGTCCTCAGCCTCGGGGGTGGTGGCCAGGGCTGCAGAGCATGCTGAGGAGGCTGGGCCAGGTGGAGGCCATGCCGGGCAGCCCAGCCGGCCCTGTGGCCTGGGACACTCCTGCAGGTGGGCAAGTCAGTCCCTCGTCTGCCCATGAGGCTGGGGCCTCCTGGGCTGAGGCTGGCTCGGGTGTTCCTGGAGAGGGTACCAGAGGGACTTGGGGAGCCCCAGCTCCTCTGCTCGCCCACAGAGAGCACTTCCCTACCTGCCTGTGGGACCGGGCACACGGTAGGTGCCCAGTAGGCATTTGCGGGGCAGGTCCATGAGGGAGAGGATGGCAGGAAGGCACACCTGCTGTGGCGGCCTGGAGTCCTTAGCTGGTGTCCGGGGGTCAGAGGCCACTGAGACCCTGGTTTCCAGGCCTGGCCCTGCCTCTGACCAGCTGTGTGGCCACGGACAATTCTCTCGCCCGCTTTGGGCCTCGGTCCCCATCTGCCTGATGAGAGGGGTGGGCTGGGTGTGCTCAGCCCCCCAGCAGCATGAAGCAGAGCACTAGGTGAGGGAACAGGGCCACAGGTCTGTGGTTGAGTGGGTGGGTAGGTAGGTGGGTGCCTGGAAGCCAGGAGCCCCAGCTTGCCCTCTTTCTGCCTCTGCCAACTTCTGTTTGGATGCCTCCTCCAGGAAGCCCTCTGTGCTTTCATGCCCCCCACCACCCCCAAGGATTCCCTTTATATACTGTTACCACCGCAGTGTCAGTGTGCTGCCCAGAGCAGCCCACAGGAGGTGGCTGCTGGCCCCACGGGAGGGACAGTTGGCATTCGTAGATGATGTCTCCTGGATATCCAGTCTTTACCTCCTTGGGAGTTCCCTGTCCATAAGCTCTGCTGGCCGCTGGTCTTCCCCTGTAGCCCCTCCTACAGAGTCTGCTGCCGTCCTCACCACTGTCCCCCCTGAAGAGTGGGTGGCCATGAAGGGTGAAATCCCCCTTGACAGAGTGCTGTTCCCAGTGGGGTGGCTCTGGGGAGGGGCCAGGCTCAGGGACCCTGGCACAGCACCCCACACTCCCAGGGCAGTGAGGGCCAGGCTTTCCACTGGCTCAGAGGAGGCAACGACATTGAGGCTGCTGGAGATGCAGGCCAGGTCCAGGGACATCTTCGGCCCGCTGCAGGTCAGGGCAGGTTCTCGCAGGCGGACTCTGGCCCGAGGGCCTGCAGCAGCTCTCGGTGGCTGGGAGCTTGGTAGAGAGAATCTCAGACAGGAGAGGGGTAGGCTGTTCCCCTCCTGGGGTCTCTTTTCCCCTTCTCCACCCAGTGGGTCATGACTCAGCAGACCAGAGGTGGCCCTGTGGGGAGGCCTCCTGCTGACCAGCCCTGCCCTTCCCCGAGACGCCCGCCCCCCCACAGGTGCTGCTCATCTGATCTGGCGCTGGCGCAGGGTGGGGGCGTGGCTGCCACTGAGGTGCTCGGCTCTCCCTCCCCAGGTCCAGGACGCTGTGAAATGCCGTGTGGTTGACCGGCAGGAGGAGGGCAACGGGGACTCAGGGGGCTCCTTCCAGAACGGCCACGCCCAGCTCATGGTAGGACTCAGGGCCCGGGGACTCAGGCTGCCCTACCTGCCTCGTACCCCCGCCAAGTGCCTCCAGGCCCTCACCGTGCCCCAAGCTCCCCTAGGCCCCAGCAACCCTGCTGAGAGGAGCTCTGAACCCAGTGTGCAGTTGGGGAAACTGAGGCTCGCCAAGTGGAACCCCTGGTCCGGGGTTTCCAGCTGGGAAGGCCTGAGCTGATGAGTTTGGAGGTCTCAGCGGAGGCTGGCATCCACCCCACACTCACCCCCGCTGGCAGCAGTGCCCGTCTGGCTGGACACCACCCTCTGAGCATCCCAGCCCTCAACTCAAGGTCCCCATCCTTACACCTCCCAGGCCCACCCTCAGTGCCCTCCATCCCCACCCAGGAAAGTCCTGCTCAGCTGCCACCTAGGGGTCCAGCCTAGCCTGCCCATCCCCTCCCCCTACCCCGCATATTCCCACCTGCTGCCTCCCTGGCGCTCCCTGGGTGCTGCCCAGTCCTCAGCCCCTGCAGGGTGACTCTCCCTTGTGGCCCCTGGCCATCCTGCCTTCACCCTCTCTGGGCTCTCTGCCCTCCCCCTGCCCATCCTGGTGTCCTCAGCGGTGTGTTCTGCACCCCCCGCCCCTGCCTGTGCCTGCGCCTGTCCTCTTTACAGCACAGCGTTCCCACGACACGCACAGGTCCTGGGAGGGCGGCCCAAGTGGCGGTTCCTACGTAAGGGCCCCCAACAGCCCCCTGTGGAGCCTCAACTCTTCCACACCTCGACCTCAGCATCTTCCTCCTGCAGCCTTGTGCCCCTGGGGCTCAGCCAGGACCGTAGTGGGCTCCTAGTCACCAAGTCTGCTCCCACCCACACCCGTCACTAGACCTCCTGCTTCTGCACCCAGAGGCTAGCACACAGGGTGGAGCCAGGCCCCCTTCTCCACCCTCTAGGCCTCAGGACAGCATCCACGCCCTGGCCTGGTCCTGTGCAGAACCCGCAGCTGTGCTGGTCTTGCTCCTGCCCCTGTGTCCTTCACACAAGCTTCCACCCCAGGTGTTGGCCACCCTGCGCACTCCCGTGGGTCCCCTCCTCCAGGGAGCCCTCCTTGACTCTTGCCCCATGGTGCCACCTTTCTGGGCTCAGGCCACGCCCCTGGTGAACTCTGCACGGCTGGTGCGCGGGAGGTGCTCCCTGGGTCCCGGGGTGCCCAGCCACCTCACAGTGGTTGTGAAGCTCACAGGCAGGGCCTCAGCAGATGGCATGTCCAGCCCCGGGTGAGGGTGAGGTCCTTCAGTGAGAGACGGCCACTTCGGCTCTTGGGTGACGTCCAGGCAGGCCCCTCATGGCTCCATGCCTCAGTGTCTCCATCAGCCAGGGAGCAGGTATCCACCAGTGGCTAGCTTGTCATTTTGGGACACAGCTTCCCCCTCCCCCAGCGTTTCTCCTGGCCTGACCTCTGATCCCAGGGGGAAGATTTTGTTGTCTCCATCCAACCCAACCCCTGCATTTGCAGGGAAGAAACCTCCAGGTTTTCAGTGAAGGGTGGGCCTGTCCCCTGGAGCCCCAGGGCCCCTGGAGAAGGACAGCCCCAGGCTTGGGCAGGTCCTGAGCTCCCTGAGGGCGGGTCTGGGCCGCCCACTCCTGCCTCCCCAGCTGACTGTCAGCTTGGTGTGGCTGCCTGAGGGTGGTGGGTGCCGGCCTTGGCCCTGAATTGCATGTTCAACATCCCCCCCCACCACCTCTCCCTCCCCAGACCCTGGATGGGGCCCCCTTGGAGGGATGTGGGGGACCAAGGGGGAGAGTTCTGGTGCCGCAGGCCCAGAGCCATTCCTGAGGCCTGGGGGGAGAGATGAGACCAGAGGAAGCAGGAGGTCATCAGCTCCCAGACGCCTTGGAGAGAGCACACATGTGTGCCTCACAAACAGTCTCACACACACCTCAGAAACACACACACAGCCACATACAGAAATACACACGCATGTACGTGTACAAAACACTCAGATGCATTCTCTCACATTTACAAACACCTGAATCCACACGCAAACACAGGGACACAAATTCACCCACTTATACACAGACATATCCACAAACACGCACGCATACACTCACACACGCATCCACCCAGAGACACAAACGCCCACCACACAGGCAGGTACATGGGGAGGCATGGTCGCCCACGTGGGGCACTGGGCTGTGGACATGGACAGGGGTTCCTCGGGGCAGCAGGAGCACCGTGGCCCTCCCGAGCGGTCTGTGCACGCGTGCACACACCCCCGCTCCCAGAGGCGCTCACCCTGCCCTGTTGTCTCTGTCCTACAGACCGACTTCGAGAAGGACGTGGATCTGGCCTGTAGATCAGGTGAGCGCCCGACAGGTGAGAGGACAGTGCCAGCCCGGCCCCCTGCATGGCCCCACTCCACGCCTCCGCCTGTGCCTCCCCCACATCACCCATCCCTGTCCACTCCTGCTGCCCCCACCCACACCCAGCCACACCGTCAGGCCCACCTGGACCCAGGGGACCTGCCCTGGGGGCCCAGCCTTCCACCCCCGTCCACTTCCTGAGGCCGAAGGAGGGTCCATGGGGCATGATCAGAAGCTTCCAGAACACTGCCCTGGCACTCCTGCTGAGCAGGTGCCTGTGGAGCGCCTGGCTGCGTCCCCTGCCCACCTGACATCTCTTCCTCTGTCGTGGCCCCAGCGAGGAGCACAGCCTCACCCTAGTGCCGCTCCCCCCCCCTGCCTCCTGCCCACCGCCCTCTAGCACCTGTGTTCTGTGCCACCTTCATTTCCTCATTGCCAGTCCCAGCAGGGGCAGAAGTGAGTGGGGCTTTCAGGCTAGGGGGACAACGGGGAGCAAGAGGAAGGCGGGGAGAAGGACCCACCATGGAGCCCCCGGCCGGTGCTGAGCTTCCTGGAACCAAGTGCAAAAAACGAACGACTGCCCAATAAAGGAAGCTCCGCCGCCCATCCCCAAGCATCAGACTGCGAGGGTCTGTTTCTGTCCCCACCACTGTTCTGTGAACCAGGTCCTGAGGCAGTGACAGGCAGTGGCTTTCTGAGCTGTGGAGAGGCCAATGGACCATGCTCCCTCTGGTCATTTAGATATTTGAAGAGCACCTTCTCTAGAGACAGCCCTGGCAGAGGAGCTGGGACAGCCCCAGGTGGGGAGTGTGTGCTGGTGCCAGTTGGGCCCCAGGAGGGCTTCCTGGAGGAAGTGACTTCGGGGCTGGGCTGAATGGGAGCTGGACAAAAAGCACCTTCTGCCCCCTTGGGGTCTCCTGTGAACCAGTCCCACAGCCTCTCAGAGGGGTGACCCTAGGACTTGGGGCCTCAGGTGGCTTGGGTGTATGTGGGCCTCTCTGAGCCCCTGATTCCCTCTCATTCATGCGCTGGCTACAGCGCCTGGTGGATCCACATGCAGCTGGTGGATGCGCCATGAGCAGCTGGTGCTGAGCGCCTGGGAGCTTCCTCAGAGCGGGAGGGTGGGCGGGGTGCCAGCGAGGGGCCTGGGCCTGGGGGGAGCTTGGCTTTTATTGTGCCCCAAGGTGGGTACATGCGAGGGAGGCACATAGACCCCTCACGTGCCAGGCGCTCGTTCTGCCTTGTGGGGAGCAAAGTGTGAGGTGTGTGGGAGGTCGGGAGCCCCAGGGTCTGTGCGGGGTGGGGCGGCCTTGGGGACGTGCGTCCCGAGAGTGCTGTGGCTGTCTGGGTGGGGCATGTGGGTCTGACGGGGAGGATGACGGGTCACTCTTGGGTAGGGACGAGGGAAGGGGCGGGGCTGAAAATGGGCACAGGGTGTTGCTGTCCAGAGGGTGGAGGAGAGGACCAGGCCGGGAGCATGGCCTGCTGAGCTCTGAGGGGGACGGGGAAGCCTGTGTTCGGGAGAGAGAGTGACCCCTGGCTAGGCAGCTTGGGGGGCATTGGTGACCCTGGGGCCCGTGTGCCTGGCAAGGTGGCTGAAGGGAGCAGCTGGTGAACACAGGCACCCAGGGCTGGCTTGGCGTGGTGGGTAACCATCTGCCAGCCTGCATGGGGCAGGACACAGGGGGCAGGCCAGGCTTCCCAGGAAGGGCCCTGGGGTCTGGATCTTTGGAGACTGGGGCTTGGAGAAAGGAGGGGTGTGGAGGGTGGGCACCCCTCTGTCAGGGGCAGGCGGCTGGGTCAGAGTCAGCTTGGGGTTCTCCGCCAGCCAGTAGGGGCTAGATTCATTGGCAGGAAGTCGGGGGCAAACTGGAGCCCCACTCAGAGGTCAAGGCGGCTGGGCCCCTTGCAACTGACCAGAGACAGAATCAGAGGTGTCTGGGTATGGAGACCTCTCTCCAGGGACCAGGCGGCCCTCAGGGCAGAGCAGGGAGGCTTGCAGGCCCCAGGGGCAGCGATGCAGGAAGGGCCGTGACAGAGGGCCAGGGCCTCGTGGCTGCACTCAGCACCACTGGGCTCCCGCACACTGCCCCCCACCCACACAAGGCCCAGGGCCGTGGGCGTCGGGAGCGTTGGAGGGCCGGCTGGGCTCTGCCACCAGCACAGACCGTTCTGCCTGTGTCCCTGTGCTTCCGGGAGTCAAGGCCGCCCTCGCCTGCTCTTCTCAGCGCTGGGGAGGGCAGTGTGTGGGTGACAGCCATTTGTCTTCTTGGGGCCAGTGGAGAGGGCCACCCTGTGTGGCAGCCTCATCTGAGGACACAGGAACCCTAGGGGCCGTAGCGCCAGGCTTGGGTAGGGTGGTACCTGCAGTTGGCCCTCCGATCGGTACCCAGCAGGACCTGGCCAGGGTCTCCCAGGAGGTGGCGGCCTCGCAGGGCAGACTGGGCCCCTCTCCTGCTGGGGACTGTCCTACGCCATCCTCACCCCCACACCTGTCCCCGCTGTCTCCCCCGCGGCCCCTGCAGTGCTGAACAAGGACATCGCGGCCTGCCGCACTGCCACCATCACGGGCACACTGAAGCGGCCGTCTCTGCCCGAGGAGGAGAAGCTGAAGCTGGCCCATGCCAAGGGGCCGCCCACCAATTTCAACAGCCTGCCGGCCAACGTGTCCAAGCTGCACCTGCACGGCTCACCCCGCTATCCCGGCGGGCCCCTGCCCGACTTCCCCAACCACTCACTGACCCTCAAGAGGGACAAGGCGCCCAAGTCCTCCTTCGTCGGTGACGGGGACATCTTCAAGAAGCTGGACTCGGAGCTGAGCCGGGCCCAGGAGAAGGCTCTGGACACGAGCTACGTGATCCTGCCCACGGCCACGGCCACGCTGCGGCCCAAGCCCAAGGAGGAGCCCAAGTACAGCATCCACATTGACCAGATGCCGCAGACCCGCCTCATCCACCTCAGCACGGCCCCCGAGGCCAGCCTCCCCGCCCGCAGCCCGCCCTCCCGCCAGCCCCCCAGCGGCGGGCCCCCCGAGGCACCCCCTGCCCAGCCCCCACCGCCTCCGCCCCCACCGCCACCACCTCCCCAGCAGCCCCTGCCCCCACCGCCCAATCTGGAGCCGGCACCCCCCAGCCTGGGGGATCCCGGGGAGCCTGCCGCCCATCCGGGACCCAGCACGGGGCCCAGCACCAAGAACGAGAATGTCGCCACCTTGTCTGTGAGCTCCCTGGAGGTGAGGGGGGCAGGGGTGGGCCACACCCCAGCCAGCGAGGGCAGGGCTGCAGCAGCTGGGTCACCCCTGCTGGGTGGGACCCCCACGCCGTCAGCGGGGCGGGCTGGCTCTGCCTCCTAGCTACACCCCCCACCCCTGGCCCTGCTGGGTGTGCTGTGTATGTCTGACGTGTGGTCCCCACCCTAGGCTTGGCAGGGTGGTCTCACCCCGTTTCAAAGGGGCTCAGGGACCCACAGTCTGGACCCACGGAGCAGGACCTGCACCTCGCACAGTCGCTAGTCCAGCCCTTGGGGCAGCCTGGCAGCACATACCTGCCTAGGTCAGCCTGGAGCCTGCAGCTGACCCAGCCTCAGTCAGCCTGTAGGATGTTGTTTTTGGGGGAGCCCGTCCCCACAGGATATGCTCCCACCATATCCTGGCTCCTGGCCTCTGGTGATGCTGCCCTGTGTCCCTGAGTTCTCTGTCGGGGGACCCAGCCATGTGGCCCCAAGTTCAGGTCTCCTTGATCCTGGGGAGTGTGTCCCGGGTAGGCGAGCCGGACACCCCAGCCCAGCCTTGGTGCTGCTCGCTGGCACCCAGCGCATAGCTGGAGGAGCTGCCTCAGTGCGCCCCCAGGCATGTCCCCTGGGTCTGGCCTGGTCCCTGAAGGCAGGCATGGGGCGAGTGAGTCCCTGATGCCCTCAGTCTGAGGCAGGGAGAGGCGTGGACTTGTCAGGGACCCTTGGCGAATGTTCGCAAACCCCTTCTCCCTGCAGCGGCGGAAGTCGCGGTATGCAGAACTGGACTTTGAGGTGAGTTCTGGTGTCCCCCCCCACCAGACACTTAGGGCCAGATGTGCTCTGGGCTCCCACACGGCCAGGCAGCTCCCCGGCAGCCAGGGGACGGGCGGGGCAGGCAGGATGGGCCATGCCCTCCTCCTGGCCCAGGACTCACTGCCCAGACCCCGCCTGCAGAAGATCATGCACACCCGGAAGCGGCACCAAGACATGTTCCAGGACCTGAACCGGAAGCTGCAGCACGCAGCGGAGAAGGACAAGGAGGTGCTGGGGCCGGACAGCAAGGTCTGGAGGGCAGGGAGGGGCGGGGTGGGGAGAGCCCTTAGGTCAGGCCACCGTCTCCCTTCTTCCCTGGATTTGTGCACTTCATCCATCCATCCATCCATCCATCCATTCGTTCATTCATTCATTCATTCGCCCATCCCTGAGGGCTGGCCTGACCCTGCCATGCCAGACTCTGGAGGCCATGGCCATACTGGGAGCTGAGCGGTCACGAGCCTGCTCCTGGGGCCAGGGGTCTGGATTGGGGTGGAGCCAATCCAGGGCAGGGTCCCCACAGCCTGACCCGACCGTGGGGTTCGCAACCTCTGCCAAGGCTGGGGAGAGGATCTGTGCCTGCCGCTGCCCAGCTCTGTTCTGGGCTCTTGTCCTGAAAGCCTCATCCTGTCCCCTGTCCCCTGTCCCCCACCTCCCGTCCCTTCCTCACTGATTCGTGTCTGCCTCCTCCCCCCTACTCCTCGGGCTCATGGCTCTCCCTCCGGGCCCCACCCCTCCTGCACCACGGGCCACCCAGCAGCCGGAAAAGCAGCAGACGCCCAACAAGAGGCCCTGGGAGAGCCTCCGGAAAGCCCACGGGACGCCCACGTGGGTGAAGAAGGAGCTGGAGCCGCTGCAGCCGTCGCCGCTGGAGCTTCGCAGCGTGGAGTGGGAGAGGTCGGGCGCCACGATCCCGCTGGTGGGCCAGGACATCATCGACCTCCAGACCGAGGTCTGAGCGGGTGGGCGGCGGCCACGCACTGGGCCACGGAGGAGGGATGCTGCTCCGCCCGCTCCTGCCGCAGACGGGCACAGACACGCTCGCGGGCAGCGGGCCAGGCCCGCACCCCGGCCTCAGGGCGCTCAGACGGCGGCCAGGCACAGGGCCCGCAGTGCTGGGACCAGAGCCAGATGCAGGACAGGAGGCGGCCCGGCCAGCGGGCACAGGGCACCAGAGGCCGAAGGTGCCTCAGACTCCGCCCTCCTCGGGCCGAGGCCCAGCGGGCAGATGGGCGGACGGCTGTGGACCGTGGACAGGCCCAGCGCGGCCAGCGTCCCAGGGTACCCGCCTGAGCTCCTGCTGCGGAGGAGCTGCCTGCTTGGCCCGGCCGGCCTGGCACCGTTTTTTAAACACCCCCATCCCTCGGGAAGCAGCCAGCTCCCCACACCTTCCAGGGCCCTAGGCCCCTCCTAGACCCAGGTGGAGGGCACAGCCCTCCGACCCTCATGGCCCCCAGGGGCAGGACTGAGTCCCCTCCAGGAAGAAGCAGGGGGGAATCTATTTTTTCTCTCCTTTTCTTTTCTTCAATAAAAAGAATTAAAAACCCATCTCCTCTCTGTGTGGCCTCCCTCTGTGCGGCCCGGGGCCCTGACCCAGCCCTGGCTGCTGGGGTGAAGTCCTCTGCCTGGCCTTGGTGTCCCCGCATCCCTGGGCCAGGAGGACTGTGGAGGCCAGGTGGGCCCTGCAGCTCCTGCTTTGCCCTGGGCCTGGACGTCTGGGCCTTGGACTCCCAGGCCAGTGGTCACGTGGCTCCCAAGGCGTCCCCTCTCCCTGGGGCTCTGGGAACATTCAGGGAACCCCAAGTGCTGGTGCCCTTGGCTACCCCCGACCCTTAGTACGTGAGCTTCACACAGCTCTTAGGCCCCTTGGTGGGGACACATTTCACTCCCCTTGTTCCTTGAGTCATTTTCAGGAGGGACAGCATGAACACACCAATTCTTTAAAACAGTCTGACACAGTGGAAATGCGTGTGGGGGCAGGGACTCCAAGGCAGGGAGGAAGCCTCCCTCTCAGCGCTCCCACCTCCTTCCCGCCCACCTGGGGCTCTGCCCTCCTCTGCTCCTGCCTCTGCCCTGGGGCAGGCACAGTTCTGGGTCCCCTCTTCATTGCTGGGGCACTTCCTGTCTCCAGGCCTCGGCCCCGTTTGTCCGGGGAGGCATGGGGAGCCTATGTGAACACCCCTAGGCCATCCCCCACCAGCCCAGAAGGAGGACCCTCCTTCCACACCCTCCTCCCACCCCAGGAGCTTTGAGATGCACGTCCTGCTTCCCTCTGTGTCTCCAGCAGGGGGCAGCCTGAACCCCCGAAGGGAGCCTAGTTGGGGGAAGCCACAAGGCTGGCAGGGACAATAGCGGGGAAGGAGGGGCCCCCCTCCGACTGTGTGCTGCACCCTGCAGGGCCCCAGGACCGGGAGAAAATGCTGCACAGAGCCTGGGCCTGGAGAGCAATGCGCGCCAAGCTGCAGAGGCGGCTACAGCCTAGCACCCCCTCACCCCTACAACCTCAACTGTGCCCTGTCACTCCTGACCCCAGAGTCCTCACCAGCAGACAGGGCGGGACGGGGAAGGTGCTTGGAGGGTGCAGTGACCACAGTGACCATGGGTGATCACAGATGGTCACGTGTGGCCATGACTGACTGCATTGAGTGGGTGGACGTTGAGCAGATGACCGGGAACGGGGTGGTGTGTCTGCAGTAGCCCAGAGGAGATGGTGCAAAGTCACCGGGTTCCAGCAGTTGAGAAGCACAGTCCCTGAGCTGTGGATCTGAGCACCCCAGAAAACCAGAATGTTTTGACGAGATTGGACAACAAAACCTGATGGAAACCGAGTCACACTACATATCTAAAGCTCCTTTGAACCGCTGCACGCACACACACATATGTTCTGCAGCAGGGATGCTGATGCACTTTATTAGGCCCCTCCCAGGATACTAAGTGAAATATCACACACATCACACCTTCTTTCTTAACCCGGACAGATCCCACTTGGCACCAGGGTTTCAGATGAGAGGCTGTGGACTGTGGTCCCTTCCTCATCCTAAGTTACGGAAAGAACCTGGGAGGCCCCTGGGAAGCAGGTGGAGAAAGCGCTGAGCACCCAGCTCCTCCCCTGCAGAAGGCAGCACAGAGCCTGGGGCAGGTTCTGGAGGTGGGGCTTCCACTCAGGTCACCCCGTCCTTGTGGAGTGGCCAGAACAAGTTTTTGGCCAGCTCCCTGACCTCCTGGCCCCATGTTCACACCCAATAACAGGAGAAGCTGCAACAAAACAAAACAACAAATAACAAGAAAGGACCCAAGCCACACAACCCTGCCTGCGAAGGAAGCAACTCAGGTCAGCGTGAGCCGCTGGGGTCAGACGCACAGAGTGACCAGGGGCAGGAGCAACTCAGGACAGTGTGAGCCGCTGGGGTCAGACACACAGAGTGACCAGGGGCAGGGCTCAGTGTGTGGCCAGGGTCAGGGCTTACAGTGTGACCAGGTCAGAGATTAGCCTGTGACCAGAATAAGGGTTCAGCCTGTGGCCGGAATCAGGGCTCAGAGTGGCCAAGGTCAGGGCTCAACGTGTGATCAGGGGCAGGGCTCAGTGTCCCCATGGTGAAGACTAAGTCTCAGCCAGAGTCCCGTTTCTCCTTCACTGTGGTCCACCCCTCCCAGAAGGCCATGTCTGTGCCAGGAGAGGCTATATCCCATGTCCTGCCCGACCCCAATGTTCACAGCTGTTCAATACTCTGTGACCTCTCACAATGATGCATCACAGAAATTGCTCTCTTCCCTCTGTCTCTCGGAGCAGGAAGCTGGCCAGGGATCATCCCAGGAGATTCATCAACCCTGGAGCCCTGCTTGCGTCTGCCCCAGGCACCTTCTTGTCGTGAGCCCTGTGCTGGGCAGTGCTTTGGGCCAGAGGCCACGGAGATGCTCCAAGCTGGAACAGGCGCCTCTTCCCAAACTTCTGCTGCTTTCCCTCTGCTTCATCCAGCTGCTCGGAGTGATGGGCCCTTGACACTGAGCAAGGCAGGGACCACGATTCTGTCTGTAGGTGAGGACACGCAGACTCCGGGTGGCTGGTGTCCCACAGGCATTGAGAGCGAGGCTGTACCCACAACCCAGCTCCCCCACCTTGAATTCCCTGACCCTCCCCACAATGGGTTGCTTTCCTGTGGACACCAGTGTCATGTCCATCTGCCACTGCCTCCACCCGAAGCTACTTCTTTCCTGTGGAGTCCAGGGCTGAACAGTTTGCCAGAAAGATCTTCAGGGGCCTTGTGTTTACTCTATTGTCTTGGCTTCCTTGTATAAGTGCCACTCTCCTCAGCAACTTGTCACTGGTGAAGCTGAGACCACCTCCTCTGACACCCTCCATCTGTCACCATCAGCGGCACCTGCCCTAGGGAGAACTGCAGGGCTGAGAATGGTGGAGGCACTGTGATTGGCAGGAGCACTGTGGGGGCCAAAGGTGGTGGTGACAGTTTCGTGGACAGATCTGGGGCTGCAGATATTGGTGGTTGTGATGATGGTGATGATAATGATGGTGACAGTAGTGCTGATGGTGATAATGGTGGTGATGGTTGCGACGGTGATAGTGGTAATGATGGTGATGATGGTGATGATGGTGGTGATAATGATGATGATGGTGGTGATGGTGATGGTGCTGGAGAGTGATTTTGGGTGCTGGTGATGCCCAAGACAGCAGCCACCACAATATCTGTTGTAATGATGGTGCTTATAGGCTTGGAGATTATTATCTTGCCAGCTTACTCTGTTCCTCACTCATAAACTGGGAGCGTCTGGAGGATGGATGGGTGGATAGATGGAAGGATGGATGGGTGGAAGGATGGATGGGTGGATAGATGGAAGGATGGATGGGTGGAAGGGTGGATGGGTGGATAGATGGATAGATGGATGGATGAATGGATGGATGAATGGGGGATGGATGGATAGTGATGAATGGATGGATAGATGGACATGTGGATGGATGAATGGGTAGATGAATGGATGGGTGGATGAGTGGGTGGATGGATGGGGGATGGATGGATGGTGGATGGATGAATGGTGGATGGATGGATGGTGGATGGATGGGGGATGGATGGGGGATGGATGGGTAGATGGAAGAAAGGATACATAAGGACAATGACTACAGTCTCTGAGTCACCTGGAGGTGGAGCAGACAGGAGTGGCAGCCACCCAGGCGCTGTGCGTCTCGTCAGCACCCACACTCCTGAGATGTGGAGGAAGCTCCTTCGCACCTAACTCCTATCTGCTCATTCCCCTTCCTGTCGCCGACACAAACAATGCCAGAAGGGGAAGGAAGCCTAAGAAGGTTCCCCCACCCCCTGCACCAAGTGGCTTTGTCTCTAGGCAGGCCAGAGGCTCTTTCTGGCAAGGCCCTTCACAACCACCTCTCTCACCCCACTTCCCTGGCCCCAATCCAGCAGTAATAGAGCTTGCTGTCAGGAAGTCCTTCCGTGAGTCGAACCTGCATGCCTTAGGCTGCAACGTGAGGGCCCCTGTTCCCCTCAGCAGACTCTGCTCTTCGGTTCTCCCTCTTCCCCTTCTCCATCCTGACTGACCACCCCCACCACCGACCACCACCACTGTCTGGGCTGCATCATGACCATTTAGTGGGGCCATCCTCTAACCTCTCTTGGTCTCATTCGGCATGAAGGCCTGACCCTCCCGCTGGGCCCACCCACCTCCCCAGGCCCTGCTTCCCAGAGGGCTCAACTCCAGAGGAGCAATTGCATAGTGTGCGTCCTACTCCAGAATTTATTCCAAAACCTTCCATTAGCCAGGAGTTCCCTTTTCAGCCCTGCTGCCCTGACCCCCAGCTCCCTGTGATCTGTCCTGAGACTGGAAGCAGGGGAGGCATCTGCGTGGGGGTGCAGGGCCTGGAGAGGCCTCGGCCTGGAGCGGGAGTGCAGGGCCTGGAGGGGGAGGGCAGGGCCTGGAGGGGGAGTGCAGGGCCTGGAGAGGCCTGGGCCTGTGTCTGGAGTGCAGGGCCTGGAGGGCCCCTGGCAGGGGGTTCTGAAGTGCCCTGAGGTGACAGAGCAGCTGGTATCTCACCCAGGCACTGCCCGCACCCCTCCAGCTGCTCACCGCCTGGGAGGTGAGCAGGATCAGGAGGGACCAGGCAGCCTCTTCTGACCGGCGCCGTCTCCCCAGCCCTGCTAGAGCCCCACAAGCTTCTTGGCTCTGAGGCATTGTCCTGGGGAGGGCCGAGCACCTCCCTGGAGGCCCAGACCTGGGAGTGCATAAGTGGGAGGGGCCAGTGGGCTTCCACCACAGCCCTGCTCTGCAGCCTGCTCCCTGTGGCCCCGGGGGGCTCTCAGACCCCTGCAGTGATAGTACAGTCCCCTCTGAAGACCCCAAGCAGCACACCTCTGCCCACCCGGTATCCTGTGTCTCTGGCCGGCTCAGCTCAGAGCAGCCCCTGAAGGGACCGGCAGACAGGTGAGACTCCTCCCAGGGTGCCCGGCCACCCAGGCCCACTCCTGGCCCTGCCTCAGACCCTCCCCGTCTGGGCCTCAGTTTCCCCACAGGTGCCAGCTGAGAGCCCTTCCAGGGCCAGCAGTCTGTGACTTGGCGCTTCTCAAGGTGTCGGAAGCAGCGGGCTCTGGAGTATCTTGTCAGGTCCTAAAAATAATCGGGAGGGAGGAACATCTCCGAATAGCTGGTGAACGTGCGAGCCGCCCACCCCACGCACAGCGGAAACTCCTCCAAATAAGGCCTTGGCAGAACCGGAAGCCTGAACCATCACCACGCACGTCAGCTGTGTTCCAGAACCTTCCCTCCCAGGGCCACAGGGTCTCCCCCAGAGGGCCGGCGGCCGGATCAGAGGCCTGGGCAGCCTGGCTCATTCTAGACACCCGGAGCCCACTGAGAGATGGCAGCCCTTCCCATTAGAGTCCTGAAATTTATAATTACGGAATCAAAGCATTTCCTAGCCTAGAAACTTGTATTTAAACGTACGGAATCTTAGAATAATCAAATTCAGACCCTTCCCCCAAGTCGCAGAGGACATTGGCTCCAAAGGGCAGTGCCCCTGCCTGGCTCCCGGGAGAAGCAGGACCCCACCTGGGGCTGGGGGGCAGCATGGTAGCCTCCAGACCAGCCTCTGGAGAAATGGGGGATGGCTCCCAGCTGTCCTAGGAAGGCAGAGGAGGTGTCGCTGGGCTCAGTATGGCTCTCTGGGAACACCATATGGACCCTGCCCAGGAAGGGGAGGTGGGGGGAGGAAGGAGGCAACACCCCCATCAGCAACCTCCTCGGCCTCTCCCAGGGGTTCCGGGTTGGGCGTGGCCCCTCCTGCCTTGCAGTGTGCACAGGGGTGGGGTGCTCCTTCTCTTCCCACCCCCCACCTCTCCTCCGTGTCCTTCCTGATCTTTCCCTGACCCTGCTAAGCTGAGGGACCCCCTGCCCCTAGAGGGGAAGCTTCTCATGGACTTTGCCCAGTTCCTCCACCGGGCCACGCTTAACCTCCCAGAAGGACAAGGGTGTGCCTTGGGAACCAGGGCAGGGAAGAGGAGGGAGGGGACAGGTCTGGAGGGGCTGCTTTATTGGAGGAGAGGGATGGGCACAGTCTGGTGACAGGACCTTGAGGGTAGGCAGGGAGGGTGCAGGGCAAGGACTGGACCTCCCACTCTTGATGGCTTCCCGGAAGAGGGGACCTGGCTGAGCCTGGAGGTGGTGGAGGCGGGTGGTAGTCGGCACCCATGTAGGGCCAGCCTTGAAGGATGCTGATGTCACCAGTGGCCGCTGAGCCAAGGCTGGTGGCTTGGGCGGCATGGGCCAGGGCTTGTACCCCTTGGAGGTTTAGGAAGTTCAGGCTCTCAGCCAGAGCCCGCCCCCTGCTGGCTTGGAGAGAAGGGCTCAGCGCTCAGGCCCCACCCCGGGGCTGCTGTGGGGGATTTCTTTCTGGGCCAACCCCAGGTCACTAACAGGTCACTAAGATGTGATGTGGCCAGGGTCACACAGCTGGGGCCTGGACCACTGCTTGGCCAACCCTAGAAGAGTCCCAGTCCGCGCCCCCACCCAACTGTTGCCATCCTCCAGGCAGTCTGTGCCTGTAGCTGCCAGAAGCACTCCTGGCCCCAAACCTCAGTGGTGCCTCCCTCTTCACTGTCCTGGCCTCGCCTCACCCCTGCCTCTGAGTCTCTCCAAAGCCACGTGCCTTATAGCAGGCTTTGGCGGGGGGCAGGCAGTTTCCTGCAGTACAGGGGTTCCCCCGAACCTGGTATGCACACCAGGTATGCTCAGAGGAGGCTCTTATCAGCATCTGACAGCTGAGAAGTCTGAGAGGGGCCCTGGGGAAAGAGGCCACAGAGTGTTCTGGGAAGGGGCCACCTGCCCCTGCCTCCAGGTGCGTACCTGCAATGCACCAGGAACAGGCAGCCATTGGAGGAGAGGTGGGCAGATTAAGCCGAGCAGGCCTGGCAAGGAGAGGTGAGGTGGAGGCCAGGCCATGGGTCCAGGCTGAGGAACAGCAGTCATGTGCAGAGGGCAGTGGCTGTTCACATCTCACGGGTCCTGTTGGTCTCCGTGGCCCACGGGTCTCTATGCAACACCTCCCAGGTGTGTGCCAGGCTTGCAGAGATGATGCTGGTGGCTCAAGGACTCCTAGTAGAAGCTCCCAGAGAAGGGACCTCAGTGTAGACCTCAGTGCAGACCAGAGAAAGCACAGAATGACGTGTGCCCTTACCCATGGCACTGATGACGGGGATGAGGGACAGTGATGCAGGCCTTTGTAACCACCACCCAGCACAGAAGAGGAAACTGAGGCACAGAGAGAGTAGGTGACTTGCCCAGTCACAGAGCTAAACCAGTGGTGGGATTCGAGCCCAGGCATCCAGGCTGTCGTGGTGGTGTACTTAGGCGTCATCATCATTCGAGATTTACTTCACCAGGTTTAAGGATTATGACCCATGACACAGCCTCAGGAGGGCCTGAGGACCTGCGCCCAAAGTCGTTGGGGTACAGCTTGATTTTATACATTTTAGGGAGACTTAAGACATCAATCAATACACATGACGTATATATTTGTTCTAGAAAGGTGGGACATCCTGAAACAGAAGCTTCCAGGTCATAGGTGGATTTAAAGATTTTCTGATTCACAATTGGTTGGAAGAGTTATTATCTAAAGACCTGGAATCAATAGAAAGGGTGTTTAAGTTAAGATAAGAGTTTGTGGAGACCAAAGTTAGCATGTAGTTGAAGTCTCATAGGTGGCCACCCTTAGAGGCAGTAGATGGCAAATGTTTGCTATTCAACCTTTAAAAGATGTTAGGCTAGACTCTCAGCTAATCTCTTCAAGGTCAGAAAAAGACCTGGAAAGGGAGGAGGATTCTCTACAGAATGTAAATTTCCGCCACAAGAGACAGCCTTGCAGGGGCATTTCAAAATATGTCAAAGAAATATACTTTGGGGTAAAATCCTTTGATTTCTTTCAGAGCCTACTGTTATGCTATGCTATGCTGGAGTCAGGTTCGAATTTGCTGTTATTTCTACAAAGAGTCTGTTCGGTCTGTCTTAAGATTTCTGTTTAATGTTAATGCTGATCAGTTTTGTGCCTGAATTCCCAAGAGAGGAGAGTGTAATGAGGCATGTCTGATCCCTCCTTCTCATCACAACCTGAACTTGTTATTTTTAGGTTTCTTTGGAATCCCCTTGGCCAAGAAGGGGGTCCATTTGGTCAGTTGGAGGACTTAGAATTTTATTTTTGGTCTACACTGGGCACCTGTGCATGACGTATTTGTAATGATGGAGTATTATCACGGAAAAAATAGAGCAATTTCCATTTCCAAAAACAAAACAAGAAGGAAGACCCCATGTTGATGTATTAATTATCTGGGCCTGGACTATTCTAAGTGCTGGTCAAATAAATTTTAAGGGTAGGCCAGGCCCTGACACAGATCTCAGGTGGGAGGCACCTACAGCATCTTCAAAGCTGCACTGGCTCTATATGCCCCACCTCTCTCATTCTCCCAGAGCTCACAGTGGAGAAGTTGTGCTCTCTGCTTCTGCTGGGTCCGGCACCTCCAGCCCCAGCCTGCCTCCCTCCCAATCAGCTCCTCATAAGGTCTTTTACACCAGGCCTTTCCCTCCCTCCACACTCTCCAGCCTTTCTCCTTAAGAGTCCTTCTTGTCAGCAACTAACTACGGAGCTATTCAGGCTTTTTATTTCTTCTTGACTCACTTCTAGTGCATTGTGCTTTTCTGAAATCCAACTATTTCAACTAAGTTTTCAAATGTATTGGAATCACATTGCTCCTAACATTCTTTTATTTCTGATGTGTCTGCAGTCAGGTCCCCTTTGTCACCCCTAACACTGAATTGTGGCTTCTCTCTTTATGTTATTCAACTTGCTTATTTAATCATTCACTTCAAAGAACAAACTTTTGCCTTTGTGGTTCCCCTGTGTTATGCCCCCCGCTTCACTCATTCCTGCTCCTATCTTTATAACCTCCTTCCTTCTTCTTTGTGTTTATGAGGAATGAAAAAACTTTTTATGCTGAAAGCTGAACACATTCATTTTTAGCCTTCGTTATTGTCTAATATAAGCATTTTAGGCTACAAATTTCCCTCAAAGGGTTACTTTAGCTCCACCCTGAAAGTTTCTGTGTGTATTATTTTCATTACCATTCAGTTGTATTGGTTTTTAAATTTCCATTATGATTGTTTTATGGATATATGTTGTTTTATATGTGTTTTTAAAGTTCCAAACCATGAGATTTAAGAAATCTTTTTGTGATTTCTAATTATGTTGTCATAAAATGTAATCTATATGTGAATTGCTTTGTTGCATAGTATGTGACTAATTTTTATAAATATTTCACACCTCTTTTACAATTGCTGAGTGCGTAGTTATTTATATGTTAGTTAAACCAAGCTGGTCAATTCTATTGCTCAAATCCTCTGTACCCTTGCTGATGCAGGGCAGGTGAGCCCCTAAAAGTGGGGCTTAGCCTGGAGGGTTCTTGGCTTTGTTCAACAAAAAATTTGAAGGCGAGCCAGTGGTGTTCGAAGCACCTTTGATTGAAGTGGTGTGGGCAGCCGCAGCAGAGGGACTGCTCCTTGCAGAGCAGGGCTACCCCATAGGCAGTGAGCCCAGGGAAGCAGCTCAGAGGCACTTCCGCAGTCATAGTTATACCCACTTTTAATCGTATGCAAATTAAGGGGCAGATTATGCAGCAATTTCAAGAAAAAGAGTGGTAAATTCCACTGCCATGGAAAGGGGTACTAACTTCTGGTGTTGCCATGGCAATGGTAAACCAACAGGCACACTGGTGGGCATGTATTCTGGAAAGGTCTTTCTACCCTGCCCCATTTTAGCTAGTCCTCAATTCAGTCCTGTGTCTGAGCCCCACCTCCAGAGTTGAGTCCTGCTTCCTACCTCATTGTGATATTGTGAAATATATATTTAATCTTCACCCCTATTTCCTGACATACAGCTCCTGAAACTCTTGGAATCTTCAGAGTGACAAGTGCTTCTTTTGTATGTTAATGAGATGACTGATGTCCCTGAAACAGCTTCAAGATGGGGCTGGTCACTGGAAAGACCAAGGCAGCATCAGAGGGTTGGGACTTTCAGCCCCACCTCCCACCTCTGGGCAGGGGAGAGAGGCTGAAGGTTGATCACCAATGGCTAATGATGTAATCAATCATGCATTCCTAATAAAGCTTCCATAAAACCCCAAAAGGACACAGTTTGGGGAGCCCCCAGATAGCTGAACACACGCAGGTGCCTGGAGGTGGTGCTGGGAGGGCCTGGGAGCTCCGCGCCCCTCCCCGTGCCTGCCCACACGTCTCCCCCACCTGCTGTGCATCCGCACCTTCGTCACAGCCTGTGTCATAAATGGGTAGACGCGGCTCAGTGTGTCCCTGAGTTCTGTGAGCCGCTCCAGCAAGTCATCAGACCCAAGGAGAGGGTCGTGGGAACCCTGATTCCCACGGTGCTAGTCAGAAGCACTAGCATTGGAAGTGGGGTCGTTGTGTGGGACTGAGCCCTCGACTTGCGGGATCTGACGCGACCTCGAGATGGATGGCGTCGGGATTGAATTGAGGATACCCAGCAGTGTCCACTGCAGTCGCTCAGTGTGTGGGGAAGCGACCCCGTGGCTGGTCACACAAGTATCTTGTGCTGTATTTGAGTATGTGAGAGGGAGGAAGAGAAGCACTTCAGTTCGGATTTCTTGTCTCCTTTAACTTTCAATTATTTTGAATCTGCTGGACCTGTCAAGAATTGGAAAGAAGTATTGAAATTTCCCACTATGATAGTAGATTGTTTCTTTTTTCTTTGTAATTCTACCAAATTTTGCTTAGTATGTTTTGAGGAATATGAGTTCAGAATTATTATATGTTCCTGGAGATTTGAATTTTTGTCATTTTGAAGTAACCATCTCTCTATATAATAATGTTTTTTTCTTTTGGCTTAAAGTCTATCTCATTTGATATTAATATAAATACCCTCATCGTCCTTTGTTAAATAACATTTTTGTGGGTTTATTCTCAAATTTTAGGTATGTCTCATGTAAGGGCATAGAACTGGACTTTTAAAATCCAATCAGAGAATCTGGCTTTTAATTTTTTATTCCTATTTTTGGGTGATGGTTGCTGTATTTGGATCTGGTACTCTGTCTTAGTGCCGCATTAATGTCTTGTTTTTACTCTAATTTAAAAAAAATCTCAATTCTCAGCTGGGCATGGTGGCTCAGACCTGTAATCTCAGCACTTTGGGAGCCTGAGGTGGGAGGGTTGCTTGAGGCCAGGAGTGTGAGACCAGATGGGGCAACATAGTGAGATCCTGTCTCTCAAAAAAAAAAAAAAACAACAACAACAACAAAAAAAAGAACCACAAAACTCCTTTTCTGATTTTTCGAAGGGACTGCATTTTTAAAGTATTTCTTTCTTTATTTTAGAGGCAGGATGTCACTCTGTCACCCAGGCTGAGCTCAGTGGCACAATCATATCTCACTGCAGCCTCAAACTCCTGGGCTCAAGTGATCCTCCTGCCCCTGCCTCCTGAGTAGCTGGGACTACAGGCGGGCACCACCACACCTGGATAATTTATTTGTTTGTTTATTTGTTAGCAGAGATGGGGTCTCACTATGTTGTCCAGGCTGGTCTTGAGCTCCTGGGTTCAAGTGATCCTCCTGCCTTGGCCTCCCAACGTGCTGGGATTACAGGCGTGAGCCACCATGCCTGACCTAAAGTATTGATTTTTAATGCAGTTTTACCTCTTATTCATATGGAAATCTTACAGATTCTTTCTATTCCTTTTCAGCTTACCTTTGAAATTATAACCATTATTTAACTGGTTCTAAAATGCATCAGTCTATGAACTCTCTTTCAAACGGTACAAGGACCTCAGAAGACTTTACTCATTCTCGTTGGGCTTCCATGGTAGCTTTGTCTATCATTTGAGCTCTGTATGTACAACGCTATGAATGAGACAGGATTATCCTCATCAGTAGACAGCCCTGGTTATATGGACTTATATGTTTAGCCATTCCTTTGTCACCATTCCTTCTAAGATGTCATGCTCTCCTTCTTCCCGGAGCACAGGCTTTCCAAGTCCTGCTGGCAAACACCTGTTGACTGTAACTCTGTTGTCCGTGTGGAGAAGGCCAAATTAATCCCACTCATTGCCTGGCATCATGCTGGCCCATGGGAAGCCCCGTTCTTGCTTATTTATGCTCTTGAATCTCCATAATCCGCCCCCCAACCGATAAGCAGCTACTCTAATTTAGTTAATATGTCTTTTTTTTTTTCAAGTGTTCTTTTTATTTGATAATAATTTTAGGCAACAGAAAGTTGCAAAGATTGTATAGAAAGCACTGCTCTACCACCTACAAGTTTCCCCCGTCATTAACATCTTATATAACCATGGCACAATTATCAAAGTGTCTATTTATTTAAACTATATTGTTATAGATCTCAATCTGTTTTTAACTTTTTTCCATAAGCACTTTTTTTAAAAAGATCCATCTGGGTTGCTATGTGTGCATCTTGTCTGTTCTTTTTCATTTTTTTCTTGACGTGGTTTATTTTAATATAAAATACAGCCAAACATATACCACAGATGAGACGGAGCCATATGTAATGACATTCTCTGTGCATGGCGAGTAATATCGGTGTGCGCACTTGAATTTTGCATTTTTGGTTTAACTTGGAGGTACAACTTAAATATACTAAGATTCGTCCATTTTAAGTGTTGGATGGGTTAGGCCGTATGTAAACACTCAGCCACTGCCACGAACAGACGGTGCACAACTCTGTCAGACCCATGCAACTGTCACCATGAGTGGGACAGTGCCACCAGCCCCCAGCATCCCCTCAGGAGGTCCCTTTCTAGTAAAATCCTTTCCCCATCCTCCCCCCGGGGCAGCCACTGCTCTATGCTTCGTCCCTGTACAATCGTATGTCGCTTCACGACGAGGATGCATTCTGAGAAATGTGTCCTTATGTGATGTCCTCCTCGCGTGAACATCACAGAGTCTACTCACACAGGTCTAGAAGGCAGAGCCGATGCGCCCAGCCTGTATGGTACAGCCTGTTGCCCCTGGGCTACAAACCTGGTCAGCCTGTGACTGTACTGAATACTGTGGGCAACTGTAACACAATGGCAGGAAACTGTGTGTCCAAACGGGGTGCAGTAGTTGCACCTATAGTCTCAGCTACTTGGGAGGATCCCTGGAGCTTAGGAGTTCAAGACCAGCTTGGGCAACATAGTGAGACCCAATCTCAAAAAAAAAAAAAAAACCCCACAGAATTTGTGTAGCTAAACATAGAAAAGGTACAGTAAAAATACAGTATAAAAGATTAGAAATGGCCCATCTGTATAGGGCACTTAGCATGCATGGAGCTGGCAGGACGAGCAGTTACTCTGGGTGAGCCAGTGCCTGAGTGGCGAGTGAATGGGACGCCCTCGGATGTCCCTGTGCACTGCTGGAGACTTTATAAACACTGTACGTGTAGGCTTCACCAAATCTGTTTAAAAATATTTTCATTCTTTGATATCTTACTGTAATGTTTTTACTTTATGAACCTTTTAATTTTCATAACTTTTTGACTCTCTTGTAATAACATTTACCTTAAAACACAAACAAGTACAGCTGTACAAAAATATTTTCCTTTATTATATCCCTATCCTATAAGCTTCATTCTATTTTAAAATTTATTTATTTTTTTTTACTTTTTAAACTTTTTTCTTAAAAGCTAACATATATATACACACACACACACACACACAGTAGCCTAGGCCTGCACAGGGTCACAATCACCCACCTCACTGTCTTCCGCCTTCACGTCTTGTCCCATTAGAAGGTCCTCAGGGGCGGTGGCATGTATGGAGCTGTCCCCTCCTAGGGCAGCAATACCTTCTTCTGGACCCCTCCTGAAAGCCCTGCCTGGGGCTGTTTTGCAGTTCACCTTTTTCTATATAAGTAGAAAGGGTATACTCTAAAATAACAAAAGTATTGTACAGTAAACACATAAGCCAGTAACAGAGTCATTTATTATTAAGTATTATGTAATGTGCATAACTATATGAGCTTGATTTTATAGACTGGCAGTGCAGTAGGGTTGCTTACGCCAGTGTCACCACACATGGGAGAAATGGCCGCTAGGATGTCACTAGATGACAGACACTTTCATCTCCATTGCAATCTTACAAGGCCACCATTGTACATGGGGTCCATCACTGGCTAACAGGCGGGGACGCAGCACATGGTCCATCACCGTCTAACAGGAGGGGATGCAGCACATGGTCCATCACCATCTAACAGGCGGGGACGCAGCACATGGTCCATCACTAACAGGAGGGGATGCAGCACATGGTCCATCACTGGCTAACAGGCGGGGATGCAGCACATGGTCCATTACTGGCTAACAGGCGGGGATGCAGCTCATGGTCCATCACTAACAGGCGGGGATGCAGCACATGGTCCATCACTGGCTAACAGGAGGGGACGCAGCACATGGTCCATCACTGGCTAACAGGCGGGGATGCAGCACATGGTCCATTACTGGCTAACAGGCGGGGATGCAGCTCATGGTCCATCACTAACAGGAGGGGACGCAGCACATGGTCCATCATTGGCTAACAGGAGGGTATGCAGCACATGGTCCATCACTGGCTAACAGGCGGGGATGCAGCACATGGTCCATCACTGGCTAACAGGCGGGGATGCAGCACATGGTCCATCACTGGCTAACAGGCGGGGATGCAGCACATGGTCCATCACTGGCTAACAGGCGGGGATGCAGCACATGGTCCATCACTGGCTAACAGGCGAGGATGCAGCTCATGGTCCATCACTGGCTAACAGGCGGGAATGCAGCACATGGTCCATTACTGGCTAACAGGTGGGGATGCAGCTCATGGTCCATCACTAACAGGCGGGGATGCAGCACATGGTCCATCACTGGCTAACAGGCGGGGATGCAGCACATGGTCCATCACTAACAGGAGGGGATGCAGCACATGGTCCATCACTGGCTAACAGGAGGGGATGCAGCACATGGTCCATCACCGGTTAATAGGCGGGGATGCAGCACATGGTCCATCACTGGCTAACAGGAGGGGATGCAGCACATGGTCCATCACCGGTTAACAGGAGGGGATGCAGCACATGGTCCATCACTGGCTAACAGGAGGGGACGCAGCACATGGTCCATCACTGGCTAACAGGAGGGGATGCAGCACATGGTCCATTACTGGCTAACAGGAGGGGATGCAGCACATGGTCCATCACCGGTTAATAGGCAGGGATGCAGCACATGGTCCATCACCGGTTAATAGGCGGGGATGCAGCACATGGTCCATCACTGGCTAACAGGCGGGGATGCAGCACATGGTCCATCACTGGCAAACAGGCGAGGATACAGCACATGGTCCATCACCAGCTAACAGGAAGGGACGCAGCACATGGTCCATCACTGTCTAACAGGAGCGGATGCAGCACATGGTCCATCACTGGCTAACAGGCGGGGATGCAGCACATGGTCCATCACCAGTTAACAGGCGGGGATGCAGCACATGGTCCATCACCGGTTAATAGGCGGGGATGCAGCACATGGTCCATCACTGGCTAACAGGCGGGGATGCAGCACATGGTCCATCACTGGCAAACAGGCGAGGATACAGCACATGGTCCATCACCAGCTAACAGGAGGGGACGCAGCACATGGTCCATCACCGTCTAACAGGAGTGGATGCAGCACATGGTCCATCACTGGCTAATAGATGGGGATGCAGCAAATGACTGCACCGCACTTTTCCTGTTTCCAGAATGCCATGTCCATGGAATCACGCAGGGTGCAGCCCCTTGGGATGGCCCCCACCCCTCAGCATTCACGCTGCTCAGATCCATCCCGGTGCTGTGCACCCATCCTTCCTTTTTCTGAGCCGGGGTCTCACTCTGTTGCCCAGGCTGGAGTGCAGTGGCGCAACCACAGACCACTGCAGCCTCACTCTCCCAGGCTCAAGTGATCCTCCCACTGCAGCCTCCCTAGTATCTGGGACTATAGACACACACCACCCTGCCCAACTAATTTTTTAAGGTTTTTGTAGAGACAAGTTCTCATTATATTGCCCAAGCTCATCTCAAACTCCTGGGCCCAAGCAATCCTCCCACCTCAGCCTCCTAAAGTGTGGGATCATAGGGATGAGCCACTGTGCCTGGCCTGTTTTATTTTGTTTTGAGATGGGGTCTTGCTATGTTGCCTAGGCTGGTCTCAAATCCCTGGGCTCAAGCGGTCCTCCTGCCTTGGCCTCCCAAAGTGCTGGGATTCCGGGCATGAGCCACCATGGCCAGCCCATCTCTTTCCAATTCTTGAGTAGAATTCCATTGTATGGGTGTACTATAGTTTATCTATTCACTCACAGAAGGACATTTGAGTTATATCCAGTTTTTGACAACTATGAAAAAAGCTGATATAAACATTCATGCTTGAGTTTGTGTAGAAACATCTTCATGTCTCTAGGGCAAATGCCTAGGAGTGGAACTGCTAGGGCATAAGGTGAGTGTATCTTTAACTTTGTAAGAAAATGACAAACAATTTTCCAGAGCAGCTGCTCTGTTTTGCATTCTCACCAACAATGGTTCGAGAATTCCTTGCTGGCTATTGTCATGGCTGTTCTTCTAATTCTTTCAAGAATATCTTTTGCAGAACAAAGTTGTCTTCCCATTGATTGAGCTTTTGGTGTCATATGTAAGACCTCTTGCCAGGTCACAGGGATTTTTCTCTGATATTAAAAGTGTGATAGGTTTGCATTTTATGTTTAGATAAAGTCTGAGCTAGCTTTTATATAAGGTGTAAGAATTACATCCAAGTCCTCCTTCATCTGAGGATGCCTTTATTCCAGCTAAATTCCCAAAGAATGTTTTCACTAGATATAGAATTCATATTGACCATTCCTTTTTCTTCAGCATTTAAAAAATTTTGCTCCATTGCTCCCCGACTTCCATGGTTTCTGGTGAGAAATCCATTGTCTTTCAAATCCTTGCTCTTCCATATGTCTACAGCATTTTTGTTCTGGCTGGCCTCAGATGTTCTTGTCTTTCAGCAGCTTGATTAGGATGTTTCTTCATCAACATGGATTTCTCTTTGTTTATCCTGTTTTGTGTTCATATCTGAATCTGTAAGTTTCTGTCTTTGCCAAGATTCAAGCAATTTGAGCTGTTATTTATTGAATCTTCCTATACCATCCACTGTCTCCTCTTCTTCTGGAAGTCTGATAATCTGACTGTTGGTGTCGTGGGCCCTAAGGTTCCCTTCATTTTTGGTCCATCACTTTTCTCTCTGTTGTTCAGATTGGATAATTTCTATTGATCTTCAAGGTCACTCTTCTCCTCTTATCTCCATTGTACGCTATTGAGACGATCCAGGGAATTTTTCTTATTTCAGTTATTGTACTTTTCAATTCTAAAATTTCCATGTGGTCCTTCTTGCATTTTTACTTTTCATTTTTTAAATTTTATTTTTATCATGTTTCATACACACACCTTCACCCTGCCCCCAGAGTCTCCTCTATTATTAACATCTTGCATTAGTCCCCAGTGTCACCCAAGGACCCCTGCACTAGGACCTGGGCTACTGCCCCCAAGCTCTTCAATGAAGAGGCAGACACTGACTACCCCAAGGGAATGTGTGTGTGGCAGGGGTAGGTGCAGCATGAACAGAACTTAGGAAGCTGGCCTCAAGCTGCCTTCTCATTGCCATCTCTAGCAGTCTGCCCACCTCCCAGGCTTTTGGCCCAGGAGACAGGATCAGCCACAGTTGTGAAACCTCGTTCCACCCTCTTCTGGCTTCCATGGTTGCTATTCTTGATTCCACTGCTGGTTTGTTATTGCTAGGGGGTTTGTGTCTGTCTCAGCCTGCAGAAAAAGATGTTTTCTTCAGGGGTGATAACCATGGTCAAGCCCCACAGGAGGGTTTAGGGTTTCAGTTTCCACCGCCAGCATTTAGTGGGGACCCCAGAGCTGGGGAGTTAATGCAGAAATTCATTCCGTATCAGCAGCAAACACAAAGACCCTGGCACACATAGCCTTGAGCCCAATGCCAGGGCTTCACGAAGAAGCCCACGATATGCAAGAGAAGCCCATGATATGCAGGAGAAGCCCACGACACGCAGGAGAAGCCGATGACACACAGGAGAAGCCCACGATATGCAGGAGAAGCCCACGACATGCAGAAGCCCACCACACACAGGAGAAGCCCACAATACGCAGGAGAAGCCCACCACACACAGGAGAAGCCCACGACATGCAGGAGAAGCCGACAACATGCAGGAGAAGCCCATGATATGCAGGAGAAGCCCACGATATGCAGAAGCCCACCACACACACAGGAGAAGCCCACGATACGCAGGAGAAGCCGACGACATGCAGGAGAGGCCCATGATATGCAGGAGAGGCCCACGATATGCAGGAGAAGCCGACGACACACAGGAGAAGCCAACGACACACAGGAGAAACCAACGACACGCAGGAGAAGCCCATGATATGCAGGAGAAGCCCACGATATGCAGAAGCCCACCACACACACAGGAGAAGCCCATGATACGCAGGAGAAGCCGACGACATGCAGGAGAGGCCCATGATATGCAGGAGAAGCCCACGATACGCAGGAGAAGCCCATGATGCGCAGGAGAAGCCCACAACACGCAGGAGAAGCTGATGACATGCAGGAGAGGCCCACGATATGCAGGAGAAGCCCATGATATGCAGGAGAGGCCCAAGATATGCAGGAGAAGCCGACGACATGCAGGAGAAGCCCAAGATACGCAGGAGAAGCCCACGACACGCAGGAGAAGCCCATGATACACAGGAGAAGCCGACGACACGCAGGAGAAGCCGACGACACGCAGGAGAAACCCACGACACGCAGGAGAAGCCAACGACACGCAGGAGAAGCCCATGATATGCAGGAGAAGCCGACGACACGCAGGAGAAGCCCACGACATGCAGGAGAGGCCCATGATATGCAGGAGAAGCCCACGACATGCAGGAGAAGCTGACGACATGCAGGAGAAGCCCACGACAGGCAGGAGAGGCCCACGATATGCAGGAGAAGCCGATGACATGCAGGAGAAGCCCACGATATGCAGGAGAAGCCCATGATACGCAGGAGAAGCCCACAATACACAGGAGAAGCCAATGACATGCAGGAGAAGCCGACGACACGCAGGAGAAACCGACGACATGCAGGAGAAGCCCACGATATGCAGGAGAAGCCGACGACACGCAGGAGAGGCCCATGACACGCAGGAGAAGCCCACGACATGCAGGAGAAGCCCACGATACGCAGGAGAAGCCCATGATACACAGGAGAAGCCCACGATACGCAGCAGCAACGTGAGCAGGTGAGAAGCCACCATGAGCAAGAGACAGAAAGCACAGCCAACGGCAAGGCCAGACCCTGAGAATGTCCCAGAGGTGAGCCATGCAGAGGAGATGACAAGGTGTTTTTTAAATGGTTACATTTGTGGGAAACAGGAACTCCTAAGAAGAAGGCAAGACACTGCAGAGAAGGAACAGGCGCACCTGGAACAGAGTGCAGGAGACAAAGCGAAGACCATCGCTGTTGTGACAAAGTCGGCGGATGTTTTAACAGCCAATGAGGGATAGAGAAAGAATGAACTGGGAGATAAATCAATGCACCATCGAGACATAAAAGAGACAGAAAATGTGAAACCGGGGTTAAGACACATGGACCGGAATGGGGTGAGAAGGTCACTCACAGCAAACATGTGAGATCTTTGTGCCCCTCATGTGCTTTTTGTTTTTTGGCTTTTTTTACCTCTCCAAGTTCAGCTGTTTTTCCTGGTGTGTGAAAATGGATGTGAGCCCCCTGAATACCTTCCTCTGCTGGTGGGTCCTGGGGTGTGGTCAGAAGACAGCAGTGAGACGCACCGAAGGAGGGAGCCCCTCTGCTCCGTGGGCTGTAGGATCTCCAGGGCCAGGCTCCTGCAGGGAGGCCACTGCCCCAGCGCTCAGCTCCTGTGGAGCATGGGGCCAGCCACGGGAAGGGGCAGCTGTGCCCGAACCCCCGGGGCGGTTTGGTAAGGGAGTATCACCCGTGCGACACCTCCCTGTGAGCAACTTCTCCTGCATCTCAGAGGGCTCGTGTCCAGCAGTCTCTGCACCCACTGGCTTCTCTGCTGCAGGAGCGAGCTGCCCAGGAGGGGAGGTCTGCTGTGAGCACTTGCCTCAGCCCAGGGAGGGGCTCTTCCGCCTTACATGGCAGGACACCCGCTAGTGTTCTATAGACGTGTCATTCCTGCCGCTGCTGCATTCTTCAGAGCTCTCTGTACTTCTTACTAGCCAGCCCCTTCTAACTCCCATTCCCCGTGGCACTGAATCATTCTTCATATTACACTTCCCTGCTCAAACTGCTGTGTGGTGCCCATCTCAGGAACAGGCTCCGAGGGATACAGAATACTCAAGTCCTGATTGTGCTCTAGCGGTCAAGTGCAGCAGCTCTTGGGCTCCCAAGGTCAATGTTTCCGCTGTCACTGTCACCAGCCAGGGGTGACAGCCTGAGGACAGACGGCACCATGGCATGCAGTGGGCAACCAGCATCCCATTCCCATGTCAGGGAGCTCGGCGCCACACTCACATCATAAGGCACAGCCCCTCCCAGCCCCGAGCCTGTCACTGCTGATCTATCTCCTGGACACCTCCCAGTACCAATACAATTCCACAGAGCAAGGAGGAAGTTCTCAACAAGATCCCACCCGGGTGCAGTGGCTCACGCTTCTAATCCCAGCACTTTGGGAGGCCAAGGCAGGAGGGTCACCTGAGCTCAGGAGTTCGAGACCAGCCTGGCCAACATTGCAAAACTCTGTCTCCACAAAAAGTACAAAAATTATCTGGGTGTTGTGGCAGGCCCCTGGGGTCCCAGCTACTCGGGAGGCTGAGGCAAGAGGATTGCTTGAGCCCAGGAGTTCCAGGGTGCAGTGAGCTAGGATTGTGCCTGTGGATGGCCACTGCACTCCAGCCTGGGCAGAGAGAGAGAGACACTGTCTCAAAAAGAAAAAAAGGCCCCAAAGCACGAAGCACAGAAAAGGAATACATTTGGCTCCATTAAAACCAAAAACTTCCGTCCAACCAGAAACACCATAAACAAGGTCAAAGGACAGGTCACTGTGCAAAAATATTTGCAATGCCAATAGTTGGCTAAGGATGCAGGAACGGCATAGAAAGAATTCTCACACTTTTCCAAGTGAAACACAGACAACCTCATATAGGACGCGGGGAGGATCTGCGCAGGTGGCTTGCAGCCGAGGGGCCCTGCCCGGCCAGCTCTGGCTCTCTGGCTTTCAGGGTTCCCTGTAGAAGCCAGATGTATCTCTTCCTGGGAACCTTTGCTCCATCAGATTCCCGCCCTCCCCTACCTTTGAGAATTACATCCCCACCCTCTCAGGAAATGTTTGTTCCTTTCCCCACATCCAGCCCCAGCCTCTGCTTCTTCCAGGAAGTTTTCCCTGATTGCTCCTGTCCAGAGAAACATGGCCTCCTTTGACCTCTAACTGCTCACCTCTGCCACTGCAGTTGGGGGGCAGCCTCAGGACCTTCCCCCTGGGATTTCCTCTCCCTCTGCATTCAAGCTGGTAGTGGCTCTTCCCTTCAAACCCTGGCAGGAAGGAGGCGGCAGGGTCAAGGATGCAGACAACAGGAAACCTTTCAGCTTTCGGGCTCCTCCCCAGCCCTTTGGGAGCCTGGTGGGGTTTTCAGGCAGAGGAATTCTGCCAGCAGCTGGAGTGAGGCAGGGCCCGCAGCCAGCGCTGGGCACCCAGTGCCCAAATGCAGGGACCCCGTGTGGGCTGAGATCAGTACGGGTGGAGATCAGGCCTGCTGGGCCCACTGGCGACCTTGGCCCTGCTGAAGAGCCTGGCGCTGCTGCCCTGGCAGCCTGGCCAAGGCCGGGGGTCTGTTTTCCCCACTTGTAGGACAGAATGAGAGATGCAGTCAGAGATGAAATTGGCAGCTGGAAAACAGGGGAGTGGTGTTTCTCGCTCGCCCCCGCCCCCTTCATCTGCCTCTTGCAGGGGTGTGCTCCTGGCCAGAGAGCTGGGCCAGCAGGATCTGTGGGGTGGGCTTCTAGGGGCTGAGGGCCCTCCTCAGGTCGGCCCTGGGACTTGAGGCCCGCAAGGCTCCCCTCACCGTGTCCACTGCCGCCCGGACCCTCCAGCAGCTGCTCCATCCTCACATGGACACCCCTCAGGGTGCTGGGCAACCGCACACAGCCCTCCCCTCCTCCCTGGCCCCGCTTGTCCTCCTCCGAGAGGGCGCCCACATCTTACCATGAAGATAAAAATGTGGTTCTCGGCGCCCAGCCTGTGGCCCCATGCCAACTTGCTAAACAGCTCCTTCCGGAACTTCCGCTTCAGCAAGATGGCTCAGCGTAGGAAGGTGAGCGTGGTCTTCTGTGGGTGCACAGCAGAAAGATAGGTCACCCCAGGAGGTCCGGGCTCCCCTCCCCATCACCATGCCCCTCCCTCGAAGAGCCCAGGGGCCTCCGCAGCCCTGCTGTCCCTGGCCGCACAGTCTGCTGGTGCCCCGGAGGGGCTGGCCTGCCAGAGGGAGAGGAGGTCTGACAGCACTGTGTCCACCTCAGTCCCCATGGGTGTCCTGCGGTAACTCTCACCAAGCTCCCAGGGAGGCCAGTGGTCACCCTGGCTGCCCAGGCCTCCTTCTTGACCCGAGGGCCTCTCTCGAGGACCAGAGGGATGAGGGACAGGGGTGCAAGGGAGGGCCAGAGGCCACCAGCACCCACAGCCACCAGCCCAGGCTCAGGCCTCCCTTAGAAAAACCCCTGCTGTGGGCTGAACTCTGGCCACCAGATTCACATGCTGAAGCTCTGAACCCTGGAACTGAGCTATCGGGGGCCACTGTGATTGGAGACAGGGTCTTTAAAGAGGTGATTAAGGGCCAGGTGCAGTGACTCTTGCCTGTAATCCCAGCACTTTGGGAGGCTGAGGTGGGCGGATCACTCAAGGTCAGGAGTTCGAGACCAGCCTGGCCAACATGGTGAAACACTAAAAACACAAAAAAATTAGCTGGGCTTGGTGTGCAAGTAGTCCCAGCTACTCGGGAAGCTGAGGCAGGAGAATCACTTGAACTTAGGAGGTGGAGGTTACAGTGAGCTGAGATTGCGCCACTGCACTCCAGCCTGGGCAACAGAGGGACATCCTGTCTCAAAAACAAAAACAAACAAACAAACAAAACAAAAAGAAGTGACTAAGGTAAAATGAGATCATTAAGGTGGGCCGCAGTCCAGGATTCCTGGTGTCCTTCTAAGAGGAAGAGAGTAGGGTACAGGCACACAGAGGGACGGCCTTGTGAGGACTCGGGGAGAGGGCACCCGTCCGCAAGCCAAGGAGAGAGGCCCCAGGAGGAGGTAGCCCTGTTGACGCCTCATCGCGAACTCATGAGCTTCAGAACTCAGAGACAATGCATTTCTGCTGTTTTGCCACCCAGCCCACAGGTGGCCCTGGCAATCCACGCAGTCCCCATCCCAGGCCTGGCTTCCCTGCCCCTTGCTGAGCTGGGAGGACTTGGTCCATCTGGTTTTCATTCTCCAAAGCCCTTAGCCTCCTGAGTCCATCTGCCAGGGCCCCTGCCTGGTACTCTGGGGCTCACACATCTGTCCCCATAGTACTGTGCTCCTCATGGGGAGGGGCCGCCTCCTTTCCACACCCACAATGAGGGCCCCACTCACAGCAGGTGCTTGACAAATCCATGGATATCAACAGAACAAGGGGGACTTTCTGCTCCCCCGCTAGGCCTCAGCCTCACCTTCCTGCCCTTGCCCATCTGCTCAGAGAATGCAGTGGACCTCGGCCTCCAGGTAACTTTTTAACTGCAGCTTCTGAGGTCTGGATAGGGGTCAGCCTCCCCCAACAAGTATCCTGGTGACCTCAGCCTTCTCTTCCTTCTGAACATATGGCTGCATCCCTCACTTTCCCATTTGGTTACATCCTCCTCAGTCTGTATCCGACAGCCCCCAGACACCTCTGCGAAAGGCAGCAGCTCCCTGCCCCACACGGGATCCAGCTCCGGAAGGCAGCAACTATCTCCCACCTGGGACCCTACCTGGGGCCACTCCCGGCTCTCAGACCCCACCTGGGGCCGCTCCCGGCCCTCCAACTCCCCAGGGTCCAGTCAGTCCCTGGCGGCTGTGGGCTCACGACACCCTCATGCAGCTGCCCTGCCCTGGGTCAGCCCTCCACCCTGCACTCCTCACCTCCCCTAAGTGATTCAAAGTCCCCATCCATTCTCACCTGGTCGACCCAGGGGTCTTTCTAAACCCCAGCCCACTCGCCCTCCCAGCTGGAGGACCTATCCCTTGGCCCCCAGCGTTCCTCTACAGTGGGAGTGCATGAGCCCCGCGGGCAGAAACCCCCTTCCCTCCCATGGTCCTCGCCCGGCAGCTCCACCAGCCCGTGGGCAGCTCTGGCTTCTTCCAGGGGTGGGCTTGGGTGAGGCCATTTAAGCACCCTGCTGGCAGGGGTCCCCCTCAGCCGGGACAGCCAGGGGTCAGAGGGCCTGAGGTCCCCTGGGGCCCACCCACCACCCCTGCCCATGGCAGGCCTGCTCACGTCCTCGACCAAGGGCAGCAGGTGCTGGGCCATCATGACGCTGATGGCACCGAGGCCCTGGGTGCCCAGGCGGTGAAGAATGTCACCCAGGATCTCCATCAGGCCTGTGAGGTCCTCGGGCTCAGTCTTCAGGAAGCTGTCCAGCAGCCCCATCAGCTGGACCTGGAGCAAGACCACCTGCGGGGAGACCTGGCCCTACACGTGGGACCCCTGCCCAGCTGCTCTGTGCAGGAAACTTCCCCAAGCTTCCCCTAATGGGGCGGCTCCCTGGCTGCCGGCCACAGGGCTCTTCTGATTCCCAGGGGGCTCTGAGCTTCCTGAGTGGGGAATGTATCTGCTCTGCCCCAAGCCCAGCGCATAGCGACTGCCTCTGAAGTGGCTGAGTGGGCAGAGGGCGGACGATTGAGCCCCTGGCAGAGGTTGGCTGCAGGCCACTCCCTGCCTCCTTTCACACCACTTAACAGAGGGAAGAAAAGCCTGGGGACCTCAGCCCCAGCTGAACCACAGCCCCAGTGGGAGGCTGCTGATGCGGGGTTCCTTCCCACCCGCAAAGGAGGCCGGAGGCGCTGACCTCAGCTCAGAGATTCTGGGCTCCCCAGCCCTGTGCAGTGCCACAGGGGCTCCCAAACACTGCTGCCCTCCCCACCCATTCCTTCCAATGCGATGCCTGCAGCAGAGACTTCCTGGCACCAGCTCCTCCCCGTTTCCTAGGATGGAAGTGGGTGCCCTCCTGGAGCACTCCCGTCTCCTCTCACCTTCTTGGGGTGCATTAAGGCACTGCTGAGGCCCCTCAGGCTCCTGACCCTCACCAGCTGGCTGGGATGATTCAGGCCCATGCTCAGGAAGTTGTTCACGGTTTTCCGAGACGCCCACTGGGAGACCTCCGGGCTGTTGAGAAACTGAGATCAGCACAGTTAGCCCACCAGTCAATGACAGCAGCCAGGGAGAGTCAGCCTGTACACCACGGGAGACAGAGGGTGAGACACAGGAGGCCCTCGAGACAGCCATCAAGTGTTGCATGTGGAAGGCAGGAGTTAGCGTGCCTTTATAAAAAAATGTGTTTTGAGACAGGGTCTTACTCTCCCCAAGCTGGAGTGCAGTGGTGCAATCACAGCTCGCTGCAGCCTCGACCTCCTGGGCTCAAGACATCCTTCTACCTCAGCCTCCCAAATACCTGGGACTATAGGCGTGCACCACCACGCCCAGTTATGCATGTACCTATGTGTATGTATACGCATGTGTGCATGCATGTGCTGTGTATGTATGCGTGTGTGCATGTATGTACACATGCATGTGTGTGTGTATGTACGTAGAGAAGAGGTCTCCCTTTGTTGCCCAGGCTGGTCTCGCACTCCTGGGCTCAAGCAATCCTCCTGCCTCAGCCTCCCGAGGTGCTAGGATGCCAGGAATGAGCCACTGCACCCGGTGGGTGCCTTTATGTTGGAGGACGGGAATGGATGGCTGGTTCTCTGACATGCTTCTGAAGGGGCAGAGGGCAGTGAGAAGCAGAGGTGAACTGGGCTGGGGAGGTGGACCTCTGTGATGATGAGGATGGCCACGACGCTGTCCCGCTCCTCGGTGCTCTGAAGAGCAATGGCTGCCTGCCCCAAGACCGCCTTGACCTCACAGTTGTAGGGGACCATGGCCCTGTCAGATGGAAGGGAAGGTGCAGGGCTCCTGCAGGCCCCATTCTCGGGCCATGCCTGGGGCAGAGGGATGGACTCCTGACACCCCACACTCCTGGCTGACTTCGGTACTTAGGGAGCGGGCCCAGGAGACTGAGTCTGGGTGCAGGGTCCCAGTGTGAGGTGGGGTGCAGGCAGGAGCCCATCAGGGTGCTGTCTGGGCCCCAGGCATGGGGCTAACCTGGCCAAGAGGGCCACCCACCCTGCATAGGTTTCCAGCACTGGAAGAGCTCCCAGCCCTTCCGCAGCTTGAGGTAGGCGAACACCTCCCAGCAGCCCTTGGTCCAGAAGACGACCTTCAGGGCTTCCAGGCACGTCCTGGGAGACGAGGTCAGGGAGGGGGTCACTCTCCACCTGGGGCCAGGGGTGCTGTCAACCCTGGGCTCCCCTCGCTTGGGGTCCTCTCCTGGCCAAGATTGAGACTCAGTCCCCCGCTCCCCCACAGGCCCACAGGTGGGACCGGAGTGCATTCTTTCCTGGGTTCCCAGCCCTTATCCCAGGGTCTCCCGAATGTGTGGGAGGAGCCAGGAGCAGGGGCAAGGCGTGGGGCTGGGCACAGGTCCCACCTGCGGGGTGTCCAGGGCTCCATGTCCAGGATGTCTTCCTGGTACTCCGCCACGCCCTCCACCATGCCCAGCTCAAACAGGTAATGCAGCTGTGTCAGCAGCCCCAGCAGGACCCCTGCAAAGGCCCAGTGGACTGTGGGCTTGTCCTCCTGGGTGTAGAGCAGCTCATAAATGGTGTCCAGGGCCTACAGCGGGCGACAGAGCAAAGCCTAGATGAGGACCCGCGAGAGTAAGAGCTGGGAGCAGAGCCGCACGGCCTCTCTGCCCCCGGCCCCTGCAGCCCACGGTTGGCCCCATCCTGGGGTCAGCATCAAGAGCCCTTGGTGATTTCTGGCTGGACCTGGGCTGGCTCCTGCTTCCCCTTCCTGCAGTAGCCCTGTGGCAGGGCCAGGAGAGGCAGGCACGGCGAGAGGCAGGACCGGGAGTGCCCGTGCAGGGTCCTCATCTCATGGCTTTGCCTCAAGCTCCAAGCCCCTCCTGGCCCCACACACCACCTGCCTCCCTCTCCCTGGCTCAGCTCCACCAGCTGGTGACCTTTGGCCTGGCCCTCACCCCAGCTCTCCAGGTGTCCTTCCCAGCGTCTGGGGTGTTCTGCCCAGACCACCTGCTCTTGCTGGAGACCACCCCAGGCTTGCTGGCCTGTCCTGGACCCTGGTTTCTGGTGTCCACCACCAGCTCACAAGGCTGACCCCCAACACCCTTTCTGCAGGGTTGGGCTGAGAACAGCTGCTGAGCCCTGCCCCTGGCACTTCCTCTGAATGATTCTCTCACCAGTTCTGTGGCCAATGAGCCCCCTGCCTGCGGTGTCCCTGGATGCAGTGCAGCCTTCTCTGGCCCCTCCCCTCGCCCCAGAGTCCTCTATATTTTTCTTTATTTTTCTTTTTTTTGAGACATAGTCTCGCCCTGTCACCCAGGCTGGAGTACAGTGGTGTGATCTCAGCTCACTGCAACCTCTACCTCCCTGGTTCAAGCAACTCTCCTGCCTCAGCCTCCAGAGTAGCTGGGATTACAGGCGTGTACCACCACGCTCTACTGATTTTTGTATTTTTAGTAGAGACGGGGTTTCACTATGTTGGCCAGGCTGGTCTCAAAACCCTGACCTCAAGTGATCTGCCTGTCTTGGCCTCCCAAAGTGATGGGATTACAGGCGTGAGCCACTGCGCCTGGCCAGAGTCCTCTTTTTAAAGGGCAGAGCTAAGGGAGTCCCTCTTAAGTGGAGCCTTCTGTGGCCTCTTGCATGGGGCTCAGGTGCTGGCCATGGCCCCGGCTCTGTGCAGTCAGGCCCAGCTTGCCCCTTGTGCCAGCCTGGCCACAGATGCCCTTGCCCTGTGTCCACCCTCACTGCCGCTCCCCAGGCCTCCCTTTGGCCTCCCACCAGGCCCAGCCCTGGGGCCTTATTGTTCTGATGACCACGGGGCCACACAGTGCGTGATTGCCAGTGAATGAGTCCCTGAGGGCAGCCTGGGCCGCTGCTGTCCCCAGTGTGCTCTGGAGGCTGCTTGTTATGACAGTGGGGGCTTGACCTTCCCTCTGGCGGGATGCAGAGAGACAGCTGCTGACGGTGGCCAAGGTTGACCCCTCAGTGAACACACCAGGCACCTGGCACATCCCTGGTGTGTGCAGGGGCAGGAGTCACGGTGAGCAGTGACATGGTGCCCACCTCCACAGGTGACAACAGCCCCCCACAGGTGACAACAGGCCCCTGCAGGTGCAGCCCCAGGCCATGAGGAGGGCCCAGGGCTATGGGCACTTGGTGGCACTGGTAAGGGTCACCCTGGCATCTCGTAGGCCCCTGAATGACAATGCCATTGCAGAGGGGGACTGGGGTAGGGACGCAGGGTGAGTGTGTCTCGGGGACACGGGTGCCACTCACCAGCAGGGAGATGAGCTGGGCCTGGGGGTTGGGGCTGATGAGCTCCTGGGGGGGCCGCAGTTTCAGCTTCATGTAGAGCAGGGTGATCACCTTGCGGGCCAGCTGGAGGTTGGCAGCCAGGGCCTTCCACAGGGGAAGGGTCCATCTGGGGAGACAGGGGTGGGTGGCCCCAATGCCTCACGGGTCATGAGAGGGACCTGCGGGGGCAAGGCCTTCAGTGCACTCTGAGTGGTGGCTCCCAAACAGGCCTCGGGGTGGCCGTGTGTGAGAGCAGAGACGGCTGGGTCTCTGCACGCAACATAGGACACACATGCACAACAAACATCCCCCTCCCACACAGGAGCCTTACCACCCACGCCTCACGCTGTGCACCCCGCACCCCTCCCCAGGCGCCCAGGCAGCTGCAGCGGCCGTGCTCTTGGTGTTTCCCATGCAGTGTTTGGATGTGGGAGCGCTTGACTTGTTGCCTTTTAAAGCAAAGGGCACGCCCACCTCCCTAGGCCCAGGGCTGTGCGGAGAGGGGGCCCCACCACCCTCTGCCTTCTGCCCTGGCCTTGTTAGGCCTCACCCCAGCCCCAACAGCCAGGGCGGCCGGACCCAGAGCGGCAGGTGATGCTGGGGTGACCTGGGGCTCGGGGAGCAGCACGTGGGGTGGGCTCCGCCTGGTCTCATCCCCCACCTGAGCCCTGCATCCCCTTGTAAGCGCTGCCTCGGGAGTCAGTGCTGGATTGGGTGAGGTGACTGCAAGGGGCCTGTCTCCTAAGCTGCTCCCTGAGTGTGCGGCCCCCGGCCTCCGCTGCCTTTCTCTGCCTTTCGGTCCCTGCTGTGCGGGGGACTCACGTGGGGGCTGGATGAGAAGTAGTACACCATCCTGGAGGCAACGTTGTCCACCCAGGGCAGGATCTTCTCCTTGGCATGCAGGGCCATCTGTCCATAGCACAGCAGGGTGGTGCTGCTGACCCATCTCCTGTGCAGATCAAGGCCTGGCTGTGGGGGACGGGCAGTGGGAGCTGGGCCTTCGGGGGACTCTGCTCTCGGCTCGCCCCTGACACCAACACAGCTCCCACCCCTTCCACGGTGGAGAAAGCTTCAAGCCCTGCGCACAGGGTCAGGACAAATGCCAGCCGTGTCCACACCCTGCGTCGGACCATGTTCCCGGGACTCGTGCCAGTCCCCTCCTCCAGGAAGCCCCTCTATTTGTGGGCCCTCGGGGAACCCCGTGCATGCCCGGGCAGCACCTCCTCCTTCCAGTGTCTCTTGTTCTCTCCCAGCGAGGCCCCAGGGTAGGGACGGCCAAGACAATGAAGTTGCTCCACATGTCCTCCCGGCTCAGGTGCGCAGCTGAGGACACTGAGGCCCAGCCACACACACCACCTGGGGCCAGGGCAGGCCCCATGGCCCTGGTCCTCAGCCCAAGTGCAGCTCCAGACCGAACTTTGGGGTCCCAAGACTCGCCTCTGTGGCCAAGGCAAGTACAGAGATGCTTTCGCCATGATCCAGCCTGGGTCCCCCACACCAGCCCTTCAGGGAGGACAGCGGGGCCAGAAATCCCTTGTGTCATCAATGAGCAGACCGAGGCTCAGAGACACAGGTGACGTTCCCCAGGCCCAGGGGCCAAGGCCTGCGCCCTCCCTGCCACGTCGCCCTGTTTGGCATCAGCCTCATGCTCAGGGCCTCTCTACCTGGCTGTCTGAGGACGGGAGGGCCAACCTCCAGCAGGGCCCACACCTCCTCCAGATGCGAGGTGGACGTCCATCCCACAGCAATCGCAATGCCCTGCGGACTGGGGACCCGGGGGTGCTTTGGGCTGGTCCTCAAGAGACAGTGAAGACACTCCCAGCCCTCCCTGGGGGCCGCAGCTTGCACTGGGCAGGGGGTCCCATTCCCCCCAGCAGGGACCCCTCTGCCAAGGTGGGCCCAGGACACACGCAGCCTGGCAGGTCTCGGTTCCTGCCCATCAGCACCTGACAAGACACTCCAGTGCCTCGAGGATCACACAGGATCGTGAAGTGAGGGACAGGGGCCTGGGATCAGCAGGGGCCCGGGATCAGCAGGGGCCCATCTGAGGCAGGGCCAGAGCTGTGCTGACCAGAGGGTCCCCAGGGTGCTAACACCCACCTCCCTTTGGTTGGAGGACTGGTGGGGCATCTCCAGGAGGCAGCCCATGTGCTTCCGCACCAGCTCCACGCCAGCGCAGTCTCGAAGGACCAGCCTGTACAAGTGGAAGGGGAAGTTCTGGGCGGGACGCCAAGGGAAAGGGGATGCTGCTGCTGGGTCCAGCCTGCCTCTCTGAGCGGCACTCACAGGTCCGTCTGCAGAGCCACCCAGGCTGGAGGGAAGCAGGTGCTGGGCCCCTACCCCCGCCCCATGGCTGCCTGCTGCTCCGTGGGGGCTGCTCCAGGACTTCAAGCCTGGTGACTCCTGCAGGAGGTGTCTACACTGGCGCCTGAGTCTGGGGCCGGGGGAGCTGCCTTAGAACACAGAGCCCAGGACTGGGTGGGCCTTGCTCCTTGTGGGTCCCAAGCACATACCCCAGCCCGCTGAGTGCTGCCGTACACCCTGCCTGCCACGCGGGCCATGCTGTGCACAGGGCCCTGGCCATGCTGGACTCCCAGCCTGGGGACCTCAGACGCCCTGGGCAGAACTCTCACTGCAGGGACGCTGCCTGCTCCCCTCCCCTCTGCACCCCCAGAGCCTGCCCGTGGGTGCAGGAGCCACAGAGCGGCAGGTCTCATGTCCATCCACCACCTTCCAGATCCAGAGGGCTTGGAGTCCCTGCAGTCACTTTGGGAGGGGAGGGAACTGACAGCCCTTCCACACCTGGGCACCAGCCTTCTCTGAAGCCTGCTGGGAGTCTAGGCTCAAGAGCTGCAGAAGCTCCTGGATGCCACTGTCCTCGGTGTCTGAGGCCTGCTCCTTCCCGGCCAGCTATGGCAGAACAAGGTGCCCAGGGCATGGACTCCCTGCCCCCAGCCCTCCTGCCAGGGACAGGAGGACAGGGCCCAGAGTGGACAGAACAGAGATGGTCCCACCAGGACCCATGGGCAGGTGGAGAACACAGTCTACTCTCAAAGGGTGGAAGGAAAGGGTCGGGTTGAGGCCCCACCCACAGCTGGGGGCTCAGGCTCAAGTGTGATTCTGGCCACAGGCTCCTCTGCTTAAGACCCCACCACCCCAAAGACCTTACCCTTAGGACAGAGGCCAAACCCTTAACAGGGCAGCCTGCAAGCCTGGATGCCCTGGCCCTGCCCCCGTGCCTGGGAGTGCCCCCGCCCTTCTGTGATGCCTCATGCTGGCCCCAGGGCCTTTGCACAGCCTGTCCCCGCCACCTGGGCAACTTTCTCTCCCACCTCTTGTACCTTCATTGGCAGTCGGCCCCAATGCCCTACTGTGTGTCCCCCTTTGTAAGCACTCAGGCCCTGCTGGGGTGTCTCCACCTGCCTGTCTACCAGGCCCTGGCCCCCAAATAACCCGTCTCTCAGAGTGAAGGAGGCTGACAGCAGCCCTGAGAGGTGAGGGGCATGCGGAGGCTGCACGTGAATCAGGCCGCAGCAGGAATGCAGAGGCAAGAGGCCAGGACGGCCCCTGAACCCCGGGACCCTCAACAAGCCCTGGCAGTGGTCCAGGCCCTTAGCAAGTCTAGAGGATGGCCCCCCAAAGAGGGCTGGGGCACACAGAACAAGGGGGTCCTGCTGCCCCCACTCCCAGGCCTGGTGTGAGAACAAGCCTAGGAGGCTGAGCTGGTGCCCTGGGGACGCCTCAGGCCCTCCCCGTCCTGCAGGTCAAGAGCAGACAGACCAGGGCTGGGCTCAGAGTGGCTGCAGCCTGGGCCGCCCCCTGCCCTTTTCCTCGCAGGGAGCAGCAGTGTCGGTCCTGACTTCCTCACCACTTCTGCACCTTCCAGCGGGAAAGTCAGGGGCTTTAGGGATGGCCGGGGCTTGTGGGAGCCGAGGTGACAAGGGAGTGATGGCAGCTGAGCTTGGGAGGCGTGGGCTCCGGGCTTGACAAGGCCACCAGCTGCCCAGTGAGTCCTGCAGAGGCCCCCCGGAGCCCCATGGCTCTGTACATGTCAGGGCCACAGAGGGTGCAGAGCGTGGCTGGGGATCCTACCTGGCTGTGTTCCACCAGCTGGTTTAGGATGGTCTCCAGCACCTGGCTCTGCTCCATGACCTCCATGGCCCTGATCCTGCTGGTGAGCTCTTCCTCCCTGGGGAGGCACTCACCCAAGGACACTCCCACGAGCCCTGGGTCTGGGCGATCTGCGGGGACCAGGAGGCAGAGAGGCACCCCTTGCCCTGCCTGCCAGCCTGTGGCCTCCTGCCCCCTGCAAGCCTGGGACCCTTGTGGGTGCTGGGAGCTCACAGGAAAGTCTGGGCTGCTCTAGAGGCTCCAGACAGCCCATAACTGCTGTCTTTAAAATGCACATGGAGGAAAAGGGTGTGAAAGTAGCTAAGAAGCTGGAAGCACCAAATGCAGAGGCCCAATCACCCCTGCAGGGCCGGGACACACCGCAGAGTTCCAGTGGTGGCTCAGGGCCTGGACCAGGTGCAGACCCACACCCAGAGCCTGAAACGAACACCTGATGTGCAGGACGACGGACAGGGCCAAAGTAACCGCTGAGCATCTGGAACCAAACTTTACCTGCATCCTGCCCTATTCCCACCAGACTACATTCCAAACGAAAACTGAACACAGAGGAGATGTGGGTTTCATCACCCCAGTTTCAGGGTAGACGGGGGTTTCTAAACATGAAACGGAGGCAGCCCTAAAGGACACACCTTCACAGTTAGCAACGTAGACCACAATTCACCCAAAAAGCCCACCTCACAGACAGCTGAGGAAACCGTCACCACACCCGGAACAAGGGGTGAGGGCCGGAGGGGACAGGCCTCGCACCCCAACCCGCACCAGGCTATGGCCATGGTCAGAGGCTTCCAGAAGAGGAAGCCCGACTGGCCAAGAATTAAATTAAAAGATGGTCCACCCCACCAGTAATGAAAGAAATGCAGGTTAAGGCAACAAGGAAGTGTGATTTCTCCACTGTCAGCAAGACAAAGACAAGGAGTGAGAGGAAGCCATCCTCACGCCCCAGGGCTGGCCACTCCTCCTCTTTGCAAAATCAGTGAGTGACAAACAGGACTCCATGTGGAAATTGAAGAGTCTATTTGACGCTGCACAGATGATATGATTCCTGTTTCATGAACAGAACGAGGCCGGAAGCTTGGCTGTGAAGGCAAGTGTGAATTGTCAATTTGACAAACGCTTTTGCAAAGATGACCAATGCTTCTGTAATCAGAAAAGAAATGGTAAAGCTGCCTGCCAGGGTCCTGCTGGAAATAGGGATGACGTCAGAGAGAGCCTCAAACCGTCAGCGTTGGCCACCGCCTTGCACTGCGCCCATGCTTGGAGCCCCGAGCCCCAGGCCAGGCCCTGCCCGCCCGCTCAGCCCTGCTCGCCATGCTCCCGCCCTTGCTGCTGGGGCGGCCGGCAGGGAGCCCACCTGAGGCGCAGAGGGAGGCCATTGCCGGGCGCTGCCACCATGAGGAGTCCCGAGTCCTGGGGAGACAGGTCCTGTGCAGGGAACAGAGGGACGTGTCACTCACGCCTGCCGGGGCCAGAGCTCGACTCCGAGGGACCCCCAGTCACCCCAGTCCTCACCCGGTCTCCTCGCCACGGTAGGTCGCCCCCACCTGTACCAGGGCCCTAAACACCGCTGGTCACTGCAGCATGGGAGGGCTCTCTGTGGGACCTGGGAAGGAGGGAGGAGGAGGCTGCCACACTGGGCCTAGCCTTTGAGCCCCACTTGCTGGGACTCCTCAGAGGCCCCTGGGGATCCCCTGGGTCCCATGCCTGTCCACCCAGCCTCCCACCCAGCTCAGGGTCTCAGTCCGCACAGCAGGGGCAGTGCTGCATTGGTACGTAGTCCTGCCTCCTTCCCAGTACTGGGAGCTCAGCTGCAGCTCAGGCAGCCTTGGGACAGCAGAGCCAGGCCAGAGCCTCCCGGGCTGGGCGGACGGCCGCACGTCTGAGAAGCCAGCCGGGCTGCACCTGCCTCTGAGGGCCTCTCTACCACCCCCCCAATCTGCCCTCTCCCTTGGAGGTCTGCAGGGCCTGGCACCTTCCTCTCCTCGACCCTGAGCCCCTCCCTGGACTGCCACCCTTAGACCCAGCTTGGAGACATTAGGGGGTCATCTGGGGATCTTGTTAAAATGCACCCTGGGGTTCAGCATGTCTGATCTGGGCCAGAACCTGCGTTTCATGCAAGCTTCCAGGTGGCCCCTGAGCCCAGATGGAGGAGGCCTGGTGCCCACCCTGGCCCCCTAGCCCCAGGCTGATGAGCCAAGGGGCTCCACCCCAGAGGGCCCTCTACCCGAGACCCTCCAAGACCCCCGTTCCTTGCTGCCCAGCCACACAGTGGCCCAGAGACTCAGCCCCAGCACCTACCCTGCCCCACTGCTGTCGAGGGAAGGTCCCCCAGACCCTACAGCCCCGTCTACTGCCGACTCCCCTTGCCCTGTGGCCAGCCCAGCCCACTCCCACCACTGCCAGGCCATAAGGCCATCTTTTCAGTTCTTTAAAAGAAGGCACCTAGGACACCCGCCCCCACCACCCCCACGCCATGGAACCTCGGCACAAACTTCCCGTCCTCTTGCCTGGGATCATGCAGCCCTCCCCCCTCATGGTTAAACATGCTCGCTTCTGCCCTGCCCTCCTGACACACAGGCTAACCGAAGAAGCACCTGCGAAGAAAGGTCTGTTAGCTACATGTAAGGTTTAAAGGTTAGGAAGGATTGCAGCCAGCTCCCAGGCGCAAGCGCAGGACACGTCACACCTGCCCAGGGAGGACTCCCAAGGGTGGCCAGGCACCCTCAGGCCCTCTGACCATGGCATGTAGGGTTTGGCTGTGAATCCCACCTCCAGGGAGTGAATCTATAGGAAAAATTAGAAATGCCTAAAAAATTCACTACTTAAGGCTTCTTTCCAGGTTTAAAATAGCCACACATGTTCAAAAATAGAGCAAGAATGGGCACGTTTCTGAAGACTATTTAATGACTGGGACGGCTCAGGATCCAAGTGGAACGAAAAAGTCTCATGATTCTCATTGAAAATTGAATTATCTCTGGGTGCCGGGATTCCGGGTGATTTTTTTTTTTTCTGAATCCTTTTCAAAATTGTCCAACGAGTCTGCAATGAGCATGGATTTACCCTTCTCAGAGAAGAAAATACTTATTTAAAGCCAAAACTGATGTTTTTTTTTTTAAGGCAAGGAAAGGACAAACCAGCAAATACTCCCTTTGGGTTAGGGAGGGCCAGCCGGAGAAGAAGCCGAGGGGCAGCCAGCACAGGTTCCGCCCTGCCCTGGGGTCAGAGGTCTGAGACCCTGGTGGCCCTGGAGTCTGAGGAGAAGATGGGAGGGGTCAGGTCTTCCAGGAGAGGGTGGGAGAGGGTGGGGGCGCTGCCCAGCCAAGGAGGGGCCTCATGAGTGCGGGGAGAGGCGGCTGCTGGGAGCAGGACACCAGGCCCTCTCCTCTCTCAGCCTGGGGCAAACTTGCTGAGTTTTCTGGGAGGAAGCTCCAGAGCGTGGCTGTCCCAACCGAGGGGAATTTAAACTAGGCTGGGCCCAGCCATGGGATGGAGCTGGAGGTGCCAAGAGGCTGGCCCCTGAGCTCACAGTCATCCTGGGTCTCCCCGCTTGTCCCAGAAGCTTTGCTAGGGAGACTGATCAGCCCCGGCCGTGAGTGACTGCCCCGTCTGCCCGTCCACCCGCAAACAGCAGAAGCTTTGCTAGGGAGACTGATCAGCCCCAGCCGTGGGTGACCGCCCCGTCTGCCCGTCCGTGAGTGACCGCCCCGTCTGCCCGTCCGTGGGTGACCGCCCCGTCTGCCCGTCCGTGGGTGACCGCCCCGTCTGCCCATCCACCCCAAAACAGAAATTGCTTGCTAGGCTCCTAGACGTCATCCGACCAAGGAGAAGGGACCAGGCGGCAGGCAGGGGAGCGCCTCGACCGCGTTACTCTCCCTTGATGGCAGCAGAAAGGGAGGCATTCTCAGGGTGCGTGTGTACCACTGAGCCCCCAGAGGCCTCTTCTGCACAGCGGCTGCTGCGGAGGTGTTGGGAAGGGATTCCCGAGGTGAGGTTTGGTTCTCAGCTGCAGGGGACAGACTTCCAGGTGCCCTGAGGGATCTTAGAACTGGACCAGGCTACCCAGCAGCCCCCACAGGTGAGCCCAGCAACTGCCACCGTGCAGGGTTGGGGGTGATACCTTCCCACAGGTATCCACCCCAGACCCAGCGAGCCACTGTCTGCAGAGTCAGCAAGATTGCTTCCCGAGAAAGCCTGTCCAGCAGCCAAGGGCTTACAAGGGACCAGTTCTCAACAGTCTGGAGGTTGAGGGGAACTTCACCCAAAGGATTCTGGCCTCAACTGACTCTGCAGGCAGCTGAGGGAATTCCTGAGCACACGTGGCCCTGAGGCTGAGAAGGAGGAAGCTCTGGAAACAGGAAGCCGCAGTACCCTGACCCAGGCAGGGGCCCTGAGACAGTGGAGCCCACAGTTGGCCTGAGGAAGGGTCCCCTAGGAGGGGCCACTGACCAGGGCTCTGGGGAGGGGCTTCCCTTCCTAGAAACCCTCACCAGCCCCTAACCATCCCCAGGAAGAGGCTGGAGGGCTCCAAGAACACCACGGATGGGGTGGTCGCCTTAGCTCATGCTATGGGTTTGGGCTCACTGTCATTTGGGATCGTGCGTGTCCTCCCTCGAGTCCATGAGTCAGCCCCACTGCCTGAGATTGCGGTCCAGGATTGACCTGAAGAATGGAACCAGTCCAGAGGCGGGGGATGCGGCTGCCCTCGGGCTCATGACTGACGGCCCAGGCATCTTCAGAGGGGCTTTCCTGGGATTACAAGCCCCCAGCAGAGACAGCTAGGGCGTGGCTAAACCCACTGCCATGTCAGGAAACTTAGCAGTAAAGCCTTCTCCCACTCCCCACAATGGGACACGCTGGTGACAGCAGCCTCGGTCCTGGGCAGGCTGGAGAAGGACGTGGCCCCTCAGTCCTGCTGGAGGCCTCGGGAATGACCCCCGCCTAGGACACAGCCAGCTCCACTATGGGGTCACCCTGAGTCTTCTTTAGGAGACTCTTAAGAGATAACATCCCTGAGGAAACTCTGTCCAGTAATAGAGTTTTGTTTTGTTTTGTTTTTAATTTTTTAAAGAGCTGTCCTCTGAGAGACGCTTGTCATCACCACCAACCCTGGGGAGCTGGGAAAGTTCCTAAGAGAATATCCCAGCTTCATAACTGCTGCAGTGGGGAGCTCCCTGAGCCACAGCCATAGCCTTTCTCAGGGGCGTGTGTGAGGCTGGGGGACAGAAGGGAGTGGAGACGCGGCTCCAGGCTCCAGGTGGCTGTGGAGGGGTGTGTAGAGGGTGTGGTCCCCAGGGTTTCTCCCCCCATGCCAACAGCTGCCCCTGGAGAGATAGGCCCAGGGCTCTGAAGAGAACTGGGGGCCTGGGACCTGGGCCACTGGGCTGAGGCCTTGGTCTGGGACCCCGTCTCCAGCCGTGGAAAGTGGTTTTGGCACAGAGCTGGAGGGGTGGTGGCCAGGCCTAGAGACAAGGCTCCTGTGTGTGGCTCGCTGGGCGGCCAGGGGGGATGACCACAGGTGGCCTCCTTCAGCAACTTGGGCCCCAAGCACCCTCCCTGCTGGACAGCCTGGCTTTGGGGACTGTAGGGAGACCCAGGAGCAGGCCTGCTGCCCCCTGCTCCCTGACAGGACCCCTGGGCTCACTCCTTCCCCAGACCTCCGGAGGGAATTTGGGGTGAGGGTGGGATGAGGCAGAAGTGGGGGAGGGACAGAGACCCTGACCCAGGCCCCCGGGCTCCCTAGGGAAACATGAGTTTCCTAGTCCCCACAAACCCTGCAGACAGCAGGGGACCCTCTAGAAGAGAGGCTGGAATTGGCCCAGGGGGACCCAGGGACAGAGGTGACAGGGCCAGGCTTAGGCGGGCAGCCATTGGTCTAACCAGGGTTTACAGGGCCATTCTTAGAGAAGCAGAGCTCAGCGGCACACAGCTTCTCAGGGACCTGGGTGCAGCCGGCCAGGCACAGGGACCAAGGGGTCTGCCAGAGGTGGGGCAGAGCATGGGTGAGAGTCAGGTTCTCTCCGGGAAATACTTCGAGAGGGGCAGGGAGGAGTAGCTGGGGGTGCCATGGGCGTGGAGTGGGGGTGGCGTCATTGACAGGAGCCACGGCCAAGGCCTAGGGGAGGTTTTGTGGAGAAACGGGAGCTGGGAGCAGCAAAGTCAGGACTCTGGGGCGGTGGGCGGGAGGAGCTGCTGCCCTGGGGACCCCGAGGCCTTACGGGGTGAGCACCTCAGGAAAAGCAGGCTGGGGGTCGGGGGCAAGCTCCGCTTTGGCCGGGCTGAGGTCAAGGCACCTGTGAGTGAGTTGGAGTGAGGGGAGGAGCGGCAGGGCCCTGGAGTAGAGTCCAGGGGAGGTCCCAAGCCCAGGGATAAGCTCTGTCATGGGGTGAGAGACAGGGCAGAGACAGACTGGAGGCTGGGAGGCCAGGAGAAGGGCTGGAGTCAGGGACAGGGGTCTATACCCACCCTCCCCCCGCCACCCCACTGGTGTCTGAGAAAGGACTCCCACAGGGTCCCCAGAACTTGGTCTGAGTTCCTCAGTGTGCACTGGTCACTACTAGCATGGACTGGAAAGCCGGGCGTGGAGTACGTGGAGATCCAGACTCCACAAGACGAGGCTGAGCACAGCCACGCCTCCCCTGGGGCGCCCCTCGGCGAGGGACAGGGCCCTGACTGGTGACAGCTTACTTCACAAAGGGGACACCGAGCCTGGAGAGTGGCTGCTCTGCGGAGCCCGTGCAGGACCTGCGGTGGCTGGTCTGTGCCTTTCACCCATGGACGGTGCCCCCCACCATGCCGCCTGAAGTCCACAGAGGGGATGGGGGACCGTGGACCTGGGGCACGGGGTGGCAGAGGCAGCGTGGCGCTTGTGGGTGGGGAAGGGCCCCATCTGGGTGGGACACAGGGTGGGCATGCACAGTCTCCTCCCCCATCTCGGCTGAGCCCTGCTGCAGCCCACGGCTCCCAGAGCAGGCCTGTCACCCGCCGACTCATGCATCCTGCATAGAATAATTGAGTGCCCAGAATGTTCTGTCCTACATTGGCTTGGGAAAGGGAGAAAAAGATGTAACCAAGGTCATCTTCACCCCTGAGGGCTCGAAGCCCAGGAGAGGAGACAGGCTTGTAAAGGGAGAGCCATCCAAAAAGGTCAGTGGAGAAAATCTGGGCAGGCCTCCCAGAGGAAGGGGCTCTGGGTTGGAGCTGAAGGCACAGACAGGAGTTTGCTAAGTGGTGAGGAAGGAAAAGTCTTGCAGCAGAGAGAACGACATTCAAAGGCCCGGAGTGGGACGAGTGCAGCCATTCCGGGGGCAGGAGCGCTGGGCGCGGTGGCCCGGCCTGGGGGACCCACGTGGCTTCTGCAGTGGAGCAGCGAGTCGGTGCCGGTTTGCAGAGCCCTTTAGAAACGCAGGGCTCAGGAGCTAAGGTTTTGTCTTAGGACTGAATGGAGGCTTCACAGCAGTGCAGTCAGGAGAGGAGGCTGACAGGGCCGAGGGGCTGTGCAGGTGGGAGCCTCCCTTCCTTCCGCTGGACTCCACAGGACGCCCTTCCCCTCAGCAGTCACGGTGGCCTCTGCGTGGCCCCCGCTGGGAGACAGCGTGAGGGGTCGCAGCGGCGCCATCAAACTCCAGGTCCTTCCCTTGCATTTCTCAGGTTTCTGCAAGGGGCACGTGGGGGCACGTCCTAAAAACCCACTGCGCCTCCCGTCCCTGCCCACCCAGGCCGCGGCTGCTCCTGTGTCTATCTCTGACTCCCTGGAAGTTCTCCTCCAACCCCACCCCACACACCACCTGCTGTCTCCCTCCCACCTCCTTTCTTCCTGGTTCTGGGTCCCCAAATGCCCCGGAGCTGCGTGGGATAGGAGCCTCGCTGGGGGGAGGCGGGGGCTGGGTGGTGAGGATCGGGGAAGCTGAGCTCTCAGGACTGGGGGCCCCTCCTGCACCCGTCTCCACAGCAGCACCTTCCCGAGCCCGAGGTGGCCAAGCCTTGCGTGTGACTGTGAACCAGTGCCTGCCGCAGGCCCCGCCCTCAACCTCGTCCTCCATCGCGTGCTGTGGGGCCTGGGGAGATGACTGAATGGCTAGGTGCCTCAGTTTCCCCACCTGTAAACCAGTGTCGGCTGCACGTGGTTGTGATGAAGACTGAGTGTCGATATGAAAAGCACTTGGACAAGTCCGGTCACAGGAAAATGCGGTGCTGCGGGAGGGGCCACACTTGGAGGAGCTGGAGTGCTGGGGTGAGGCAGGGAGGGAACGGGCTGGAGGTGGTCATGGGGCCCTGCCCTTAGATGAGCTAACTGGGGAAATGGCTTCTGAGAGGGGGACGTCCGTGTGGAAATGGGAAGAAGCTGGCCGGGTGCAGGTTGCGGGGCAGGCATGAGGGGAGGCAATTCAGGCAGCAAAAGCAGCAGGGTCAAAGGTCAGAGGACGTGGGCCCGTAGCCTCGGAGGAACCGGAGGAGCAGAGCAGAGGCCAGAGGGCCAGAGTGGGTGGCAGGGAGGCTGGCAAGGGAGGTTGTGGCCATTGTCCCAGGACCAGGGGAGCCATCGTGAGCTCTGAACAGGGGAGTGGCACAGCCCGATCTGTCCTTTACTCAATGGTCTCCATTGCCCACATCCCTCCTGCCTTCCTTTGACAAATAGAAAACAACCCCCACCACAGCCAGGCGTGGGGTTGGGTGCCCAGAGGACAGTGGGAGTGGGGGTCGGGGCACAGCAGCCTCAAGGGCTCGCGACCTGGCTGCCCAGATGGGCCTGTTCCCCAGCCCCGAGCTCCTAGGCTATGACAGCTTACCAAGGTTCCGGCCACTTGTCAGATAGCAGAGTCGGCCACGGGGCTCAAGGCTGACTTGTACTTCCCTCTGGCTGCTCGTAGGACGCCCACCCTGAGAATGGACCGCAGTACCAGCCTGCTGTCACCCCACCAACTGGAACCTCACAGAAAAAGCGCATGTCCTGGCCAAGGGTGAGGAGGAGCAAAGGGCTGGGGACCAGGTAGGGAGGAGGAGTCCCCAGGAGTACTGGCCCAGCTACTGGGTGCAGGAAGTCCTGGCAGGCTAGCCAGGACCTACCAACCAAAAGCCCCACCGGGAAGGACCCCACTGGGGCTCAGGAGCTGGATGCCAGGTCACCCGGCAGGCCCCAAGCTCACCAGCCCTCTGAACTCAGGCATCTTGGTCAGGTGGGGACTGTAGCAGTGGAGACGACTGAGTGAGGTGTCCTGTGGGGCACCTGTGTGGCTACACACAGCAGGTGCTGGGCAGGCCTTAGCAGCTCTCACTAGGGCAGGACTACTCCTGGGGTCAGCCAAGGAGGAGCAGCGTGTAGAAGGCCTCCAGGACCCCTTCCAGCTCTGGACAACCTCCCTAAGGGGCAGAAAGGAGCCACAGAAAGGGAAGGAAGGGGATGGAATGCCCCCGGGGGAGGAAAGCCTGGCGGGAAGAGCGGTAAGTTCAGGAGTCTGGGAAGAGAGGCAGAAGGTTCCACCCAGCCCTGCCCTTGGGGCTGCTGAGCCTGGACAACCCTGCCACGTGAGTGGCCTCCTCACCTGCAGAGCGGGATGGAGTGGGGGGCTGCAGAGCGGGAGGGAGTTGGGGGGCTGCAGAGTGGGATGGAGTTGGGGGGCTGTGGAGCGGGAGGGAGTGGGGGGCTGTGGAGCGGGAGGGAGTGGGGGGCTGCAGAACGGGAGGGAGTTGGGGGCTATAGAGCGGGAGGGAGTCGGGAGGCTGTGGAGTGGGAGGGAGTGGGGACTGCAGGGTGGGAGGGAGTGGGGGGCTGTGGAGTGGGAGGGAGTGGGGACTGCAGGGTGGGAGGGAGTGGGGGTCTGCGGAGCGGGAAGGAGTTGGGGGCTACTCAGGCCCTCCTCTCCGAACCTGTCTCCACCCCTGCTGTCTTCTTCAGGGCGCCTCAGACCCCTTCTGCTGAGCCAGCACCCCCCACCCTCGCCCACAGGCAGGAAAAGATGGGACTCCTGTGTTCCCGCTGCAGCAGAGCTGACTGGGGTCTGGGTGCTGGCTCAGCCAATGTCTGTCCAATGATGGTTGCTGTGTGTGGGGTGCACCCGACAGGCTAGGCCGTGGGGTTTCCAGAACAAGGGATGACACAGGACCAAAAGGAGGAAACTGGGCTCAAGAGCTCCACCTCTTTGACGTCTTCCCCAGCTCAGGGCAGCAGTTCCCTGGGGTTGCTTCTTTGCCCAGAGCCCGGGCTCATACCCCACTATCAGTATCTCACCCGGGAGGTTTCTAGAACCTTGGAATAAAATGCTCCTCATCTTACTCTTCAGCACATTGTCGCACTGACCGTTGATCACTGAGTGAGTGAGTGGATGGGCGATGAGCCAAGGGAGGCCTGGAAGCCGGATTTTGCATCAGGGCTGTGGGCCAGGCCGGATCCCCCGATGAGGAGGGTTTGGAGTATGTTTGCCTCAGGGCGGAGGCAGGAGGTGCCCAGGCCCTGCTCAGGTCAGGTCAGAGCCCTGTGCCAACAGCCAGAGAGGCCTGGCCTCCTGGAGGTAAGACCTGCATCCCTGGACGGCCCCGGCTGCCTTCGTTGTCTCCTGGCCACAGGGATGACCGGCACTCAGGGATCAGGAAGGGGCCGAAGAAGCACCTTCCTGCCAGGCCCTGCCACGTGTCCTCACCAGCCCTTGCCTCCCGCCCCACTCAGGGAGTTGGACCATCTGCATCAGGCCTTCCAGGGCGAAATGGCTTGACGTGTGTCCCCTCCAAATCTCATGTTGAGACGTGATTCCCAGGGTTGGAGCTGGGGCCTTCTGGGAGGTATTGGGTCATGGGGGCTGATCCCTTGTGAAGGGCTTAGCCACCCCCTTGGTGACCCGTGAGTTTTCGCTCCGTTAGTTCACTAGCGATCTGGTTGTTTGAAAAGCCTGAGACCTCCCCTGCCCCTTCCTTGTTCCATGTGACACGTGGTTCCCTTTCGCCGTCCCCATGGTTAGAAGCCTCCTGAGGCCTCCCCAGAAATCAGGCAGATGCCAGCACCATGGTTCCCATAAAACCTGAAGAACCATGAGCCAAAATAAACCTTTTTTAAAAAAATAAATTACCCAGCGTCAGGTATTTCTTTATAGCAACACAAGAGCAGACTAATGCATGGGGCTTCCAGGGCTGGCAGGAGGTGCCGTGTGACCACACAGGCCCCTGCCCTCTCTGTGCACAGCACAATGGGTCCAGTGTGCAAAGGAGACCCCTACTCGGGTGATGACCACAGTGGGCAGGGGCCTGAGGCAGGTCCACACAAAAATGCCATAAGCGCGCGGAAGTGTTCCTCCAGGGAACTGAGGTGCAGGCGGGGACCTCCCTCATACCCCCAAGGCAAGCCAGGAGCAGCTACATCTGCGTGTCACATCCCGGCAAAGGGGCCACCAGACCACTCCTCACTGCCTCGATGGAGAGACCCCCCGGGCAGTGCTGGCCAGGTGCCGCTGGACAGGAGGACAGACACCCTGCTCCCAGGAGGGAAAGGGGAGGGTGGCCCAGCTCGGCTCCCAGATGCATCTGTAGAGTGGGGTGTGTGTGTGTGTGTGTGTGTGTGTTTGTGTCTGTGTCAGGGTCTCTGGAGTGTGTGTGTGTCAGGGTCTCTGGAGTGTGTGCGTGTTTGTGTGTGTGTCAGGCTCTCTGGAGTGTGTGTGTGTGTATCAGGGTCTCTGGAGTGTGTGTGTGTGTGTCAGGCTCTCTGGAGTGTGTGTGTATCAGGGTCTCTGGAGTGTGTGTGTGTCAGGGTCTCTGGAGTGTGTGTGTGTGTGTGTCAGGCTCTCTGGAGTGTGTGTGTATCAGGGTCTCTGGAGTGTGTGTGTGTCAGGGTCTCTGGAGTGTGTGTGTGTGTCAGGGTCTCTGGAGTGTGTGTGTGTGTGTCAGGCTCTCTGGAGTGTGTGTGTATCAGGGTCTCTGGAGTGTGTGTGTATCAGGGTCTCTGGAGTGTGTGTGTGTCAGGCTCTCTGGAGTGTGTGTGTGTCAGGGTCTCTGGAGTGTGTGTGTGTGTGTGTGTGTGTGTGTGGTGAGTCCGTGCCGTGTGTGGCACGTGGCTTGCGTGGTTTGTGTACATGCTCCAGGTCGCTTCTATCCTGAGGGTCACAGCTCCTTCTGGTGATGCCCCTCGCCTGGTGCCCTCTTCAAGGGGATGTCCTGGCCATAGGCCTGTGTCTCCAGGAGGGGAGCAGGACACAGGCCCGCTGAGCCCCTCTGCGGTGGGCAAGTCCTCCGAGGCTAAGCCCCTCCAGGGTGAGTCTGTCCTGTCTCCCAAGTCTGAGCCCCTCGGCGGTGGGCCCGTCCTCTGAGTCTGAGCCCCTCTGTGGTGGGCCTGTCCTCTGAGTCTGAGCCCCTCCATGGTGGGTCTATCCTGTCCTCCTAGTCTTCTTGTTTCCAGACTGGGGCGTTCTCCTGGGCTCAGAGTTGCACGGCACACAGCTTGGCCGCGTCGGAAGGGACCACGGGTGGACTTGCCCTGGGAGCTGCTCTCCCAGCAGCCTGACGGCCCTCCTAGGGCAGACCAACCAAGACTGCTCCTCTCCTCCCTCAGGGAGAGTCGCTGCCAGCCCCACAGAGCCGAGACGTGTCCGGTGGCTCTGGCAGTCTTGCCAATCTGGCCCATCTCCCTCCCCATGCCCATTGCCCCAGTTACGCCATGTCGCCCATGGTTCCTGGTTCTGGGCAGGGGTTGGGGGCTAGGCCTGGGTTTCCATCGCCACCCTTCCAGGATGTCTGTTTGGCCAGAAGACGTGGAATCCTTCAGCTGGTTCCCAATCAGGTAAGGACAAAGAGCCAGACAGGGTCCCTTGTTGAGCTGGTCACTTCTGGGGGCAGCTGGGGCCCTCAGAGGGATGTGTTGCCTTGGAGACAAGGATGCTGATCTATTTACCTGCTCACTTCTGCCCCCCATGAGCTGAGGGACCTCTAGGGACACTCATTCCTCTGCACTGCACACCTGTACCTGCTGGTCCGGCCCCATTCTTTGGAGGTGACCCTGAAGCAAGGAAGAGAGAAGAGGGAGCTTGGGTGGAAAGCCATGAGCAGGCACAGGAGCTGGCGGCCACGGCTGCAGGAGTCAGAGGGGAGCCCAGACGGTGTAGCAAGGGACACCAATGGTGTCTGCTCCCATTAGAAGTCCAATCAGCCAAAGTTGACCTCAAACTGACTGTCCTGGCTTAAGTAAGTGGGTATTTTCTCATGTAACCAGAAAGAATGGGCATTTTAGGGGCTCCATGCCCCACCAAAGACCCTGCCTCTTTCGGTCTTAACAAGATTTTTTTCTTCTTCTTCTTCTTGCCTCCAAGATGGGTGCTTCACCTCCAACCATCACATCTCCACTCCAGGAAGCAGAGAAGGTGAAGGGTCTTTGTCAGCTGAAACCAACTGCTTTCCTGTAAGTTCTGCCCGTGGCTTCCCATTTCTCACCAGCAAGAAAAGCGCCACATGGCAAGAGGCTGTGAGGTGCTCTGGGAGAGGTGCGCAGTCACCTCAGACAAAACCTGTTCTCTGCGATGAGGAAGAAGGGGCGTGGGAGTTGGGAAGGCGGCTGGCAGGCTCTTTCAGAGGCAGATGTTATTAATTTAATGATTTTCCTTTTTCTTTGACACACGGAGCCAAGGCCGCCTTGGCACAAGCTGCAAGGTGCCAGCTGCAGGAAGGAGCATGACGGGAGCTGTGGTGGGGAGAAAGGAGGTATTTCCTCTCACAGTGGCCTCTGCATGCCCTCGGCCTCCCTAGACAATTCCTTCATCTCTTCCCTTAGCTGCCTCTCTGTGGCTGGGATTGTACCCGCCTATCAGCCAGGCACCTGTGAAAGGACCAGCTCACTTAGAGAGAAGCTGCCTGGTCTTACCCAAACCTCTGGCCAATCCCCTATTCCCAGGATAAGAGTGTCTTCCACAGCATCTGTGGCCCAGGGCCATCTGGCCTCTTGGTTACCACCAAGGCTGGGGAGCTCACTACCTCTATAGCATGTGTGTAGGCAGGGGAAGGAGGCAAGAGATGTGGGTAACATAAAATCCCCAGATTCCCCCTTGATGGTAGTGATCATGAAAAACATCTCCCCAAAGCCACAGAGGTTTTCAGGAAACTCCTTTCCAAGCCCTTCCTTGAGTGGAGATGGGATAGGCATGGGCAGCCCCCCAGAGTCCCCAGGGCTAAAGTGACCCTTTTGCACAGAGGAGACAGTAGAAAGGAGACAGGAGACAGTGTGTTTCAGAGAGGGGCAACCATTGCCCAAGTTCACCAGTGGAGGAATTGGAATGTGGGTCTGAGCACATCCAAAGGAAGAAAGGCAGGAAGAACAAACCACAGTCCCGCCCGAGTCAGCAACTGCCAGGACCAGGGCCCATCGAGGCTGTGCTGGCAAAGCTCCCTGGCTCCTGGTCCACCCTGTTTTCCCAGAGAATCCAGCCAGGTGTGGGGACGCCCAGGAGGGGCTGCCCGCACAGTGCGGTGTAGTGGGATTCAAGGGGGCCCCAGGGGAGAGGAGGGAGAGGTTTGGTCTGTAGTTGTGTTTGCCACTCCCCATTTTGCCCCCTTCCTGGGCAGGCAGGACTGGACTGGGCTGTGCAGTATGAGTCATTTCTGGGTTTTCCATACTATTCCATTTCTGTGTCCTTCCTTCCACCAATACCATACAGTCATCATGGCTGCAGCTATTTAATAAGTCTTTAAATTGGGTAGACGTGTTCCTTCCACTTTATTCCGCTTTTCCAAAATTGTTTTAGCTACTCTAGTTCTTTTGCCTTTCCATACAAATTTTAGAATCACCTTGTCTGTACCTACAAAAAAAGAAAGAAAGAAAATCTTGCTAGGATTCTGAGAGGAATTTCTTCAAACCTGAATATCACTTTGGGAAGCATTGACCTCTATGGTGTGTTAAGTCCCCCAATCCATGAATCTGGTATTTGTCTGCATTCACCTCATCTTCTGGGATTTCCTCCACAAGGCTTTCGTCGTGGCCATGCTTTACTAGCTTTGCAGCCAAGCATTTCATTTTTGTTTCAGCAATCATAACTTGTATTGTATTTTCGTTTCTGTTTTTCCCTTCTAGCATTTAGCAGTACAATTTATTTGTAGATGTTGATTTTTGTATCCAGCAACCTTGCTGAAACTGCCTGTCAGCTCTAGGAGTTTTATGTAGATTCTTTATTATTTTCTGCACAGATAATTGTGTCATCTGCAGACACAGACAGTTTTTTGGGTTGTTTGTGTGTTTGTTTGTTTGTTTGTTTGTTTTTGAGATGAAGTCTCACTCTGTTGCCCAAGCTGGAGTGCAGTGGTGCGATCTCGGCTCACTGCAACCTCCATCTTCAGGTTCAAGTGATTCTCCTGCTTCAGCCTCCCAAGTAGCTGGGATTACAGGCACGTGCCACCATGCCTGATTAATTTTTTTTTTTTTTTGTATTTTTAGCAGAGACGGGGTTTCACCATGTTGGCCAGGCTGGTCTTGAACCCCTGACCTCAGGTGGTCCGCCTGTCTCAGCCTCCAAAGGTGCTGGGATTACAGGCATAAGCCACTGCGCCCAGCTGACACAGACAGTTTTACATCTTCCTTCTCAATCTGTATGCCTATGATTTATTATTCTTGCCTCATTTTAGTGGCTAGAACTTCCATTACTATGATAAATAAGAGTTTCTGATCTCCGAAGGAAAATACCCAGTCTTTCACCAATGGCATGATGTTTGCTGTAAGTTTTTTTTGTTTGTTTGTTTTTGTTTTTGTTTTTTTGTTTGTAGATGCCCTTTGTCAACTTGAGAATTTCTCCTCTATTCCTATTTTTTTCTAAGAATTTTTATCAAAAAATGTTGGGGCATCAATTGCTTTAACGTTATTATATAGCCTGTTAATATGGTGGGTTTCATTGCCTGAATTTCAAATCGAGCCAGCCTTGCATCCTGAGTGAGCCCCGCTTGGTCACAGCATTTGATTACTTTTACCTGCCATTGCATTCTATTTGCTAGCATTGTGTTAGGGATTTTTGCTTCTATACTCATGAGGGTTATCAGTCTGCAGCTTTCTTTCATTTTCTTTCTTTTCTTTTGTACCATCTTTGGTTTTGACATTGGGGTGATATTAGCATCATAAAATGAAATGGGGTGCGTTTCCTTCCTTTTCTTTTTCCTGGAACAGATTGTGTAGAATTGGCATTCACTCTTTAAACATTGGGTAGAATTATCCAGTGAAAACATATGGGCCTACAGATTTTTTTTTTTTTTTTTTGGTGAGTTTTAAAATTATGAGCTGGTTTTAATTCCCTACTGGCTACTTCATGAATTAATGGGTTAAAGAACCTCCTTGACAAGCGTCCACTTCATATTTGAATGGATCAGGATTTTTACTTTTTAGAAAAGTTTTTCCTCTCACATCTCTTCCCTGGGCAATGGGGCATGAGGCAAGCTGACTTCTCACCACCTGAAGGGTGGGCAGGAGGGCAGGGGTGCCTGGCCTGGCTCTGAGGAGGTAAGTGGGCTGGGAGGGGCTAGAGCAGGGCTTCCCACTAGGCTTTGGGCCGGCAAGTGGCTTCAACCAGAGGCTGCTGCCCCTTCCCCTGGCTGGGGGACTCCTCAGCCAGGACCATCCACCAGCTTTCTTCTGCTCTTGGCTACCCCTGCACCTTTGTGCAGGTAAATTCACCCTTCTTCTCAGTCACAGACATCACCAAGGCAGGCCCAGGCCACAGCCTCACCACACCATCCTATCTCGGCAGATGGGAGGCAGAGGTCTAAAAAAGGTTGGTTGTCCACCCGGGGTCACCGATGGTGTGTGGAGGGCTACAGTGGAAGCCTGGGTCTTTCCCCCAAGTGGCTCCTGGGGCTTTGTAGGTGTGTGGAGGGGCCTGCGGTTGTGTAACGGGCCGCCACCTGGGAGGCCCTCTCTGAGGCTGGCCTCCCTGTCCTGCAGTGGGCACCCAGCCCAGGAGAGCCCCCACCCATCTTGCCGCCCTGCCAGGAGGAGGTGGCTCCCACCGGGCACCCACCAGGGGACAGGCATGACTGTGTATTTCTCCCTGAGTCCGTCTTTGTGAAGCTGGATCTGGCATCCAGCAGATGACCATTTCTCCATTTGTAAACAAGACAGGCCCCCCGCCGCCACTGCCCAGATTTGAGGCATCCGCACAGGTGCCTGTCCTGGAAGGCGGGCCCCTGAGTTAAATGCACCTCCCCTGTCCATTTCTGTCAATCCCTTCCTGGGCAGGTGCTTAGAGAAGATGGTGGGGATGAAAAGGAGCCCACTCAGAGGCTCCCGGGGGTGGCTTCCTGGCCTTTTCCCCAACACCAGCCCTGGGATCGACACCCACCCCTGTGGGTCTGTCCACCAGGTTTGGCCCAGACCCTGTTGGGTGAGGGCAGGGAAGTGGTGGCCCCAGTGCCTGTCTAGTGGAGGCGAGACCAGGTGTATCCACGGCAGAGTCTGAGCCCAAAGGTCAGACCACAAGCTCCAGGGCAGGGGTGGCTGGGACAGAGCCTGCACAGGAAACCAACAGGCAGTCTGGTCCTCTGCCCTTTTCTGGTCTCAGATTCCTCTCTGCTTTCCTTCATTTCCCACACAGGCAAAGGTGGAGGGAGAGTGGAGCAGGGCAGGGCAGGAAAGACCTCTCTTCCAGGAGAAGGACCTAGGTGACCCTGCTTAGCCACGCCCGCCAGCCCCAGTGCTGGGGATGGGAGGGGAGCTCCTGCCTGAAGGTCCGGGCCCCATCCCCTGCATCCCACTCCCTCTGGTCCTCAGCTCCCTGGTCAAAGGCTGCAGCCTGCTCATCTTCCCCTGGCCTCCTGCACCCCCACCCCAGGCGCCCTTGGCCAGCCAAGCGGCCCTCCTCTCAACACACTGCAGGGCAGGTGCCCTCAGCCCTGTGCATCCCCAACCTCCCTTAAGAAGGTAGCACCAATGCCGGGGGGTGCCAGGCTCGTGCTCGGGCCATGGACTCGCCTGGCCAGCCCTCGGTTCTCTGCAGAGCCTGCATGGGCCCTCCAGGGACCCCAGCACCCAGACGCCACTGACAAGGGGCTTCCATGGGGGCTGCTGGCACCAGGACCGGGTTGCACTCACCAGCTGGGACGTGAGGGTGAAGGTGGCCTTAAGGGTGGGGGCATTCAATGGGTGATCACCCAGGACCCCTCAGCTCATCCTAAGTAAGCACTGTGGGTTTTTCCTGTTATCATTACTGGCCCTGTTCTTCTGGCTGACCCACAAGTTCCCAAGGGCAGGGACCCCTCCTGACCCCTCCTGGGGAATGTAAAGGTGGAAGATAGGTGAAGGCATGGCCGAAGGCTACCCTGGGAGAGAAGCAAGTGACCTCAAGGCGCCTGGAAATGGAATTGCAGACTGGAGTACTAGATGGAGGAGAAATTCCAGGGTGGGGACTCCAGGACGGGGGCTGTCTAGGACAGGGATGGGAGCGTGCAGGGTGCTGGGGTGATGACCCTGACCCCAGCATTGAAGGAGAGCAAAGGCAGGGCAAGGAGCAGGGCCGCCTCTGGTACCCAAGGCCCCTCCGTGCCCAGAGGAGCGACACCAGGGCGCTATGAGGGCATAGCTAATGGGGCCGAGGCAGGCGCTGCAGGTCCATGAGAGGGGAGGGCAGGGCAGGCTGAGGGCCCCAGCCTGGTAGCCCCTGCCCTAGGGGAGCCCGAGGCAGCAGGAGGACTGTGAGCCTAGGTGGGGAGAAGGCTGCTAGGGTGGAAGGTGAGAAGGCACTCTGGGGTCTCTGGTCCAAGCGTGCACATTTCATACCTACAAATATAAAACACACACGTGTTCAAAATGTTACCTCACTGATGAGGGAACCAGTAAAATGTTACAACTGGAAATCTCAAAGCACCCCACATATGTAGGGACGAAGAAAGCCGAAATGAATTCCCAGGTGGGATGCAGAAGGGAGCTGCCACCGGGCCATAGCCAAACGCACACCCCGGGCTCTTGCACGGGCACTCCATGGGCAGGTGCAGTCACCGGATAATGGATTTTCTACCACGGTGGACGAGGAGAGATCTCCCAGTCAATGGAAGACAGGGGCCCCTTGACAGTGGGTGGCCAGGACGCTAATGCCCTCTCTGGTCTGCCCAAGCTCTTTGGCCCTTCAACTCTGCCCGGCATGGAGACCGGCCTTGGCCACTGGGATGCCTGGGACATGGCGGGCATGGCAGCCCCTGGTGGGGTGCTCTGAACAATGCACCTGGGGACAGAAGCAGGCTTGGGGACTGTGCACTGTCACTGGGCAGGCCCCGAGGCATCTGAGGCAGGAAGTCCCCTATGGACCCCTGGGCACCAGCATCCAACAGAGCCAGTGTCCGGTGTCCAGGACCCAGGCACCACTGGACACCCTGAACGAAGGTCCTCTAATGAGGCCTGACCCAGAGAGCCCCTGAGGGCCTGAGCCCCTCGTTGCCCTCTCATGCTCAGGTGCAGGGGGGTGCTCTCTGAGCTGAAGGGTCATCCTCCAGGGTAGGGGGCTGCAAGCAGCTGGGGCCAAGCCCCTCCTGGTCCTTTGGCCTAACCCTGAGAAAGAGCGGGGTTCAGTGGAACAAAAAGGGCCCAGCCACCGTGGGGAGAGGACCCCAGGACCATTTTCCCTGACAGCCAGCTCTGGACTGTCCATCAGGGTGCCCAGGCCAACAGAGGCCCAAAGTGTGGGGCTGCGTGGACTCCTGCGTGCAGAGGATGCCTGAGGCACAGGGCAGGCCCCCAGGGTTTGGCGAGAGTTGGGCCTGACTGATCAGCTCCAGGCGGCGTTTGGCTGGATAGATAGGAATGCAGATTTTGCCTTCCTCCTGGAAGGACTCAGGCCGAGCAGCCTCCGCATCTTTAATTCAAGCTTCGGGGGGAGGGCAGCCGCCTGCCAGGACTGCTGGGGAGACGGACCCAGGAGAGAGCCATGGCCGGAGCAGGAGGAGCCACCCCCAGGAGGTGGTTCAGGCTGCAGGCAGGAGGACTTGGCTGTCGCGGGACAGCCAAGGGAAGGACAGGCTGTCTCAGGACAGGCCTGCAGCAGGATCTGGGAGCTGGGGTGCCTACTATGGGGGAATGGAGACCAGGGGTACGGGGCAGCCGCAGAGGCAGCTCGTCACTCAGCTCCTTGCCAGCCCCGAGGCTCAGTCACTATTTTTGATAGGATAAGCATGGAGTTGGCCCTGGGCTCCGGAAGCCCAGTTGCCGGAAGAGGGGGTGGCCGACGCTGCCGCTGGCTCCCCGAAGTGACCTAGATGGAAGAGCGCCTCCTCTGCCTTTCTGCCACAGGCTGCCTCGGGCCTCACAGGCCTCCCAGCTGACCCTGCTCCAGAGTGAAGGGCCTCTGGGTCACCCCGCCACCTGCTCAAGAGGGGAGGAAGCTGGCTGGGGATGCCCGGGCTCCTCAGTGCACCAGGGGCACCCTGTACTTGGCCCTCCCCAGCAAGATCAAGATCAGCAAATGCAGCCCCCGCCCTCCTCCTCTGGGGTTCACCTGGACCCTAACCCAGCCCTGCACCCAGGAAGAAAGCTCAGCCCGGCTGGCTGGCATCCCTGCCCCTCCCTCCTGCAGACTCGGACAGCACCGCTGCCAGCCTGAGGTGGCCATGATAAAAAATGAAGAGAAAGAGGTGAAACTAATTTGAATCATATATTTTATTTAACACAATATATCCACCCAATATATCCCAATATTTAACCCAACATTTCCCCACGCAGGAAGCATTCCAGCCTCTGGCTGGGCGCCATCAGTATCCTGTCAGGGCTGGAGTGGGGTCTGAGAGGGAAGCACGTCTCTGGAGCCCGCCTGATGGGGTGAGGACCCTCTTTAGAGCCCCTCTCTGCAGACCATGCCTCTGGCCCTCAGAGCCCTCCCACCCCCAGCCTGCCCTGCCTGCCCCTTAGCCGCATTCCTAAGCTCCGCACCCCTGGCCAGGCGACGGGCGGTGTGGGGGCTGAGGAGGGAGGAGTGCTGCAGCCTCGGAAGCCCAGCCAGAGACTCTCCTCGCCACCCACACGGCTCACTGGGACTCCGGGCATGGAGCTCCCGGGTAGGGGTGGACAGGAGGCCGGTGGCAGGCGGGGGCTGCTGTCAGTGCGAGGATGCACTGCTCCAGGCTGCCGCTGTGGCTTAGTGCCAACTCCACTCGGCCCCTGCCCCCATCCTCTCTCCCCTTTGCTTACCTGCAGGTGGCTTTGGTGACTTGACAATGGCCCAAGTGCTGCCATTGCAGAGATGGGGAAACTGAGGTAAGAGGAGGCGAAGCCGAGGGCCCTGCAGGGACCTGCATCCAGCATCTGTGGGGAGCCAGTCCCCGGTGTCACCGTGTGAATCTGACCACGTCATGGGCAGTAGCTCCGACCACCCCGTTTCACTGTGGGGAGGCGGAGGCCTGGCATGGGGAGGCTGTGTGGCCAGCTCCCTCCCGCAGAGGTCAAAGGGGAGGTCAAAGGGGAGGCAGCGGGGACACAGCCCAGGCCATCGTGATGGAGGCAACCCAGCCAAAGATAACAGGAGCTGAGGCCCACAGCAGTGACAGCAGAGGGTGGTAGTGACAGGGCTGTGCCCTGAGTGGGGACGCTGGATGCAGGGCAGGGATGGGTGTCTGACAGCTCTCCCTCCTCTGGACCCTGTGATTCCAACTGCAAGACCGCAAGGACCCTTCCCAAGCACCCCCCTCTCCCGGCCAACAAACCTGCGCCCCTGCCCAGGCCTGAAACCCGTAGATCAAGGTTGCTGCAAGGACCTCAGCCCAGTTCCCATAGCAACGCCTGGATGGTGGGGGAGGGGAGAAGAATGGAAATGGAGAGACACCAAATAAAAAACAACAACCTCACAAAATGAGCAGTCAGGGAAAGAGCTGTGGAGGGATGGCCCCGGCCCAGGCTGAGGAGGCCCCAGCAGGCACAGCCCCCATCACCACTCACGTAAACAGCACTGGCAGGCGCCAGCCACTGCACAGGGCGGGAGACACAGAGGCCAAGGAGGCAGCCCCCAAGGCCGGCACACAAGGGGCCTAGGCAGGGCTGCCAGACTCCAACAGGGAGTCCCTGGCTAGTCCCGTGGGTCTCAGCTCTAGAGAGGGGAGCAGATAGGCAGCTCTGCCCACCTAGCACTCACCTGCCCCTCTCCACGGCCGTCCCACGGGAGGAGCTGATCACGTGGGACCTTATCTGACCCATGTGTCAGCCCCACATCAGCCCCAGGGGGAGACACCCTCACCTTCCTGTTCCACCAGTGAGGAGGTGAGGCTCAGAGGGGCCACACAGTCAGGTGAAGGGGAAGGGCCACAGCCAGGCGGGCCTGGGAATCTACACCATGCAGGGACGCTGGGGAATCCGGCACAGAGCAGGCAGCGTGAGGTTGTGCTGGTCCCCCGCTGCCACCGAGCAAGCAACCACAAATGCAGTGGCTCAGACAGCACGCCTTTCTCGTCTCACGGTTCTGTGGGTCAGGAGCCCAGCCCTGGGGCTCACTAGGCTGAAATCGAGGTGTCCACAGCCTGCGTTTCCCTGGGAGGTTTGAGGGGAGCGTCTTCTTGCAGCTGCGGCAGGTCCAGCGGCGGTCGCCTGGCAGCACCTGCCCTGCTTCACGTCCACACCCTCTCTGACGCACCTCCCTCTCCACGAATCCTGCAGTCACCCTGGGCCACACAGATGATCCAGGACAACCTCCACATGTCAAGGTCCGCTGAGGAGTAGCTCGAGTTCCCCGTGCCTGGGAGCCTAATGTGAGGATGCTGACATTTTGGAGGGGCATACTGCCTACCACAGGGCAGATAAGGGAGCTTCGCCAGGTGGAGGGCGAAGGGCTCTGCCACAGAGGAGACAGGCACAGCAGGAGACCGAGTCTGTCCTGGGGTGGCTGGGGGTGGGTGTGGGCATGTCGGGGTGGGGCCTCAGCCTCCTCCTGTGTCTGCAGTCTCGGGGAGACCGAGGATACACGCCCAGCTGTGAAGCAAGTGACGTGTCCAGGGCTGACTTCCTTGGGGCTCACCTGGATGGGAGCAAGCATCAGTGGGGCTTCCTGGAGGAAGCAGCTCAGGCTCTACCTGCAGAGGGTGGAGGATTGGGCTGTAGGGGGAGACACTGGTCAGAGGAAGCTGTGCTGAGAAAAGCCGCTGGGGAGCCTGTCAGGGTCCCTTCTTGGGGCCTCAGGTGCTGGAGGAAGAGTGATTCCAGGCTGCCACGGTGGAGGGAGGGGCCGTTGGTGATGGACCTTGAAGGCCAAGCCAAGGGGAGCCAAAGGAGGCCTGGAAGAAGGGGGGTCCCCAGGTACCGGACGGCTCCCCAGGCAGACTTGAGCGGGGAAGCAGGGGAGTCCCTGGGTACCAGACAGCATCCCAGGCAGACTTCAGGGGGGCATATGGTTTGGCGGCCCCAGAATCCTGAGCAGGTCCCGGCCTCTGCTCTGCCAGCTGCCGCTGCTGGGCAACCTCAGGCAGACCCTTCTTCCTGCCTCTGGCTGCAAAGCCTGCCTCACCCCAGGGCCCCTTCCCACAGGTGCCTCCCTCCACATCAGAAACGGCTTAGAATCCGCCACCCACGCCCCGTCTGTCCTTGATAGGGAAGCCCTGGACAGCAGCGGATTTCCCTGCAGGTGCTGAAAGGGGCAAACCCCACTTAGGGGCTCCTTGCAGGCTCCAGGCTTCAAGGAGAGGCCGGGGTGCCCAGGCTTCCTTCCTACCATGGACAGGGCCCCAGGAGATGGAGGGGTCTGAGTGGACCACAAGCCTCTCGCTTCATCTGGGAATGAGGAGGAGGCCGGGCCCCATGTCCAGGGAGAGCATGTGAACCAAGGAGGCTCCCGGACCACCACCCTCGTCCACCACACCCACTCCCAGGGCGTAGGTCCCATCATCCCCAGGTCCCCTGAGTGTGGAGAGACATACTGACATTTTCCAGCAGGACTGCACCATACACCACGGCAAAACAGGCAAGATAATTATGGGGGATAAGAGAAGCTAAAAATAGCCTCCTTCACAGCCCAGACTCTTGGCAGGGAAGACACCAGACGAACTAGCAGGAGCCCGGGACCTGGGCCCCCAGGGAGGGGCAGCCTGCTGCGGCACCCCTCAACAGCTGTGCACGAGAGGGACGCTGCCAGGGAGGGACAGGTGTGGGGCCGACACAGGGCCTCTGTCCTCAGGGAGCGTCAGGCAGCGTCAAGACAGATGGGAAGAGTCAGGGATGCCCAAGGCACAGCAGTGACACCAGGGGTGGGGTGCAGGGAGGAGAGATAAGGGCAAGGCTTCAGAGGGTGAACAGGAGCTCACGGACAATGGCCATTCCCGGAAGAGGGGTGGAGCAGCTTCATGGGTTCCAGGGGGCCATCCAGAGGCAGGCAAGGTGGTGCCAGAGATCGCCTTGAGGGCCACCTTGCCCTCCCTTCAAGCTGGAGGAATAGCTGGGAACCATCCGCAGGGCTTCCCCACCCCTGGTGGACAACCTGGGCTGAGTAACTGCTGTCTCTGAGGGCAGCCTTGGAGCAAGACGCTGCCCGTGGAGCATCCCGCAGCACCCTATAACTGGCCCCAGGTCAAGGCTGTGTACCAGGTGGTGGCTCAGAGAAAGGACAGCAGCCAGATGGACCCCTGTAACTGGCCGCAGGCCAAGGCTGCGTACAGGGTTGCAGCTCAGAGAAAGGACAGCGGCCGGACGGACCCTGCTCTTTCTGGCTGAGCCCCAGCTCCCAATGTGGCTCCTCCCGGCCCAACACTTTCCCTCAGGGTCAGAGCCAGGTGTCAGTGGGACCCAGCCATGGACATGGGAAGGGACTCAGGACCAGACGCTGGAGAAGGGGATACCCGCCAGCCCCGGTTCTGTCCAGGGCTGAGCTGAGGAGGAGGCTGAGCTCAGAGGTCACGGAGGCAGGGCCTGTGCCTGAGGCCCAGGGCTCGGGGAAGAAGGTGGTCAGAGGGAGGACAGAGGTGGCAGTGGGAAACAGCAGTCAAGGCCAGGCCAGGGTGGGTGCCAGGCTGGCTAGGCTGGGGGCAAGGGATGAGGGTGGGGGACCAGGGGAACCCACCCAATCCTCCCTGGGAGCTTTGCTTTTAAGGGATTCTGGAGGGACCAGAGGGGGCTAGGGAGAGTGGGAAGGGGGCAGAGGGAGAGGCAGGGCTGGGGGGAAAGGGGAGACAGCAGCAGCCCAGGAGGGAGCTCCTCGCCCCAGCGGTGGGGCAGGGGAGGGCAGAGCCGGGAGGCCTGACAGCTGGAAATGTGGGCTTTACCCAGAGGTGGTGGCCGGCCGCAGAGGGGCGCGGGCCCAGGAGCTCCTCAGTCATCAGTTTTAGCTTTTAAAGATGTTTTTATTCCAGGAGGGAGGTTTCCAGGAAACAAGCAAACAGAAAACAAACACAAAGGTGCCCCCAGTGGAATGTTGCGTGGGATGGAGCCCTGCACAGAGGACGGTGAGGAGGGTGAGAGAAAGGGACGACCTGAAATTCCAGGAGAATCGAGGTGCTCTGTCGGAAAGGAGCACGATCAGAGTCCCCTGCCATGGAAAGTATTTCACCCTGGTGTAATTTCTTTCTTTCTTTTTTTTTTTAATTTGAGACAGGGTCTCATTCCTGTTGCTCAGGCTGGAGTGCAGTGGTGAGAACAGGGCTTACTACAGCCTCAACTTCCCAGGCTCAGGTGATTCTCCTGCCTCAGCCTCCCAAGTAGTGTAGCTGGGACTACAGGTGCACGCCACCATACCTGGCTAATTTTATTTTGTATTTTTGTAGAGATGGGGTCTCACCATGTTGCCTAGGCTGGTCTCAAACTCCTGGGCTCAAGCAATCCTCCGGCATCAGCCTCAGCCTCCAACAGTGCTGGGATGGCAGGCGTGAGCCACCACACCCGACCTTTTTATATATATTTACTTTTTGTAGAGACAGGGTCTCCCTATGTTGCCCAGGCTGGTCTCGAATTCCTGGCTTCAAGCCATCCTTCCACCTCAGCTTCCCTAAGTGCTGGGATTGCAGGCGTGAGCCACTGTGCCCAGCTGGTGGCGATAAGTGAGCACTGAATATTAACTTAGCCCCATGGTGGCCTTGGGAAGAGGCAGGGTGGGGAGGAAGTGCAGTCAGGGTAGGGGACAGTGTGAGGCTGGCACACCCCAGCTGCTCCCATGGCAATTACAGAAATAGAGGAGCTTGGCCCAGTGGCCTTGTGGGGTGGCCAGACCCTTAGGAGATGGGGACGGGCAGGACCAGGACCCCCAGGACAGCTGCTTTGGACTTTCTCAGTTGAAGTGCCCAGGATGTCAGAGTCGGCGTACAGTAGAGGATGGGCCGTGGCCCGGAGATAAGAGCAAGGCTGGAGGGTGGGGGCACAAGGTCCTGGGGAGAGCCAACCCTGGTGTTCCAACGCAGGTTCCCAGCACAGCTTCTGGGAAGGGCACTCGGCAGCACCCGTGGTCTGGCTTCTGCCCCACCCTCGGACCAAGTTGCTCTCACCAGGGTCCCCATGAGGTGGCCAGGGTCAGTACTGGGTCATCTGTGGTCATCTGGGCCAGTATTGGAGTGGGTAAAGACAGACTGCCAACCTGGGCGGGCAGAGCGATGCCCACTTAGGGCTACACAGAAGGGAGAGGACCCTCGAGGATGGGGCTGAGAAAGGACACCTTACTGCCCGCTGCCCACCAAGGGCCCACAGCACAGCCCAGGCATGCACAGACAGGCCGAGGAGGCAATCTTGTTCACGCTGGTAATTTTCTGCCTCTCCTGGGCCTCAGTTTCCCCACTCATACCAGGAGTGCCACTGCAGCCCCAAGGCCCATCCCAGAGAGAGGTGGTGGTCGAGGGAGGGCCGGGGAACCTGTCCCGTGGCTGCTACATCTGGGCACCCCATAGCCGGAGCTGGGTGGGATGCTGGCCTCATTCCTGGAAGAAATGGACTATATCGTATGTCACCTGCTACCTACAAAAGTAGGGTGCCAGCTGGGATCCCTGCAAATGTGTGTATGGGGAGTCCCCAGGAGTGCTGGGAGGAAGCTACACCATCCTGCCCGTGTCTGTAATTAGGGGTGAGGGTCACTGCGTTGCCAGGGCCAGGAGACAGTGACTGATTGGAAGCAGGGGCCATGCGTGGCCAATGGGAGTCTCCATGGGTGGCCAGGGCTAGGCATCCATGAGACTGGGAAGCAGATTGCTTCTGGATAGGATAGGAAGCAGATTGCTTCTGGATAAGATAGGAAGCAGATTGCTTCTGGATAGGAGCCCTACCTTCACCCCAGGTCAGGCAAAGGAACAAAGGAACCACCTTCTCTCTGACCCTCAACAGAACAGAGCCGTGGCAAATTCAGTGGCCCCCTTCCCATCGCCCAAAACCAGGAAGAAACCTTTAGACAAGGAACCTTGTCTAAAAGGAGGTGGCCCAGAAGTAGAATAAACACAGGGCTTGGAGTCGGACACAGGAGGGTTCGACAATACCCATTCAAAGTCATCATCGTAAGCCTCTCCTGGGCACCAGGCATGGGGAGAGGGAGTCTGGCTGGTTCCATGGCAATTGTGGGCAGGTCCCTTGCACCATTCAAGCCTGTTTTCATATCTGAAACGTGGGGCTGTGGGCGGGGGCCACAGCATAAGGGAGCATTGTTGTAAGGGGTGCCCTGTCATAGGGGAGCCTCTTCATATGGGGAACCCCAGCAGGTTCATATACGTGTGTCTTAGTCTGTTCTCTGCTGCTATAACAATACCACACACCAGATAATTTATAAAGAAAAGTTTCTTCGGCTCATGGTTCTGGAGGCTGCAAAGTCCAGCAGCATGGCGCCAGCATCTGGTGTGGCCCTGCTTGCTGTGTTCTTCCATGGCAGAAAGCGGGAGGGCAAGAGAGTGCACACAAGACAGCTCACTTTTATAACAAAGCCACTCCCACGATAACTCACACACTCCTGAGATAGCAACATTAATCCATCCATGAGAGCAGAGCCCTCATGACCTAGTCACCTCTCACAGGTCCCACCTCTCAACACTGCCACAAGGCAATTATTAAATTCCAAAATGAGTTTTGGTGGGGACATTTAAACCATAGCATTCCACCTAGGGCCCCCAAAACTCCCATTCTTCTCACATACAAAATGCTCTCATTCCATCCCAATAGCCCCAAAGTCCTAACACATTCCCACATCAACTCAAAAGTCCAAAGTCCAGTCTTTGGACGGGATTCTTCTGGGAAGGGAGTGTGTAGGCACAGGTGCTCAGCACTCCAACAGCACTGAAATAGCAGAGTCAGCACCTGCCCTCCCTGTCACCTCCCCCTCCCAACCCCACCACCTGGGGGTGGCTCTATGGGGAGGGGCTGTGAACACCCAGCCTGCATCCCCACAAAGAACCACCCTCAGCCACCTCTCCACTGAGAGATGGCCACCCCAAGACTCAGGTGCCCTTGTGGGAGGGACCTGGACTGGGAGCAGGGCCACTGGGGCAGGCCCTGGAGTGTGTCTGTCCTCTGGAGGAGAGCATGGGCCCTCTGGACCTCACAGACTTTATGGGGAAGGGCAAGATGGGAGCAGGGCTGGGGTGGGGAGCCCAGGACCAGGCTGCACTGAGCCCCAACATGCCCTCTAATGTCACCTGGCATGAGCCTCCTGATTCCCACCTCGACCCTGGGACCTCAGCCCCACGGGAACCAAGGCAGAAAGGGAAGGGTTCCTTGGCCCCTGGATGCCTGGCGTTTCTCTTTGTTGAACTTCCTCTTCCTCCTTATGAAGGGCCTTTCACCCCTTGTCCACCCTCTTCACCCCTTCCTCACCCAACAGCCACAGGAGTCACGCAGCTTTGACCTGTCTCACCTGCCCCCTCCTGTTGTTCCTCCCCCAGCTCCGCCCAGAGAGATGGAGACAGAGGGCCAAAGAGCAGGAGATCGCTGGACACTCGCCGAAGAGCGGGAGATCGCTGGACACTCGCCGTTGGCATCATGTGGGGTGCTCCATGGCTTCCAATTGGCCAAATTCTTTTCAGTGTTAAAATGCTGTAAAATATAAAACATATGTAATTTCTTGACAAAAATAATACTATTTCAGGTTTGATTCTTTATGAAGTTTCTGTACTAACCTGAACTCTCCCTGGAGTTGAAAGACCCTTGGCAACTAGAAAAGAGCCCTGACACCTGGGAGGCTGGGAACAGCCCACAGGACTGCGCCACCCTCACTTCCGACACCAACTATAGAAGCCCAGGCTCCTGGGGGCCACCTCAGATGTGATTCTCTAGGAGGGCCCCAGTGCCCCTGGAAGCCATTATACCCGTGACTGTGGATTCCTACGGGGAAAAGATGTAGATTAAAATCAGCCTGGCGGGAGGATCCCTTGAGCCCAAGAGTTCAAGACTAGCCTGGGAAACATGGCAAGACACCATCTCAGAAAGAAAAGAAAAGGGAAGGGGAGGGGAGGGAAGGGGAGGGGAGTGGAGGGGAGGGGAGGAGAGGGGAGGGGAAGGGAGGGAAGGGTGGGGAAGTGAAGGGAGGGGAGGGAAGGGTGGGGAAGTGAAGGGAAGGGAGGGGAAGAGAGGGGAGGGGAGTGGAGGGTGGCGGGGAGGGGAGTGGAGGGTGGCAGGGAGGGGAGTGGAGGGTGGGGAGGGAGGGGAGTGGAGGGCAGGGGGGAGGGGAGGGGAGGGGAGGGGAGGGAGAAGTTAGCCGGTTGTGGTGGTGCATGCCTGTGGTCCCAGCTACTTGCAAGGCTGATGTGGGTGGATGGCATGAACTGGGAGGTCGAGGCTGCAGTGAGCTGTGACTGTAGCCCTGTACTGCAGCCTGAGTGACAGAGAGAGACCCTGTCTCAAAAAATATAACAAATAAAACCAGAATGGAAAGAGGTGCCTGGGACAGAGCCCAGGAGGGTCCAGACACAGAGCTCCGGGTTGTCCTCCCCTGGGGTCATGGACAGAGCTAGGCCCCGTCCCTCCCTTAGTGATGTGGGTCAAGGCACATGGAACATCAACAACCAAGGTAGCTCCTGCCTTGGGGTTTGTCTCGTGGTCCTGGTTGGCGCCCACATGGCTGAGCCGTCTCCAGCCCTTCTGGAGGCAGAGCTGATGCCACATAGCCCAAAGCCTCCACTGAAGTCACATAGGACCATAGGTGTGGCCTGAGGCCGCAGGTGGACTAGGACATTCTCACCAGGTCGGACGTTCAGGGCCTAGTGGTGACCTCCCAGGAGCCCAGGGGAGAGGCCAGGCCATCTTTGGCCGAGGTCACACTCTGCACACACACCACCCTAAACAATTTCCAGTGTGGCTTCTGTCCACTGGTTGCCCATCTAGATCCTTCCTCCCTCCTTCCCAAACGCATTGCGGCTTCTGTTCACTGGCTGCCTACCTAGATCCTTCCTTCCTCCTTCCCATATGCGTCCAGGCTTTTGGCACTGGGCAGGGGCAGAGGCAACATGGGGCCGTGGTGTTCCTGGGCTCAGCTTTACAATCGTGGCATGCCCCTGGCCGTCTCTTGCCCCTTCTGGGTAGCAGCCTGGAGTGTCAAGAAATCCAGAAGGTCTGGAATGAACAGGTGCACCCAGCCGCCAGCTGCATGCTTCCCTGACAGGAGACTGCCCCCCACATTTGCAGGGCCTCTGTTATATCAACCTTGCTTTATAGTGACTCATACACTCTCCCAAGCCCATCACTTTCCCTGCAACCCCCAGTGGCACCACCAGCCCTCAACAGTGACCCTGCTGGGACTGAGAGACTTAAACTCGGTTGAGCCTTGAAGGCAACAGAGGGGCCCAGGTGTCTGCCCTCTCCCCCATACACCAGCTCCGTGAGACCGGCGGGATTTTATGGAAAGGCGCTTGCCCCTATGGGGATCTGACCCGGGCTCCCTGGCTCAGAGGCCTCCCACCAAACTGGGTCTGCGGGAAGAACCTCTAGGGGCTTCCTGGGTGTTCCTACCCCCAGACTCAATTCTTTTCCCCAAACTGAGGCAAGCAAGGACCGTCTCTGTGCCTCAGTTTCTCCACGCTACAGTGAAGGGGTGAGACTGAGTGGTCTGTGATAACTAGATGGGCAGGAGCAGTGAGGGGTGGAGAGGGGCCGATGGCAGGGAACACCCTGTTCTGGGACCTGTTCTTCAGGCTGAGAGACAGCTGCACAGGGTCTGGGCCCCTCTGCCCCCGACCACCCACCCCTCCAGCCTCCGGCCTCTTTCCTTGGGAACAGAGTGACACAGCTGCACCTCCAGTTAACTGAAGAGTTCTGATGGCCTGTTCCACAATTACAGGGAGTAACTTTTTACTAAAAGGGAAAAGCATCAACAGCTTCCAGCTTTTCATGTGAGAAGTAGTACTCCAAGACAAATGACTGCTTTCAGGCAGCACCGTGGTGCCCAGCTTCCTGTTCCTGCCAATTTCCTCTCCGGTTCTTCCAGCGGCTTTGTTATTTAAAAGAAATGCAAGGGAAGAGTGGGGCGGAGGCGGCCCTTTCACCGTGAAGAGCCCTGCTCAGCGCCCTGCGCCATGGGTGACGACATTTCCTGGCAGCAGGTGGCTCTCTCTGCTTAGTCTCCTCTTGTTTCCTGCTCTCCCAGGGCCCCTCGCTGCTGCAGGAGCAGTGAGCTCAGTGCCAGAACCCTGCAGGTGCAATGCACCCGGCCTCCCAGCAGGGCTCAGCTGACACCACCCACCAGCTGACCCCGCAGCTTGGCCCGGGATCCCCAGGAGCAGGGCAACCCCACCAGAGGGGTGGGAAACTTCCGGCAGCAAATGACCATGATGGTTGTGAGGGTCAACCTTGCCGGGGTACTGCTCTCAGTCACTCAATCAAATCTTAACAGAGGTGTTGTGCCGAAGGTCTGTCGTAGGTGCTTTCAGGAAGAGCATCCTTGGGAACCTGGGTGGCCTGGTTGAGTCCCTTGAAAGGCCATAAAAGCAGAGCTAAGGCTTCCCAGATGCAGACGAAATAACACCCTCACGTGCCTGTTTCAGCCCCTTCCCCAAGGTTCTGGCCTGCCCTGTAGATTTTGGACTGGCTCAGCAGCCCGTACGTTGAGTAAAACAATTCCTTGCAATGAATTTCCTGTCTCCTGTCAGTCCTGTTTCTCATTGAACACTGATGGGTAGGGGCTGATCCCTAACCCAGGCCATCTCTTTTTTCCCCTCAGAATCCAGTGCCCCCCCAAAGGCAGAGGAGGCTGACGTCCCGCAGCCCCTCAGAATCCAGTGTCCCCACAAAGGCAGGGGAGGCTGACCTCTCACAGCCCCTCGAAATCCAGAGTCCCCCCAAAGTCAGGGGAGGCTGACCTCCCGCAGCCCCTCGGAATCCAGTGTCCCCACAAAGTCAGGGGAGGCTGACGTCCCGCAGCCCCTCGGAATCCAGTGTCCCCACAAAGGCAGGGGAGGCTGACGTCCCGCAGCCCCTCGGAATCCAGTGTCCCCACAAAGGCAGGGGAGGCTGACGTCCCGCAGCCCCTCGGAATCCAGTGTCCCCACAAAGGCAGGGGAGGCTGACCTCCCGCAGCCCCTCGGAATCCAGTGTCCTCACAAAGGTGGGGGAGGCTGATGTCCCACAACCCCTAGGAATCGTGTCTCCACAAAGGCAGGGGAGCCTGACCTCCCACAGCCCCTCGGAATCCAGTGCCCCCATAAAGGCAGGGGAGGCTGACCTCCCACAGCCTCTTGGAATCCAGTGTCCCCAAAAAGGCAGTGGAGGCTGACCTCCCGCAGCCCCTCGGAATCCAGTGTCCCCACAAAGGCGGGGGAGGCTGATGTCCCGCAGGGCATCAAGTTACCCTTGTTTCCAAGTTCTTCAGCACAGATGCTCTGAGGATAGATGCCCTGCTTTGCAGATGAGGAAACTGAGGCTCAGAGAGACCAAGTTCATGATCTGGCAACCAGGAATGGCCAGGGTCCCCTCCCAGCTGGGGTCTGCACTGACTAGGTCCACAGGGCTCCGGAGCCTGAGATGGCTGTGTGGGCCAAGCCCTAGTTGTAATCCCCCCATGCACCCAGCTGTACACCCCACGTGCCAGTAGGACTTACAGAGGGGCAGGCATGAGCTCAGCATGAACAGGGCTGCCCCAGTCAGCAGTCACCCTCACTGATGGCCACCTCGGGCCTGGAGGCAGGGCTGAGCTAGGCCTAGTGGGCTGCAGTGGGGCTGTAGTGGGGCTGCAGTGTGGATCCCTGAGGGTGCTTCCCCCTGAGGATCCAGGACCCTGATGGAGGCTGCCCTGTTGGTGCTCCCCCGAGCCCCCGGAGACCTCTCACTACACCCATGGGGTCTCCAGGGTGACCCTCTGGGCCGGGGGACCTGTGTCTGCAGCTCCACCCCTGCCCAGCCCAAGCACACAGAAGAAACAACATGAACACTCCAGGAAGTTTCAGTGTTTTATTAACAAAATCTTACAAAAAGAGTCTGTCTCTGGGGTAAGGTGCACAGGGCCTGGACCGACATTTAAGGCCTGGTCTGTGTGGGGCAAGGGGCAGGGGTTGGCCACAGCCTCATGAGGTTTCCAGGGTCTTCACAGGCTCCAGGGCTTCCCCAAAGCCTGTGCCAGCCTTGAGGATTGGTTATGGCTTATGTGCAAAAATAAAATCTGTGGGGCTGGCAGGGTGTGGGCTGAAGACTTGTCAGAGTGGTCTGCAGGGCTGGTCCCCCAGTGGACAAGGCAGAACGATGAACCCTGAGCCAGCACCTGCTTAGGCTGCAGACGCTAGTGGCCCACCAGCACCAGGGTTCTGGTGTCGGGGCAGGGCAGAATGCCTGGAAGCGCCCCAGGAGCCATGGCTTCTGGGATGTCCTTCCTGCAGCTGAGCTCAGGGCTGCTGGGCAGGGGTAGGAGCTGTGGCCCCAGCCTTGGGGCTCATGAAAGCCTCTGGCAGAGAGGATGGCCTGGCAGCGGGCGGGGTTTCCCTGCTGGGAGGGAGGCAGGGCCCGACTCCTGCTGCAGTGGCTCTGGGGACGGGCAGCTGGCGGCCAGCGGGGCGGGCTTAGTGGCAGGCCCTGGTCCTCGCGCTGGCGCTCAGGGCTAAGCTGGGGCTCCTGCCCTCTGCTGCAGCCGACTCCTCTCTGTAGCCCCCCTCTGGGCTGTCCTGGGACTTCGCCTCCCACGCAGGCAGCCTGCAAGGTGAGGGGTGGGTGGTGCCCAGCACAGCAGCAAAGACTTTGTGGGAACCTTGAGACCTGAAAGAACAGGAGAGTGGGCAGTGAAGGACCACGCAGGACAGTAGCCAGGGCTCCATGGGGAGGGGCTGGGGCCGGTGGATGGCGCTGGTCTTCCAAGGCAGAGGCCCCCCGACCCCGTCAGAGCCTCCCAGCGAGCCCGAACACTGGGGAGTGGCCTGGGCCGCAGGGTGTCTGGGGTCTGGGGAGGAGCTCATTTGGCCGGGACAGCTGATGGTGGGGTCTGGGTGGAAGGGTGGTGCTCCGTTACCTGTTGTCACTCTCCTGGCTCTGATGGTGCCAGCTGCTGCCTCAGCCGGATTTGAGGACTCAGCCCCTCTGGGACCCTCCGCCTGCCATGGGTGAGTCATGAGCTGAGCTCTGATTCTTCTCCAGGCGGGCGTGAATCACTGGAGCTGGGGGAGAGAAAGCGCGGGTCCATGTGAGAGCTGGCTCAGCAAACTGCCCCTGCCTCCCACCCGGCCCACTCTCCCCAATGCCCCCTTCCATGATGCCAGCCCCACCCCATCCCTTTGGCTAACTTGCTGGGGGCCCAAGCCTCAGTGGGCTCTCCTAGAAAACAGCCTCCGGATCCCGCCAGCTCTCAGATGCCCCACAGCCGGTACTGCCTTGGGGCAGGGGCTCACCTGAGGGGCCAGGAAGCACCGGGACATCAGGTCTGCTCTGCTGCGTGTGCGACTTCTACTCTCCCCTGGGAGGAGGGGGCCGCGCTGCCCGAGGCTGGCCAGCTGCCCTGGGAGGCAGGGAGGGCGTCAGCTGGCTCTGCGGATGCCGGGAGAGGGCGGCGGCGCCGGAAGTCGAGGCTCCCTCAGCATTGGCTCTGCCCTAGCTTCTGCTCTGGGTGTCCCATGAGCTTGGTGGCCGCTGGCCCCTGCCATCCGGACACTTGGTTTTCTGGATGTCCAGAGGGCCTGGGTGTTGTAGCAGAATGAGGAAGCTGGGGTGTTCTGTGATGGCCTGAGAGTGTGGAGGGTGGGGTCCAGGCCGGAAAGACAGACGGAGGGAGGGTGATGGGTGGAGCCCTGCAGGGGGGAGGGCTCTTTGCCGCTGGGTGCGGTGCTCACATCTGGATGACACGAGTGTGTGCGAGTCCGCCCGGAGCTCGAGGGGGCACCCAGCTGGACCAGGGCTTCCCCTGCAGGAGTCAGCCCCAGCTCAAAAGTCCTGGTGGGCAAAGCCACAGGCTGGATGTAGTGGGCAGGCTGGGGGCTCCGGGATGCCCTCTACTCGGGCTGGGTCCGGTCACTGGCCACGGACTCGCTGTTGGGGGCGGGCGTGAGGGTCTCCGCCTCATCCTCCACCGGGAGGTGGGGGCCGGCCGGCTCGGCCGCCTGCTCCAGGTCATCCTGCACCTCCATGCCCCTCTGGATGAGCTGCTCCAGGGTCTTGGGCAGGGGGTGGCGCAGGAAACGCTTGAGCTTGGGCTGCAGGGTGCCCACCACGTACTGGATGATCTCCTCCTCGTCCGCGTCCACGTAGAGCGTCTGGTACAGGTCCCGCTTGCGCCACAGGAACTGGTCCAGCGGCTCGCCCTGCTTCTGCGGCAGGTCCAGCTCGCGCTGGATGGCCTCTCGGGACAGCGTGCCCTCGCTGTACTGCAGGAACTCCTTCTTGAACTCCACCCAGTTCTTCACGGAGCCCTGCTTGAACTCCCACCACTTCTTGGCCGGCCCGTTCATGTGATTCTGGATCTGGGACAGCCAGTACTCCTCAGAGCCGCCCACCTGCCGCAAGTACTCCTCTAGGTGGCTCAGGAACTCTCGAGGGTCCTCGAAGATCTGCGTGTCCACGCCGGGGCTGGGCTGCCCGTCCTCGCCGGGGACCCACGGCTGGTACTGCTGGGCCTCGGCGGGCTCCTGCCCGGGCAGCTCGCCAGCGGCTGGGGGCGGGGTGATGGCGTAGGGGCTGACGGTGTAGTCGTAGCCGTCTGCCTCGTGGCAGTAGCTCTCGGGACCCCCCACGCCCACGGAAACGGTGTGGCGGGCTGACTCGCTGCCCACCGGGTACTTGCCGCCCGTGGACTCCAGGCGGTCGGCCCAGCGCTCCAGGCGGTAGAACACCTCGCGCCACACGTGCATCTCGCGCTTGACCCAGCGCTCCAGGTTGGCGATGGTCTCCTGGCAGCGGCACAGGCAGGCCTTGATGGACTTCTTCCAGCGCTGCGAGTCGCTCGTGGGCACGTAGCCGTCCAGGTTGCTCTCCAGCTTCCCGACCGACCGGTGCAGCCCCTTCAGCTCGCGCTCCACCTGCTTGGACACCTCGGCCAGCAGGTGCCGGTGCGTCCGCCGCACGTGCTCCAGCATCTCGGCCCGGCACTTCCCGATCTGCAGGATCACGTTGGGCTTGGCCACCTGCCCGCCCCGCGGCCCGGGGTAGGCGTGGAGCCCGCCGCTGGTCCGGTGGTCCAGCTCCATCTGTGCGCAGGTGCTCCGGCAGGCGGCAAACTCCTCGGGGCGGACAGAGGGTGGTCCGGCGCTGGGGTCCGGCGGCCTGGGTCCCGTGCGGAGCTGCGGGGAGCGCCTGTCTGTCGCTGCGGGCCGGCGGCGGGGCCGGCGGAGCACGCCCGGGGAGGCAGGTCCGGCTCGGCTGCTGCGGAGGGAGGACGCCGCGCCCGAGCTCTGCGCTGAGTCCTGGCCGCCGGCTCTTTATGCAGCCAGCGAGGCCCGTGGGCGGCCGGCTCGCCGAGCCCGGTTTCTCATTGGCCCAGCCGCAGGCTCCCCGCCAGCGCCCCGCCCGCGCCCCTGCAGGCCCCGCCCTGCGCCCACTCGGCTCCCGGGCGGCAAGGGACGGGAGGTCCCACCCCCTGCACACATGGCGGGGCCAGGATGACTAATCCCTCCGCTCCGTACCTCCCACCCCGGACGGCGGGGCTCATTCAGCCTGCGGGGACCGAGGGACTGAGCCGGGCACTGGGCGCCCCTCCCACGCCCCCTCCCGGGCGCTGGGCGGGCTGTCATCTGCTGCCTCCCAGGGTCCCAAGGTGGCCTTCCTCCTCTCCACTCGCCTCTCTCTTTGCGGGGCTGGAGGGGGCTGGCGCTGGCCACTGCTCTCCTGGGTCCTCACTGCCCCTGACCCCGCCCACCCAGCTCTGCAGGATGTGCAGCTGAGCCCGGGAAGGACCCTCACCATCAGCCTCTGTGCCCAGGGGCTCAGCAAGTCTCCATGTGAGCTCCCAGATGTGGCTTTGAGCTCCCACTCACTCCTGCCCGGGTCCTGAGTCCAGGTCTTGGGCTCTGTGTGAGGGACGCACAGCCAGGCAGAGGCTCGCTCTGCCTGGCCCTGGCGTTGGTGTGCATGGGTGACAGGGGCCCACGTGGCAGTGACTGGACAGGGCTGCCCCATGCCCCCATACGCAGGTCTCTGGTGAGGCCCAATACTTTTCTGTGTTTCCAGGGAAATCTGGCAGCTGCTACCTGGGGGGCTGGGGTTTGGAGGACATGGAGGGGACATTTAGCCCCCAGTGAAGGGAATTGGGCCCTGAAGACCCTGGCTATATCAAGAACCTGGCCAGAGGCTCCAAGACTTCTAAGGGGATGGAAGAGGGGAGGAGAGAGGGAGACAGGGAGGGAGGTGGAAGGAGGGAAAGGAGAAGGGGAGGGAGGAGAGGCGAGGAGGGAGAGGGAGGGGGGCCGGTGCTGGCAGCACAGTGCCATCAGGAGAGGCAGAGGGAAGCCAAGCACCATATAAGGAGCGGGGCTCCGGAAGCCGAGACTCCCTCGGGAGGGAGGTCCCTTCTGCCTCCCTGGCAACCTGGCGGGGGTAGGGACGCCCTTCCTGAGTTACTCCAGTGCTGGCTGGATAGGCATGGGTCTCAGGTCCTCTGATGTTACCCAGGCAGGGGTGACACACACCATTCCCCACAGCCAGAGGGCCATGAGGACATCATCGCTGACAATCAAGACATCTTGTTCCTGCTGCCAGCTGCCCTTTCCCTCTCTCAGACACACACATGCTGCACACTCACACCCCCACATACACACTCATAGCCCCCACTCTAACCCCACCCCACACACTCATGCCCTCACTCACAGCCCCCACACACACTCATACCCCCCACTCATAGCTCCCACATACACACTCATACCCCCCACTCATAGCTCCCACATACACACTCATACCCCCCACTCACAGCCCTCAGCTCCCCCCAGCATCCCCTGTCTTATTCAGGCACTCAAGGGCACACAGGTGCCCACTTGCTGGAATCCCCCCTCCCTGCCAACCCTCTGAGCCCCCCCCCAACCGGCTCTCCCGGGGAGCCCTCTCCCAGCCTCAGAGCCAGTCTGTCTCCTCCTTCCTTCCGCCCCTGGGGGGGAATGTCTTTCTGGCAAAAAAACTCCCCAAAAATGGCTCTCCTGGCATTTCTAATTAAAGGTAAGTGGGCGGACAGAGAAGGGAGGGCGGAGGGGCACCGCGGAGCTGGGAGGGGGAGCCAGGCAGAGAAGTCTCCAGCACAGGGACCTTCCCGCTTCTCCACTGCGGAATCCCAGGGAGAGGAGCTGGGTGGGCACATGCGGGACGGGCAGACGCCAGCAGCCTTGGGTGAGTGCAGCCAGCGGTCACCGAGGGCCACATGTCCGGGTTGGGGCCAGCCTGAGCCTGTAGGTGTTGTCTGGGTGCTGGGCACTGACCGTGCATGTGTGTCCATTGTGAGAGCCAGCACTTCAATGACCAGGGGCCAGCCCCGCCAGGGTTTACAAGCCCGTGTGGCCTCTGACGTCCCCGCCAGGGCACAGCTCTTAGGCCTCTGGCCAGCAGTGGCCTCCAGCTGCCACCCCCACCCAAGGCATCAGCAAGCTGACAAGGAGGCAGGACTGGGGACACGTGAGCCAAGGTCATAGGTGGTGCCGCTGCCTCAGTTCCCTCACCTGTGTGGAGGGAGCCAGGCCTGGAGAAGGGTGAGTGCCCAAGGTGGCCCGGTGAGCAAGGCAGGGCTGGGCAGGAGCCAGGCCCTTGGTGAGGAATCCTGGCGTCCTCTGCTCAATGCCCCGTGGCCCATCACCACCCCTGTCACCTGCTAAACAGCAAGCCAGAAGTGGCCAAGCCGAGACCGGTGGGAGAGCACAGTGCCTGCCCTGGATGGCACGAGGGCAGGCAGCGTCGGGGGTGCCACGCGGAGCCCCGTCTTCCCCTCCCCAACCCCCTCCAGCAGGGTCTGCAGAGGCTGTGAATGCAGGCCTGAGCTGACCGGTGACAGGCAACAGCCGCAGCTGCCAGGAACGCTTAATCGCTGCCCAATTATCGCCCCAGAAGCCCTCACCAAACCCCCGCACTGCAGCCTCGGGAAAGGAGGCCAGGCTGACTCCCATCCACCTGGGGCGGGGGCCTCTCCTGACAGGGGCCTGCCCTGCTCCTCTCTCCAGCCCACCCCCACCCCGTGCCCGTCCCTGACAGCCACTGGAGCAGCATGGCTTGGGGATGCAGGTGGGGGAAGGAACAGGGGAAGGGGGTGGGGGCTAGACCTGCACAAGGAGATTGGGAGCACCTGGGGGATCCCCACTCTCAAAGCCAACCTGGTCTGCTGCTGCGCAGGTCTGACCACTCTGAGGCCCCACCTGCCTGAGAGGAGGGGTCCTGCAGGGGAGGGTGGGGTAGCCCATGACCCCCAGGTTCTGTTCACGGTTGAGATCTCCACCAGGCTCACGACAGCCTCGAAGGACCTCTTAGTGCTGGTTCCTGAGCCCCCACCACCTAGGTTCCCAGAGGCGTGCGGGTACCTGCTCTGAAAGGCAGGGGCCACCCTGTGCCTTGGGCCTCCCTTCTCCTTCTGGGGTGCCCAGCCGCCTCTGCTCCTGCCTGATCAGAGCAAAGGGAGTCAGCTCTCTCCCCGCAGCCCCAGACTGTCTCAGCCCTGGCTGACCCACTCCGGCAGGGCCTTTCTGGGTTGCCAGGAGCGTTCACAGGGCAGCTGCTGACCTGGGGCATCCTGCTGCTCCCCCAGGCTGGCCCTGCTGATCTCGGGTGCCGGCAGTTAGCGCTGCTCAGCAGGGAGAGGCAACCACAGGCCCCTTCAGGCCAGAGCTCACACCCACCCCCACTCACACACATGCGCAAACACATGGGCACACGCAGAGGCACACACCTCCCCCATCTCCCCTGCCTCCAGGCTCTGTCCTCTTTGGAAACAACCCAGAGGGCCCCCAACTCTGCCTTGGCCCCCCACATCACTGTCTTCATAAAGGCCCTTCCTCACCTGCCCACTGCTGGCCACACACACCTGCCCACCCCACCCTTTGCACACATTCCGGGGCTCCTGCTGCCCTTCTGTGTGGGCTGCGTGGAGTGAGGAGCCGGCAGCAGAGAAGGAATGAGGCAGTCCCAGGGGTTGGTTCGGGCACCCGCCCCCCACATGTGACCACTCCCCAGCCTTGTGGCCTCATCTGTCACCATCTACTGCCCGGTGGGGCTGGAAGAGAAGAACCAGGCTGCCCTATGCCCTCAGGGTGCCCATTGCTTGCCCAGGCTGCATGGCCAGACCTGGAGGCCAGCCTCTCAGCCACCTGCTCCCACCGGGTGTCCCTTGCTGTCCAGCCCAGGGCTCCACAGGCTGCAGGAGCTGCTGACCTCTGACCTCGCTGGGCTCCCAGGCTGGACTCCCACCCCAGGTATCCTCTTTTCCTGTTGCCTCTTCCTCGCAGGCACAGGGCAAGGCTGTCCCAGCTGCCTGGCCTGGCTGAGTCCCTGCACCACCCTACAGGTGGTGCCCATAGGTGAACACCTGAGTGTAAGCAGGGCCTGGTCCAGAGCAGACACTGGCGAGGGGTCTGAGGGCTGGAATGGTTCCTGTTCCATTCCTTTCTAGTCAGGAAACATTGGACAGTTGCTCACCTGAGCCTCAGCTTTCCATCCGTAAAGTGGGTGGCAATGCCAAGGCCTCGAGGGGTGGCCGGGAGCTCCGGGGCTCCAGGAGCCTCATCCCTGGCCTCGTGCCACCTGGTCTGGCGAGGTTTCTCCCAGCCGTTCCTGCCGGAGCCTCTCGTCAGTGCCAGTCTGGAGCCTGAGAAGTGGCCGGGGCCCCGCCCTCAGCTCCTCAGGAGAGGTTCTGGGGGCTTCTTCGCCCTGCCCACCTCCTCTGTTCTCTGAGGCCTGGCCAGCGTCCGCCCCCAGTGTCGCTCCTGCAGTGGTGGCACAGACCTGGTGGCGAGTTGCAGGGGCAGTTGGCGGATATGGGTCCAGGCAGCTGGAGGACACCAGGGCCCTGCTGTCTCCGTCCTGAGGGCCACCTGCAGTGGGGACGGGCCAGGGTAGGCAGAGAGCAGAGCTGAGGATGAGGGTCCCAGTCCACCTCCAGAGCATGGGGGGGTGCACAGCAGGCCAGGACTGAGCCTGGGGAAAAGACCAAGGAGGCACAAAGGACTGAGGTGGGAAAGTAGAGGGGCAGAGGAGAGGCCGGGGCGCAGCTGCTCCTGCTTGGCCACCCAGGTAGATGCTCTCGCCTCAGGTTCCACAGGGGTCCTTAGGGGTGGGAGGACCTGCCCCAGGCTGCTGAGCGGGCAAGTGACAGAGTTGAGGCCGTCGTCCATCAACCCAGCTGCCCGACCTCCAGCCTCATAGCTGCTGCAGCCCGACAGCCTCTGTGAGAGCCCTGGAGGGGACCAGGGTGGAATGGGGCAGGGTTCTTAGGAGACCCCCATCGGTGATGGGCACAGTGCTTGGTGTTCCCAAGGTGGCAACAAGGGCTGGGAAAGACCCTGAGGGATGAGAGGGGCCCCAAGGAGTGGGCTGGCTCTGGCACTGGTGCAGAAGATGGAAGCTGATGGCCTGGGGGCCAGTGGGAGATGGGTGCAGGGCGGGTGGGCCTAGGGGCCTCCGACACCCCCTCCCTCTGCAGCCTCTGCAGCCTCCCCAGCCCCTGGGGCTGCGGGAACATTCTTTCTGCCCCCCACCCCCACCATCCCCCCCCCCCCACAACTGCTCCTTCCTTCCTCTTCTCCTGTTGGCAGGCTCTGTGCTGCTGCGTCCCTGTCCCTGGAACAAGCAGCCTGTTCGTTCCGGGCCCCCACACACCAGACCCTCCTCCTTCCTCCTTCCTCCTTCCTGCCTCCTGCCTCAGCGCCTCCCAGTCCAGCCTCCAAGGAAAGTTCTGTATTTTTCCAGCCAGTCTGGCCTAGCTGCACAGGCGTCCCTTCAGGGCCGGTGGGGTCACGAGAGCCCAGGCCTCCACCGACCATGGGCAGACAAGGGACATGCGCTCCTCACCACCGCCACCCCAGCCATGCACGGAAGGGGAAATCGAGGTCCAGAGAGGGCCAGGGATTAGCCTGAGCCACACAGCAAGGAAGGCCAGAGCCACGGCAGGAAGTGTGTCTGGGGTCTCTGGGGTCTTGGGGAGACCTCCAACCTCCCAGAGGTGTCCCATGGACACTTCCATTTCCTGTGTGACTGTAGGTGAGTTCCCTAAGCCTCCACGCCCTCTCTGGCCTCAGTTTCCTCACTGAGGCAGTGCTCCCAGGAAGCTCCAGCTCCGCCCTGCCCCGTCGGTGCGGTGATCAGTCATTCCGTCAACAAAAGTGCCCGAGACAGGCTTGGCAGGTACTAAGCCAGATGGAGGCATGACCCTGGGAGGGGGTGGAGTGCAAAGAGGTGCAGAGCACCCCATAAAATAAGGGGTTGGGCATCACCATGCCCCCTGCAGGCTTTGCCACCCATCAGCACCAGCAAGTCGCCCCACCCAGAGCTCTGCAAAGAACACCGCCAGCTCTTTCCTTCCGGGTGCTCTTGCTGGGGGGTCAGGCTGGTCCCCTCTGACTGGCACTGCCCACGCTGGGACATGGGAGGAGGGCCATCTGGGCACTGCAGGAGCAGATCCTGGGTGCACATGGGGAGACAGGTGTGCTGGCAGGAACAGCAGGCGGGGCTGAGCTCAGGAGGCGCCTCACAGCGGGTGCCTCCAGCCTGGTCTGAGCACGGGATGAAGAACCAGGCACCGCTCATCGTGCATCTCCACAAGGCACTGTGTGACTTCATGCAAGCCGCTCAACCTCTCTGGCCCCACGTCCTTGTCCACAGGGGCAGAGTGGACTGAATGGAGGCTGAGGTCCCTCTCAGCTTGGGTGGTGTGGCAGAGGGTGAGGAGGAGCCCATGGGCCCTGGATCACCAGCCTCCCTCCACCCAGAATGCCCCGTCCACTCCACTGCCCACCACCCTCTGTGCAATTGACAAACGTCCTGGTGTTAACGCCTAAGCATAAAGAGTCGGCTTTGCTGTAAGTGTTGTCTGAACCTGGGCCCAACGTCACCGCCTCCAGGAAGCCTTCCTGACCTCCTCGTTCCATGTTGATTGAGTCTTCTGCGTGCCTTGGCCTCCCCTGTGTGTGCTACCAGAGGAGCCCCTGAGCACAAATGCAGTCTTCCTGCATGTCTCTGTGTGTGTGTGTGCATGTGTGTGAGTGTACGAGTGTGTGTGTGACTGTGTGTGTATGTGAGTGTGTGTGTGAGTGGGTGGGCCAGGGTACCCGTCTCTTGCACACCTACTGGGGTGTGCCCTGAGCTTGCCCTGGGCACACGGAACCTGGTTCTGGCTCCATTGGAGATGCTCTGACCCCCGAGGTGTGGAGGCCAGCAGTGGGCAGGTGAGGAAGGGCATCTGTGAAGAGGGTGGTGTGGGGGGCCAAGGAGGAGCAGGGGGGCATCTGGGTTCTTTCCAAAGAGGGCAGAGCCTGGAGGCAGGGGAGATAGGGGAGGGATAGGTCTGGGGCCTGCCTCACCTTGGCCAGGATGCCAGCCTGGAGCTGGTGGGGAGGATGGAAAAGGGAGGACAGTGGGGGCAGAGAGGGACAGGCAGATGGGGAGTGGCTTTGCTGGGTTTAAGAGCTGTTTAGGGGGCCAGGGCTGAGGGGGAGCTGGGGGTCCCCAGTGTCAGGTTGCCATCACGGACCTGGGGACGAGCATGAGGGGGACTTGTAAGGAGCCACTGGAGTCCGGCCTGGGGGGGCTGGAGCCTGGCGCTCCCCCACACTGGGTCCCCAGCCAGGCCGTGTGCCCACCCCACACCTCCCTGGACGCCCACCTGGCCCAGATTGTGCTGCAGGAACCCTGAGGGTGGCTGCCCCAAAATCAGGACGAAGGATTCACTGCCAGCTGGCCAGGCCAGACGCCCCCAGAGCTGGGGGTTCAGGATGCCCGTGCCAGGGAGGGGGTGGCGTCCAGGACTGTACGCTGCCCCCACCCTGATGGCTGCGCTTTCCTGCTGTTCTCTGCATCTCCATTTCAATCTCTCCCCAGTGCCAGCCAGGCTGCCAGCAACCCCAGCTCACTTCCGGAGCCATAAAAGGAGAGACGCTGAGAATAGCGCGGCTGTGACGCGCCCAGGAGCTCCTCACGCATGCAGACTCTGCACCACCCGCCCGCCCGCCTGCTCTCTGAGGTGCTGGCCTGAAGGGCCCCCCGCCCAGCCCCAGCCCTACCAGGATTGGACAACCTGGGACCCCGGCTGGGAGGTCAGGAGCCAGGGGTCATGCAGCCCTGCCTTGGCTCCCGTATGACACCGCAGGCTGCTGTGCTCCTGGGATTTGGCATCACCATCCCCTGCTCCCAGGCCCTGGGCCTCACGAGGGCACAGCACCACGGGAGGGGCAGGCAGCAGAGGGCGGCGGGAGGCACCCCTGTCCCAAGAGGTCCCGGCCCTGCCTAGTGGCCCTTTAGGCTCCCACAAATTCCCAGGGACCCTTCCTGAGGCAGAGGGAGTTGGCTCTGCACTGGACATGGCTCGGGGCTCACAGATGGGGACAGTCATTGCCTACTGAGCGCCAGCAGGTGCTGGGAGTTGGGTCAGCTTCTCTCCAAGGTCTTGCCTTCCCTAGGAGATGAGGGAGATGCTGAGACCCAGAGGGCAGAGCCTCCTCCTCGCCAGGTCCCAGCACCACATCCCCAGACACCATGGGTGCCCGCATCTGCCCTGAGCACCCCCAGCTCACTCATGAGGCTCAGCAGTGGGGAGTGTGATGGGACACAGGGCTGGCGGCTTGGGTGGTCACGCTGGTCCCTGAGCTCAGAGGAGCCGTGCCGGGTTTAGCACTGTGCGATTTTGATTCATTTTTGGACAAAGGGCCTCTGTTTTCATTTTGTGCTGGGCCCCAGCCATTATGCCACTGGTCCCTCCTACCAGGGTCTCCTTCCTGGTCCTAGGGTGGGGGTGGGGAGCCCACTGTGCTGTGTGTTTCTGGAAAAGCAGGTGGCAGCAGAGGTCCTGTGGTGAGACAAGGAGGGCCCTGCTGTGTGCCGGGCACCTTGCTGAGTCTCAGAACAGCCGGGAGGGTGATCAGTGTCACCCCACTTTACAGATGAGGAAACTGAGGCACAGAGAAGGCAAGGGGTATGCCGGGGAACCCGGGCCATAGTGAATGACCGAGCTGCGATTTGTACTCAGGCTCTCCTGGCCCTGAGGCCGCCAGTCCTCAGCCTGCTGCCATCTGCTGCTCCCAAGAGCCGGGCCGGTGTCCTCAGGAAACCCTCTGAGCTGACCGTGGGGCAGCCAGTTGGGGAGGCTCAACTGGTGAGAAGCCTGGGTGGTCTGCATGGGCAGGACCAGGGCCATGTGAGCCCATGTCCCTCTGTTGCATCTTGGTCCTAAGGTGCATCCGGTGGCAGATCTGGGGCTTGGGAGGGCATGGCAGGCTGAGGGGGCTGCAGAGCCCTGGGCAGGCCGGGGGAGCCCAGGGGTGGAGAGGCAGCTGGCAGAAGCGCATCCATCTCTCTGACACCGCCTGGTCACTGCACGCTGGCGCTGAGCCTCTGAGCAGCCTGGGTGGTGGGTGGGTCAGGGAAGGTCAGGGTGGGGTCAGCACCCGCCCTAGCCACTGGACTTCTCTCACTGTCCCTGGAAAGGGTACCAGGAGGGGCCTTCTCCTCTCCCTTTTTCCCTCTCCCAGGCCAGTGACCTCTGAGGCCCCAAAGGGTCAGGAATTGCTGAGATCACAGAGGAGGGGGTGCACCAAGCCTGCCCTCTGCTCCCCACTCCAGGGACTATGAAACTCAAATGTCACAGAGTCCTCTAAAAATGCATTTGTTCCTTCCTGGGCCAAGTCAGACTGGGGATCAGATCCCCAGTGGAGAGGCAGCACCTGAGGGTGGGGCCCGCCCAAGAGAAGAGCAGGGTGCCTCAGGGGCAGCAGAGGAAACTGGGCTGCGAGTTCAGGCTGGGTCAGGGCACCGAGCCGGGCAGGGGCTGCTCTGCTCACAGCTGGCAAGCCTGGATCCACGTGCAGGTGTCTGAAGGAAGGGCTCTGGGACCCCCAGGCCGTCCTCAGGCTCCCCGGCCTTTGGCAGCTTGGGCTGTTCTCCTGGGCCTGGTCCTGCCAGCCCTCCCTCCGTACTGGGTCCAGGGCTTAGCGGACGCCTTGAGGCCTGCACGCCACCTGCTGGCCGCGCCCCGCCTCGCGCGGTCTCCAGCCGTCCCTGTCTCCCTCTTTCAGTGGTCCCTGTCTCTCCATCTCTCTACCTCTCCCCCCGCCCTGTCTCTCCCTGCCCCTGCCTCGTCTTTGTCCTGCCTCTCTGTCCCGCTCTGTCCCCCTCTGTCGGTCTCTAACCCTTTCTGTCCCTCTGTGGCTCCAGCCCTCGGCCCTCCCTAAGGACAGTGGCCGTTCTCCTCACCCCAGAAAGAGGAGGAGTGGAGAGGGGAGGCCAGGCCCTTTCAGGGCATCCAGACGGAGGCTGGGCCCACAGACTGTGGATCCCAAGAGGAGAGGGGGAGCAGGTGAGGGCCAATATGGGGGCAGTTGTCTCACCGCCACAGACACCCTGTCCCCAGAGCTGGCGGTCAGGGAGAAGGCACAGGGCGGGAGGGGTGCATACCCCTCCAGCTTCACCCTTGGATCCGCACCCCACCCCACAAGCATGCCCCACTGAGCTCCAGAAATGTGGGCCTCTCCACACCCCTCAGCAGCCTCTGCAGGCCCCAGACCCACTCCTGGAGACTGAACCCCACCTGAATGTGCCCCTTTCCTTTCCAAAACCTCCAGGACTAAAGCCTCAGCCCTCCTCCTGCCCTCCCTGCCTGAGGGAGCTGAGAACAAGCACCTGAGTGGCTTGGCTTCCACCCAGGCCTCCCCTGCCCTGACAGCCCCGCCCCTCATCCCAGGGAGCTCCTCCTTCCTAGAGCCCTCAGTCTCTCCCCAGGGCCTGCCTGGCACCCACGGTCTCCCTCAGATCTGAGATGCCCCGTTCCAGGGTCTGCACAGGCCTGGGAGATCTGGGGATCCTCAGGGTGGAGGTCAGGCTCCCCCAGACACTGAGCTCGGCCCTGGGAAGTCAGGTTTTCCATATGCGGGACAGAGACCCAGAGACTGACAGAGAGAAGGAGGTGAGATGGGCAACCGGGGGCAGCCAAGCGGCTTCTCAGTGCCCAGGCGTTGCCTGTCCCCCAAAACACAGGATGGAGACACGGAGACCCCAGGGCCCCCAGTTCAGCCTCAGGAGCCCTAGGAGCCCACCCTTGCCAGAGGCGGAAGGCTAAGGTATGCACATAGCCACTGGTGAGTGCACTGTTGCCCAATTTTCATAAGCAGGAGCTGCTCCAGGAGCCATGAATCTCCCAGGAACCCTGCTACTGGCCGTGGGAGGGGTGGGCCAGATTCTAGATGCCATTCTCACCCAGAGGCGTGCTCACCAAGGTCTACTGCTCTCCCACAAGGGGCTCAGGCTCTGACCTGAATGCTGAATGTTCCCACATGAATTGCCATAATTATTGTCACAACCACTTCCTCCAACCCCACTGTCAGTCATCACCTCCATCACCACCATCAAAACCACCAACTCTCCCACCACCACAACTATCACCACTACCACCACCATCACCCCCTCAACTGCCATCAACAGCATGGCCTCCTCGCACTATCACCACCATTGTGATCACCACCACCGCCACCATTATCATCTTAATTGCCATCAGCACCATCACCACCCATCTACCATCATCACCATGGCCTCCCATCACCACCACCCCACCGCAGCCCCTTCCACCACAGCATCATAACCACACTCTCCACACTACACCAAACCACGAGCAGCACCCCACGTTCATTCTTCACCAACATTTCCATCCAGGAACTCCGTTACATCCCCACCACACCCACCATCTTACTGGTAAACTTCCTATCATCATCTCCACCTCTACCAACCTCATTTTCTCCCCCACTACCCCAGGCAGTCCTACCACCACCAGCAAAACCACCACTTCAACTATTAATCAATGCAACTGTCATAGCCAGCACCACCAAAGATTTCCATCATCACTGTGTCCACTGCCATCAACCCATAATCGTGACCTCCCACTGTCACCACACCACAAACGTGACCTCCCACAGTCACCACCCCACAGCCATAGCCATGACCTCCCACTGTCACCTCCCCATAACCATGACCTCCCACTGTCACCACCTTCAAAACCATGACCTCCCACTGTCACCACCTTCATAACCATGACCTCCCACTGTCACCACCCCATAACCATGACCTCCCACTGTCACCACCTTCAAAACCATGACCTCCCACTGTCACCACCTTCATAACCATGACCTCCCACTGTCACCACCCCATAACCATGACCTCCCACTGTCAACACCCCATAACCATGACCTCCCACAGTCACCACCCCTATAACTGTGACCTCCCATTATCACCACACCATAACCATGACCTCCCACTGTCACCACCTTCATAACCATGACCTCCCACTGTCACCACCCCCATAACCATGACCTCCCACTGTCACCACCTTCATAACTGTGACCTTCCACTGTCAGCGCTTCATAACCATGACCTCCCACTGTTACCACTACTCATTGTTATTCCCATCATCAACATCTCAGTCACCATCACCACACCACAGTGCTTGCCACTTCCCCCTCACTACCACCACCTTCATTATGTGAGCACCCCAACTCCAGGTTGCTTTCTGGCTGACAATGGATTTTACTGATGAGGGTAAGGCTTTGAGTGTAAGGTATTGGGTTCAGATTCCGGTCATAGTCATTATTGGCTAAGTGTCTGTGGGCAAGTTTTTCAATCCACTTTCCTAAGGCACAGAAAGGACAGGATATCCCAATTCAGACCTTGTTTCCTGTAATAGGGAATCCCTGAAAATCATATTGGCTGCCTAGCTTTCCAGAGGCAATGGATTAGGCTGTGAGTCCCTGCAGCCCCATCTCCTCACCCAGCCATGTGGAGGGTCTCCCAGAGTGCATGGCTCATGGGATGGCTTAGTTGAGCCAGCAATCAGAATGATGATGCTCTGTCACCAAGCCTCTGGAAGATTCCACTTCGTTTCAAAGATCAGATGAAACCCCAGCTGGTGAGCAGCTCCTGCACCCAGAGCTGGGTGTGGAAGACCCCGCCACACTGAAGGCTTTTCAAGCTTGGCCTTGGAGGAGACTTGCTTCTAGCCCATTTCTTCAAACAAGCTGTCACTAAAGAGAGAAGTTTCTCTTTCTGGGGCTACCAGTGCTGAGGGGTCTGATGAATTTCGAAGTGTTTGCTGAAATAGCCATTTTGTGTTCTGACTTCTGACTCTCAATCTTCTCGGTGTGAAGTTGCTGAGCAACAATCAAGAACCTGCCTGTGCTGCAGTAATCATCGCAGTGGTGACAGCGCCCACCTGGCAGTCGGACAGCAAGGATTAGGTCAGGCAGAGCCTGGCACACAAAGCGCTTGTTCCACGTCACTCTTCGGCTGTTATTACAATGATTATCATTGGGTATGGGTTTGCACTGGCCCTGGGCTGGGTCTCCTATTGAGAAAACTCCACAGCCCTCAAGCCTCTCCCAGCCCAAGCAGGCATATGGCACAGGCAGACTGGCAGGAGGTTATGGGGGCGATGAGGAACACTTCAAGGGTGCTGCAGACCATGTCTGTTCCTGAGGCTCCTCCTGTGTCCGCCAAGGGCCAGCTCCAAGTTCCTGCATGGAGGATGCCCTCTGACTCAGACACATTTCCTGCCCTGGGCTCCCACAGACCTGGGGCACCCCTGAATGCTCATTGTGCCACCAGCCCGGGAGCACCTTGAGGGCATAGACCATGCCCTGCTCATGCCTGAATGACCAGCACCTGGCCCAGCCCCCACCGGGGATACTCAGTGAGCCTGCTGGGGGGCAGGTGCAGGTGTCATACCCATCTACCTCACCAGGGGCGAGAACAGCAGCTGCCCCACTCCCAGGCTGCTTTGCTGAGCCTCTTGCCAAGTTAGGGGGACCCAGAACCACCCAGCCTGAATCTGAGACTTAGCCCTGGCTGAGCTCTACTTCCAGGATGGTGAGGGAACCCAAGAGTCCAGGAGCAGTGGTGGGCAGCAGCAGCTCAGCCTCTGAAACCCACGCTTGTCAAGCTTCCCAAGGACAACACTTTTTTGCCCTTCTTGTTTCTAATTAAAAAGAATTAGTCAGCAGAGTGGCATGCTTATGGACAGTGCCGAGTGACATTACTGCATGGCTTTATTCATCAATGGGAGGGGCAGATGCCGTCCTACTGGAGACTGGCACAGAATCTTGTTCTCTGCGACTATCTGCTTGGAAGCCCAAGCCACCTACCAGCTGAACCAATGACTCATTATACTTTTTTCTGACTCCTTCTCCCTCTCTCTCCTTCTCTCCCACCCTCCTTTCTTCAGGTTTGGCTGGACCCGCCAAGAAAAGGCATCGTGCAGAAGCACTGTACAGGTATTGGACCCCCTCCCCCTTACAGGTGAGCCTGCTGAGGCAGGGAGGGGCCCCCAGAGAGGAGGGGGCAGAAGTGGGCACAGAATCCAGGAGTGTGACTCCTCAATTAGGGAAGAGCCTGCCACACAAGGTGGGCTTGCCCCAGACAGAGAGGTCCCTGGGAAAGGGAGGTCTCAGGAGCAGGGACTCAGCTTTGAGCTCAACCTGGTCACTTTCCCTCTCTGGCCTCAGATTTCTTCAATGGACACTGGGAACATTAAGCCATGTCACCTGCCCAGGGTACAATCTGAGGACAAGTGGAACATCCAGGAATGGGGTTGTCATCTCCACTCCATCCTGACTCTGGAGAAAACAACACTCTCTCTCCCACAAATGCCTACAAGAGGCCGGAGAGACGAAAACTGCCTTGGCAATGGGTCATACCGGCCCTCAGCCCTGGTCTCTCTTTCTGGGCTGATAGGGAGGGGCCTGAGTCCATTCCACAGCCTCCATGGAAGGCAGCCTTTCAGAAACTAAAGGGAATGTCCCCTGCCAGCCCACAACAGCCCCGAAGAAGGCATGGTCTAAATCTGTAGACAGTCAGCTAAGCCAGTTTTAGGAAGAGCTGTCAGTCCACTTGTGGCCTCAGAGCCTGACAGTCAATAGTCACTACCATCATTACCACCCATGACACCCACCTGGCCAACGCCCTCATTGCCTCCACCAAAACCAAATGTCACCACCACCACCAATTCCAACACTGACACAAATGCCCTCAATTACCACCCCCAACCTATCACCTTTGACATCACCATGATGGTTATTACTGTCATTACTCTCACCATCATCATCACTATCCCAGATAATGATATCATCATTGTCTTCACCATCATAACTATTACCATCATATGAGCATCGGCATCGCCATTATCATAATCATTACTATCATTATTATTGATAGTGATATCACCATCACCACCATCACCATCATCGTCATCACCATGACCATCATTATCTTCACCATCATCACTATCACCATCATCATCATCACCATCACCACCATCACCATTATCATCACCATTGCCATCATCACCATCACCATCATTATCTTCATCATCACTATCACCATCATCATCACCACCATCACCATCATCATCACCATCACCATCATCATCACCACCATCATCATCACCATGATGGATAATAATATAATCATTGTCTTCACCATCACAACCATCATCATCATCACCACCACCATCATTAACACTATGATGGATAATATCATCTTCACCATCATAACCATCACCATTACTATCATCACCATCACCATCAACACCACCACCACTATCATCATGATTGCCATCATCACCATCATCATCACTATCACTGTCATCATCACAGTCATTACTATCACTATAATTGATAGTGATATCAACACCATTATTATTAGCAGCAGCAGCATCACCATCACAACCATCATCACCATCATCCTCATGAGTTCAACAACACTATCATGATTATCACCATTTTTACCACTGTCATTCTCATGACCTTCATTACAACACCGTCACCATCATTGCTACCATTAATATCACCTCCACCTCAACACGATCATCATCATTATCATCGTCAGCGCTAGCATGGTCATCTTTCCCATCATCATCTTCATTAACATAATCCTCATTGCCCTCACTTTTATCTTTATCATCACCCCATTACAATGAAACTACAACCCCCGTCACTTTCAACACCAATACGCTCCAGGCCCAACTTCCCATTGTGGCCATACTCATCATCTGTGTAACTGTTAATACCATGATCAGTGTAATCATTCTCCCATCTACCCATCTTACCTACCCCTAACCTTCCACTCTCCCATCTAGAAATTCATCCCCCACCCAGCTTCTGCCCCACCCACCCATCCACCCTCCTAAGGCCCAAGAATGGATAAGCCCAAACTGCAGTCCTCCTAGAATCTGACATGAGCAGATCTTTAGGGCACAGCCCTCCAGGGGCTCTAGAAGTGTGCACCAGAGACTCTGGAGCCCAGAACGAGAGGTCACTGGTGCTGCTGGGGTCTCAGGACAAAACCTGAGCGACTCCTGAGGAGTGGATGGGGAGGTGATGGGCCAGTGGGCAGCTGTGCAAGCCCGGAAGACTCTGTTCCTTTCCTCTCTGTCCAGGCAAGGGTCAAGAGGCTCTGAAAGGAATACATCCCTGGGATCAGAGATGGGATGACTCTAAGGTGTGAGGTCCCAGGGAGTCAAGCTCCTCTGCCAGACCCTCAGCTAGTGAGTCGGATTCCTTGCTCACTCTTAGTTTGCTTAGCAAGGAGCCCTCATGTTGATTTATCTTTTTTTGCTCAACAATGCTTTATTGGAGACTTCCTTTGGTGACAGGGGGCATTGGGGAAGTCCATAGGTGACTCATCACACCTTGATGTTGAGGAGTTCCTGGTTTGTTTGCAGGTGAACTTTGCCGGATATAGGAAGTGCTGAGAGCTGCAGGGGTCCAGGGATGGCTCAGCCTCAGGGAGGGGCAAACACCCTGAGAACTGGGACACCAGGGAGTGGGGAGCTGGGCAGGGACCTTCCAGCCACCTCACAGAGAAGAAGACTGGGGTCTAGGTGGGTGCCCCGAAGGAGCCCCATCAACAGTAGCCTCCTTCCAGTGTCTCTAGCACCCAGGACTCCCACCCTCTGCTGGCATTGGTGCTCCCAGCCTGGTGAGAGCAGGGACCCAGGTCCCTTGATTCCAGCTGTGATACAAGTTGGGAAGCAAGTCCCCTTCTCCACCTGTCCCCACACTCGCTCTCTCAGCCTCCTCCCAAGGAAAGCCCACCTCTTGCTCTGGCAGAACAAGGGTGGAGGGCCTGGGTCTTCAACCACGTTGACCATGTTTATTCTGCTCAGGGCCTGGCTCGATGGCTCGATGCTACTCGCCCCCCACCCCTACCCCACTTCCATTTCTGCGAGGGGAGTGCTGGGTCCAGCCCTGAGCAGAACAAACTTGGCCATGTGCAGAAACATGAGACACCCACGAGGAACCATCTCTCAGCACCATTTCAGAGGCAGACCCCAGAGGGAGACCACTCTCATCATCCAGGATCCTGCAGAGCGATGGTCAACCCTGCCAAGAACAGCCACTGTCTCAGGTCAGACTCCCTGGAAGGAGAGCATACAATGGGGCCTTTTGTTCAAGAGCTTTACTAAGGGAGTCTCTCAGGAGAAGCAGAACCGGGAGGGGGGAAGAGCTCGGCAAGGCTTTGTTCTTAGCCAGAAGCCAGCTTCAGTTGGTCTCACAGGGGGCTCTGGGGCATGAAACCACTGAGTGAATGCCCCTGGAGGTGGAGGGTGGCCTACCCGATCCCATGCCAGTCAGTGCAACAAATTTCCCAGAACCAAGGAGTGCCAGACAGCAGGAACTGTTTGTACCCTCACTTGGTCTCTGTGATCAGGAACTCAGAAGGGGCTCAGCTCAGGGTGGCTCTGAGCTACAGTAGAGGTGCCAGCTGGGCTGGGTCATCTGAGGGTTCCACTGAGGAGGCGTCTGCTTCTAAGCTTATTCACACAGCGTCTGGCAGAGGCCTCAGTTCCTCACTGGTTGTCGACTGGGACACACACACACACACACACACACACACACACCAGCTCCCCAGGGGGGCCCAGGGGCACTCTCAGACCCAAGTCGTTCCTGACCCTCCCTGGCCCTTGCGGGGGCATCAGTGAGCAGCAAAACAGCCGAGGGATCAGCGCCTCTCCTTCAGCACCTGGGACAGGGCTCGCCCAGGGCCGCCGGGGCGCTGGAGCTGCCAGGGGCGCAGGCGACAGCCCTGCCCCGTGTGGGCAAGGGGCAGGTGGCAGGGGCCCACCCCACCAGGCGTTTCTGGACAGTCTGAGGGCCAGACCCCTCTCCCCTGGTGGCCCCAGGACAAATGCCCCTGAGAACCACGAGCGAAAGGGGAGTGCAGGGAGGGCGGGGAGACGCAGCCACCTCGCTCTGGGGTAAGGGTCGCCTCCGCCCCTTGCTCACTCAGGCTCCTCACGGAAAATGGGGAGGATGGGGGGGCCTCCCCTCAGAGGCTTGTCGGGGGGCCTCCCCTCAGAGGCTTGTCGGGGGGCACTGCAGGGATGTGGTACAGTGGGGGCCACCTCTCTCTGGTGGTCAACCCACCCCCACCCCTTGCCAGGTTCATCCGGTGAAGCCCAGGATCCCTCTTCTCTGAGTGTGATGAAGGAGGCCCCACCCACACTCATAGCCAGTGAGGCAGTGGCCACTCTCTGGGGCCATGGCCCTGCAGGCGAGGCTGTGGTACTGGTGAGGCAGAATTGTGATGCCAGAGGAGGTAGCACCATGGTGCCGGAGTCAGGGGACAGCATCGTAGAGGGCACTGGAAGGAGAAGGCTGCTGCTGTGGTTGCGGGGAGAGGGGCCACCCCATCCAGCACCATGGCCCCGCCTCATCCAGCATCATGGCCCCGCCCCCTCCAACACCAGGACTCTGCCCCATCCAGGACCATGGCCCAGCTCCAGTAACCCCGGAGAGGGAAGATCTATGCCTCTTCTCTGCAAGGTCCCAGTCCCTGGGCTCAGCCAGTGTCTCCACAGGGCCCCTTGATGCAGGGGCTGTCTGAATGGGTACAGGGCAAGGCAGAAATTTGCTTCCCCTGAGGGCCACCGCCAGCAGGGCGTTCTGGGGCCATCCCACCCTGGGACCTCTCAACACCCTGCCAGTCCTTCTTGCCATGTCTCAGGACAGCCTCCTGACCCCTGCAGTAGAGGCCACTGGCACTAGCTGGTGACTGAGAAAGACCAAAGTCCAGGAACCCATGGCCTCTGAGGGTGGAGCCTGGAGTAAAGGGGTCTTTGTTCTGGTGCCCAGGGGACCTCCCCACTGCTGGGAAGTTGTAGCCCTGGGTGCTCTCCCAGGAGCTACCTGGACAGGCTGGGGGTCCAAACTCCGGGGACTTCAGCTGTGACACCTCTCCTCCCACTACAATGAGTCAGCTCCCCGGTCCACCCCCAGGACTGCTGCCTGTCACCCAGAGGACCTGCACCCTCAGTCAGTGTGGAGCTGTGGTGGGGGCGAGAGGAGAGGAGTGTGACCAGGGACTGCACTGAGTCACCGTGGGGGAGGAGGCAAGAAGACAGCTCTTGACTTCTCTGGGTTAGGAGCAAAGCTCACACCTGCAGACACCCATCCCATGGTCTCACCCTCCATACGGTCCACAGGGGACGGGGCCAGGGCTCAGTGCGTGCCTGGGGTTGGAGTAGGTTTGGGGCCAGGACCGGGTCTGGTCCTCCTGTCCAAGCTGCCAGAAAGAAGCATCCGTTATTAGGCTGGAGTTCTGGTCTTTGGGCCTCTGTTGGCCCATACATGTCCACATTCCACACTTGCTGCCGGCACTCAGGTGTGCCCTCCCAGCATCCGTCCCTGCAGCCATGGCCTCCATTCATCCTGCCCATCATGTAGGAAACACACTGCCTGCCCTGTGCCTGGCACTCTGGCACCCCAGAGGAATTAGCCTGGCGTGAGCCCAGGAAGGAACAACTTTCCTGTTGACACCGAGGGGTCCGTGCTTGGGCACTGAGGTCTCCCTGGGGGCGGCGAGGAGCCAGAGGGAGAAGGGAAGATTTGAAGGTGGAGTGTTCTGGGAGATGACAGGGACCTGGGGTGGCCATGGGAGGGGACAGCAGAAGGTATGGGAGGGGGGCCATCGGAGGTATGGAAGGAGAGGCGAGCTTTTCTGAGCTGTCCCTGGGAACAAGGACAGAAAGGCGAAGAGGAAGAAAGCAGGCTGCACAGGCCCTCCTCCCTGTCCCCCGTGAGGCCTCAGTGAGCCCCTGCCCAGCGCCGGGCCCCTGTCCACCCAGCCCGTCCTGTGGCGCAACCTCTAATGCCTGCCCTTCCCTGCATATCCTGGGCTCTCCCCAAGAACCCACCTCCCCAGGATTTGGACCCAGGCCCCTGCTCCAGTGAGACTGGGGCCTTTGGGAGCCCCAAGGAAATGCGGCTCCCCCAGCCCTGCTGGCCCCTTGCTGCCCCAGGCCCCACCCTAGCCCCTGCCACAGAGGCCCCAGGCCCCACCCCAGCCCCTGCCAGGGGCTTCCTTGCTTCCTCCACTCCCCTCCTTTCCTCCGAAATTTGCATCTCACCTTCCTGCAGGGCCACTGCACCCAGCCTTCCAGAGGCCCTCTTGGATCCTCTGGCCCTGGCCCCGCTGCCATCCCACAGGTCACACAGTGCCTGTGGCTCACACACACCTTCACTGCCCAGATCCACGCCTGCCCGGCCCCTGGCTGCCCTGCTTCTGGGCTGATCCCGGAGGAACCTGCTTTCTGGGTCGGGGCACCTGCAATCCCTAAAGAGTCCAGCAGAGGGCACTGTTTGCTCCCCGAGAGAAAACACAGGAAGCCCAGGTCTGTGTGGAAGGGGGTCTGTGCCACCCACCCATCGGCACGGTCCACACCCGGCAGCACAGCCCCTGCCTCCAGCTGAGAGGCTATCCTGGAAGGGGCTGTGACCAAGGAGGCGACAGCCCCACCTGGCCATCTGGCCTCTGCCTAAGGGGCAGCCAGTGATCTCGGACACCGGGAGCCGCCATGGCCTCCCACCCTCTGGCCTCTGCCTCCCACCGGCCCACTGGCTGCCCGGGGCTGGTCCACAGCTAGAAGGTCAACTCCTGCCCACGGGCACATCCCCTACCCAGCTCCCGCCCAGCCCTGGGCAGTCTGGGCCACAGCTGCTCCCCCAGGGTGAATCCCTGGCTCTGCATCTGACACAGGGGGTCGAGGTGCGGAGCAGTGTGCCCAGGGCAGTAGGGCCAGAAGGGGACAGCCAGGCTGCCAGAGAGGGAGTGTGTGCAGAGGCTAGCATCCCCAGGCCCAGTTCCTGGCATCCCCTGGCAGTCCCAGGAGACACTGACGTGATGGGCATTTGCACCCACTGATGCTGTCAGAGACCTGTGGCAGCCCCAGGCTGGCTCCTCCCAGGGTCCGGAGCTCCAGTCTGCTCTTTGGCCGGGAAGAGCAGTCCAGGCTGAGGCCACTCCACAAGGGCATCCGGAGTTGGAGGCCTGTGGCGATCCCTGAGCTCCAACCTACTGTGCCAGGTGTGGACTTTGGGGGCATGAAATTTCTCAGGCAGGGTAGGCACCAGCCAGATTCAAGGGCTAGGGCACTGCCCAGCAACCCCTCTGCCAAAGGGCCAGAGAGTGGGACACACCAGCACAGCATCACCCAGAGTGAAGCCAGGGGTCCCTGGAGTGTCCCGAGTCCCCTGCGAAAGGGGCTGTTGTGGGGACACCCCACAGCCCACCACCTGGCCTTGCCCTCTCCACATCTGCTATGGTGCAAATGTGGCCCCTCCAAAACCCAGGTGTTACCACCATGACAGGATTGAGAGGTGATGAGTCCGTGAGGCCGCTCTCCTGCGGGACCAAGGCCCTTATGAGGCTCTACGCAGTGCCCCCACCCTGCCCTCTGCCTTCTGCCATGGGAGGGCGCAGCAGGAAGTCCCTCCCCAGACCAGACCTGGTGCCTAGACCTTGGACTTCCTGCCTCCAGAGCTTTGAGAAATATATCTCTGCTGTTTAGTAATTGCCCAGCCGCAGGAATTTGTCATCAGGGCACAAACGGACCAAGACACCCTCCCAACATCCCTGGCACCCCGCAGGCCGGAGGAGAGTGGGCAGGGAGGCAGCTCTGCCCTAGGCTTCGGCGGGTGTAGGAACCATGTGTTGGGAGGCCAGGACCGACCACAAGCGTCAGCCTTGGTCCCCCCACCTAGGCAGTGGGGGACAGGACAGGACTCTGCTCCTCCATTTCAGGCAGGAGAGTCTGACTTTTTTTTTTTTTTTGAGATGGAGTCTCACTCTGTTGCCCAGGCTGGAGTGCACTGGTGTGATCTTGGTTCACTGCAACCTCTGCCTCCCGGATTCAAGCAATTCTCCTGCCTCAGCCTCCTAAGTAGCTGGGATTACAGGCATCCGCCACCACGCCCAGCTAATTTTTGTATTTTTAGTAGAGACAGGGTTTCACCATGTCAGCCAGGCGGGTCTTGAACTCCTGACCTCAAGTCATCTGCCTGCCTTGGTCTCCCAAAGTGCTGGGATTACAGGTGTGAGCCACCGTGCCCAACCGGGAGTCTGACTTTGTCCCCAGCAGAGACCCAGCATCCTAGAGGTAGGTGCTGTGTGACCTTGGGCAAGGCCCTGCTCCTCTCTGTTCCTGGGGTATAACTACCTGTCCCCCCTGCAGGGCGGTGGAGAGCACTGACTGGGAGGAGGTGCTGGGGCTGCCAGTGCTCCAGAGGATTGGGGGGCCAATTAGGCAGGGACAGTGTGGAGGGGAAGGAGGCTGCGGGAGAACTGGGAACCCGTGGCCCAGCACCCAGCCCACAGCAGAGCCTCAAACCCTTCTCATCATCTTCCTGGCTCTGGGCCCCAGCTTCCTCTGTCTGAGGCCTGTGGGGTGCCAACACACACACACACACACACACACACACACACACACACACACACACACACACACACACCCCAAATCGCCTGCTCACCAGGGCCCCAGCTGAGCACAATTCCTCCAGCTGGCTGCGCAGCAGAGAAGCCCCAGCTCAGCTCAGAGGGGCTGGGCTTTTTCCCTCCCTCCCCTCCCACGGCGGCTGTTCTGCAGGTGCGGCAGCTATCGAGGCATGACGCAGGCCACTGACTCACCACGCCAGGCTGACTCACCTCCCAGGTACCCCGGCCCTCCTCAGTGGAAGGAGGGCTTTGAGCTTGGGGCTGTACGTCAGCATAGAGCAGCACAGAGCCCCTGACGTGCCAACAACAGTGGGAGGACGTCCTGGGCTGGGCACCTTTGGGGAGCCCTTTCCAGGTGTGGGGGGCAACAGTGTGGGGGAGAGCCTCCCCCTGCCACCCTTCCCCCATGCGCCCTCGTGGGTGGTCGCTGTGAGCTGGAGGGAGACAGTGAGGAGCCTGGAGGCTGGTTTTTTTGTTTTGTTTTGTTTGTTTGTTTTTGAGACAGAGTCTCACTCTGATGCCCAGGCTGCAGTGCAGTGGTGCGATCTTGCGGCCTTCACCTGCTGGGCTCAAGTGATCCTCCCATCTCAGTCTCCCCATGGCCCAGCTGGGACCACAGGTGTGAGTGACCACGCCTGGCTAATTTTTAAATTTTTTTGTAGAGATGGAGTCTCATTATGTTGCCCAGGCTGGTCTTGAACTGCTGGGCTCAAGTGATCCACCCACCCCAGACTCCCAAAGTGCTGGGACTACAGGCATGAGCTTTCGCGCCCAGCCTGAGCCCTGGAGGCTTTTGGCGGGTGGAGCAGCCCCTCCAAAGCCTTACTGGAAGGTATTTTACTATGGGAAACTGAGCACAGGCGGAAGCAGGGCCTGGGCGAGGCTCCCTCCGCCGCCGAGTGTGATCGACGCTCCCTGCCTTCTGCTCCAGTGGCCTGTCTCCCCTGCAGCTTCGAGAGCGAACCCACCCCTCACATCATTCCCTGGCGAAGGCTGTTATGAATCTCTACAAAGTAAAGCCTTTGGAGGGCATGGTCCAGCACCACTGCTGCCCCAATCAAACTGGCGCAAAGCCCCTGTTAGGATTCTCGGTTTTTCCCAACAGACTAAGCCGTGCCCTTTTCCAGGGGTTTTGTTTCCGCATGGCCTTGGGCTGATTCCCGCTGTCCTCCCTCATTCCCCCACTTTGAGGGCACAGCCTGGGGACTGCGCGGGCCCAGCCGGCGGAGCCCCAACCTGGAGAAGCCCGCTCGCCCCAGGAGGCCTCCATTACCAGCGTCCGCCCCCACACCCCCGAAACCGGCTGTGTCTGCCCACGCTGCCACAGCCATCCCAGAATCACACGTGGATGGCTTCATTTCCCACCTGGGCCTGGGGGCCAAGGATGCCTAATTCCTGGAGCGGAGATGGGCTGAGCCTAGAGAGCCCACCTGGGCTGACGGCTCTGGAAACACATCAGTCATGCTGAGCTGTGGGGACCAAGGGGGTGCCGGGAGAGAACGTGGCGCCGGAAACGGAAACGTCTGTGCAGACCAATGGGGTGCCGAGAGAGAACGCTGACTCCGGAAACGTCCTGGCTGTCTGGGGAGGTGAGTCGCTTCACAGGAAGCGTCCCCCGGTGGCCATGACCCCAGTGGCCATGTGGCTGAGGCCCTGGGCAGTGGCTTCGTGACCGAAAGGCCCTGAACCCACCCCGAGGCCCCACAGCTTTTTCTCCAGCTCAGACACTTTCTGGGGCTCAGTCTTGCTGCGGCCCTTGTGGCATTTGGCAGGCAGTGGGTGGACCATGAGTGAGTTAGGAGGCCGAACTGCCCACCTCTACAATGGGTTCCCAGGAGAGCGAACACGGGACCCGCTCCTCCAGGCCTCAGCCCCACTCTGGAATGAGGTGAGAAGACCCTCCGTCACAGGCTGCCCTGAAGAAGGGTGCAGGAGCCCTGGGCCCCAGGGAGCAGAGTCCGAATCCAGACAGCAGGAGAGGAGGGCTCCACACACTAGGGGAGGAACCAGGATCTCAGCTGGCCTGCTCCGAGGGTCATTCACACCTGCAGCCCCACCAATCTGCTCCCCCTCTCAGGGACCCTATCCTCCACCTCTAAAGTGGGGATGTCAGGCAAAGCGGGTATGAAGTCAGGGGGAGACTGACAAGGAGCACATTGTGAACTCTGGTACTGAGATCACCAGGAAGAGGCCTGGCCCCACTTCCTGTGGAGTGGGGAGACCTGGCCCAGTAGGTCCAGGAGGGAGCAGTCACAGCAGGCCAGCCAGTAAGGGCCAGAGTGCCAGATGGACAGGTGTATGGGTGCTGAACGGACAGGCAGATGGGTGGATGGACTGACAGGGGGACAGGTGGATGGACAGACAGGCAGATGGGTGGATGGACGGACAGGGGGATGGATGGATGTACGGACAGGCAGATGGGTGGATGGACGGACAGGGGGATAGGTGGATGGACGGACAGGGGGATGGGTGACAGACAGACAGGCAGATGGGTGGACAGATGGACAGCCGGATGGGTGGACAGACAGACAGGGGAATGGGTGGATGGACAGACAGGCTTCTTCCACTCAGCACTGCTTGGTTTTCAATACTCAAACGGCCTATAGATTTATGTCTACAGCTTCAACACTGGCTCAGCCCAGCGCTCATGGTGGAGCAGCAGACTGGGGATGGAGGGCCAGCACCAGCAGAGAAAAGGGAGGACAGGGCGGGCCACTTGGCCCCAAGAGACACACAGCAGCTGGAGCAGGTTTACAAACTAGATCTGGGTGACACAACCATCCTTTTTAAAGGTTTTAACGGAATCATAGTGACATTTTGATCCCATTTATGAACCGGGAAGCCAGGCTCACCAGCCCACTGCACCATTTAATGTCAGCAAATAAAATTCAGTCAGTAAGAAACCCCCATAAGCCCTTGTTGAGCTGCAATAAAGCAGTTCTTTCGACTTCTGTCCTTTGCAAGCCGTGGACACAGCCCTGCTCTTACATAAGCGACCCTCATTGGTGACCCTCTGTGAGGGGCAGGGACCCCACCACAAACAGAAAGCTTGTGTGTAGGCTGAAGGGGTCATGGGGCACGGGAGGGGTGCTGAAGTTTGAGGCTTTAGGTCCAGTGAGGAGCAGACTCTGGTTTTAGGAATAAACTGTGATGAGGCCACTGGCAAGGGTGGTGGGCAGAAGGCCTGAGACCACTTGCCAGAGGGAGACCCTGGCCCCAGGGTCCCACAGAGCAGGGGCTGGGCTGAGCCCTGGGGAGGCCAGAGCATTCAGCACCCATGAGGGGCCTCAGAGACCCCCGGTATGCCCCCTGTCACACAAGAATCCTCCAAGGCCTCCCAGCTGGGGCTCCTCCCTCTTAGAAGCTGCCCTGAATTCTGTCCTGCTCCCCTAATCTTGAGCCCTGGGGTGGGGGTTTTGAATAATGTCTGTCATTCAGTTCAACAGCAAGGTACGGTGAGAGCTGGCGGCTTCATTTTTGGAACCAGGGAGAGAGAGAGAGAGAGAGGTTTATGAGAGACCTCATGAGACAGCTCATGATGGAAGTGAGACTGAGTTGCAGTGAACCCTGTCACTGAAGAGACAGCCTTCACACTGTGTCTTGCAGGGGAAAATACAACTCTTTATTAAAATTTATTGCCCTGAAAAATGGGCAGTGTTACTTACTTATTCTGGGTAAAGTGGGTTGCAGGTGGCAGGGCTGAGCCTTGGGAGGGCAACCCTGTCCACAGGCCAGAGGCCCCTCTGTGCAAAGGAGCAGGTGAGCCTGGGGACCTGCCACCTCCCCATGCCTGTCATGGTTGCCACCCTGCCCAGTTCAGGGTGTCTCCTCACCAAGAGTCAGGGTCACGGGAGGATGAACCCAGCTCCTGGTCCCACAGATTTGGGCTCAGTTCTAGCGTCCCCTCTCCCTAGCTGTGTGTCTTCAGCGGCCCCTGCCCACTGAGCTCAGCCCCCACCTGCAATGAAGAGGTGACAGCAGCTGCCACCACCACCCCCAAGTCCAGATTTCTCCCCATCCCCAGCCTGGCCAGGCCTTCCTGCCCTGCAGATGGCTGTAAGGACGGCATGGCATCCAAGCCCAGGGCTTGGAGCCCACAGAGTCCCTGGCTTCCCTCAGGGACCCCAGGGGAACTGCAGCACCACATGGGCAAGATCTGGGCTTTGGCCACCCCCTTAAGAGAGAGGACCACCTGGCCCACTCGTGTCTGGGAGGAGGCTGCCAGCCAAGGGAGAGCCTGGGCAGTAGCCTTGGGGAAAGGTGGGCAGGTGGCTCTCCCACCCAGGGAAGGGCCGGCATCTGGGCCATCCTTATGGCCTGCAAAGCCCTGGACACCTCCCCTGCCCTCTGCAGGCAGCAAAGCCTTTGGCATCTGAGACCTGGGCAGGAGGAAGAGAAATGGGTGTGAGAAGAAGGGGAGGCTGGTGGAATGGGGGCATCTGCTCAAGGCTCATCCCAGGACCTCAGAAGGGAAGTGGGGAGAAAACAGTTCCTCGTGAGGCAGCCCCTTTCCACTGGCCCTGCAGCTGCACATCAGACCCAGCCTCTGCCTGCCCCTCCCTGTGTCCAGCAGAGCTGACCTCTGAGCCAAGCCTGCAGTCAGCTTGTCTAGGGTGACGATGCGGCTACGTGAGGGTGCCGGTGGCTCCTGTCAACCTTAAAAAGATCAGGAAATATGGAATATGGTTAAATGTAATTTATTTGCACACAATGCTTGAGAAAGGCCACCTGGGTACACAGATTCCAAAGAATGGAAGTTGGTGCTCCCAAGTGGAGAGGTTTAGGGGTCATTTATATAGATAACGTCTGGGAAGCTTAGTGGGGCTTCAACACTGTCCACACAGGCCCACACATCCAGTTAGGTGGGGCTGTGTTCCTTTCGGGAGAGGCATATTGAACACAGAGGGTAGAAGAGTCATGGGGTCTTCTGTGCCTTCTGGTCTGAGTTGGGTGCAAGATAATACAGAAAGGTCCACAACCGGGAGAGGAGGAGGGCTTCTCTCTCATGTCATTGACTATTAATTGTGAACCTCAAAAACCTGAGACAGGTCTCAGTTAATTTAGAAAGTTTATTTTGCCAAGGTTGAGGACACACACCCATGATACAGGCTCAGGAGGTCCTGACGACATGTGCCCAAGGTGGTCAGACCACAGTTTGGTTTTATACATTTTAGGGAGACATGAGACATCAACCAACATGTGCAAGATGAACATTGGTTCGGTCTGGAAAGGCGGGACAACTGGAAGCAGGGAGGGGACTTCCAGGTCTTAGGTAGATAATAGACAAATGGTTACATTCTTTTGAGTTTCTGATTAGCCTTTCCAAAGGAGGCAATCAGATATGCATCTATCTCAGTGAGCAGAGGGATGACTTTGAATAAAATGGGAGGCAGGTTTGCCCGAAGCAGTTCCCAGCTTGACTTTTCCTTTTAGCTTAGTGATTTTGGGGCCCCAAGATATGTTCCTTTCACATTTTCCCCCTTTTCTTTTTTAAAATCTTTTGGAGAAAGCATCTTAGAAGAAAATGAGTCTCTGGTCTCAGGTTTTTGTCTGGTCTTTCATGGCTAGGATGTTTTATTCCTGTACAGTTAGGTCCGGAATTATTAGAAAAGCTCATTTTTAGAAGGTTGTGAAATCTCTTGTCCTATGAAAAGAAAATAGGGGGAAGAAGGGAGAAAAACAACAACAAACAAAAGAACAATCTGGGAAAAATCAATATAGGCCACATTACTCTGAAGCCCATACATTAGTAGGCAGGTATGAAAGTGGCGTAAATAGTTGCTGTTGTTTTCTTCTGAAGTTTAAGTTGCCTGGCTTCAGTTCACAGGGCTTTATGAAAGCACAGCTTAGTTTTCAGTGACTCCAAATCAGGAAAAATGGGGGGAAAATACAGAAGAAAAAATCGAAAACATTATTTTGAAGCGTTGTAGCCAAGAAAAATTAGAATTCAGTCAAAACTGTAGAAAATAATAAAAATTGTAAAACATTAGGTAAGACTAGAGTCTAACAACAGGTGTATTATAGGTTTTGCCCATAATTTTTCTTTCTCCAGTTTCCCATTTTTAATAAACACAAATCATGGCAGGACTAGTTTGCTTTATTATACTTGGCCTAATTATTTGTATTCAGTGCAGCAAGAATAATTATTTTTTACATAGGCTTTTTTTTTTGATGGAGTTTTCCTTTGTCACCCAGGCTGGAGTGCACTGACATGAACTCAGCTCACTGCAACTTCCGCCACCCAGGTTCAAGTGATTCTCCTGCCTCAGCCTCCTGAGTACCTGGGATTACAGGTGCATGCCACCACACCTGGCTAATTTTTGTATTTTTAGTAGAGATGGGGTTTTACCATGTTGGCCAGGCTCATCTCCAACTCCTGACCTCAGGTGATCCACCCACTTCGGCCTCCCAAAGTGCTGGGATTACAGGCATGAGCCACCATGCCCAGCCTACATAGGCTTTTAAATTGGCTTTGATGGAACTCTGTCTCAAATAAGACTTTTTTAAAGCTGAGTGCAGCCATGGATTCATATCACCAAATATCTATGAGTTGGGGGATCCTCTTCTCTTGAGGTTCCAAGATAAAACTTGGGGCTGGTGGGCCTGTCAGAAAGTGACATTCTTTACTTACCACAGGTCAGGAACCCTGTACAGGGGCTGTGTAGACAAACATGAGGCCAGTTTTCCCAAGGGGCTTTTATTGGCTCTGTAAGTCAAGTTTGATTCCTTAAAGGAAAGCACACCATTCCAGTCAAAGCCTTGGTAAAGTAACCAGTTTCTCCAAGTGTGTCCTCTTATACATAAAAAGAGATTCTTATTGTACTTATGTAAATAACTGTATTGCCACAAATAGCTTCCAAATTCTGGAGAAATCAGGTAGAGGAAAAAGAAATATGTTATAAATTTTGTTCATAGGAATATACTAAATTGTTAAATGCTGTTAATCACTCAAAAGAAAAGTTTCCCTGGTTCTGAAAAAGCAAAACAAATGATTAACAACATTTTAAGTGAAAAGTCAAAATGATTACTTCAGTCTTGTAATAGTTCAGTTGCTGTAGTTAATTCCTGTTCTGCTTGATATTCCTGAACATTTCAGTTCTCCATAGGTCCTGAAAGTTTTCCTTTTATTCTGATGTCACCATCTCCAAAGCTATTAAAAACTTGTATGCAAGAACAGCTGTTGCAGTTTTATAGCTTTTTTACAAAATCACCTTCTAAGAAGGACCAAAATAAGACAACAATTGTCTGTGAATGACAAAAGGTTTTAGGGCAGCCACAGTCAAAAGCACCATTGACAAGAAAATTTGTTACCTCTGTGGCACATGATAATTTAACATAATAATTATAATTATTACTGATAATGTACACTAAGTCTTATCAGAATTATAGAAGTTTCCTATGATTTGGGAACACATACCAATAACATATTTATACAAACACAGCCCAAAGAAACCCAAACACCATTTCATATTTGACAACACTTCCTATATAATTTTTATACCAAATAAGACAAATTATGTCATTTTTGGACTGTATGGAACTTAATATATTAAAGGATTAATTAGGTCAGAAAAAGACATAATTTATAATTTGATTTTGGAAAGTTTGTCAAATGTCAAAGGTTTAAAACACTTGATATCACAGGTTATTGTACAATAAGTCATTCATTTAACCAAAGTGCTAACTCGATTTCAAAAAAGGTGAAAACCTTCCTTCTTTCAGAGAAAACTTAATATTCCAAACAATAAACCCTAATAAAAACAACAGGAAGCCAATTACATTTGTTTTTCAAAATTTTATAAACAACTTATAAAATTTTAATCTTGACCATAAGATAGAATTTTCATAAGCCTTTTATAAACTTTATAGCCTTAATTTATTAAGGAGTTAGTTAATGCTTCCAGAAAACCTTGTTAATCTGACACAGGGGTCCATGTGCTGGTCTTGCATCAGTGTACTTTTGACATTAATGATTTATTTATAGAGAAACTGAACTTATTTTATCTCTCAAAATCAGCCCTTATAATCTCACACACCCACCTCTTCATGATAGTCCCTGGGCCTTGAGGAGTTGAATAGCTTTAATTTCTAGCCCTATGTCTCAGGAATGCAGTTTATTTTGAATGGCATCTTCTACTGGATCTGAAGATGGAGATTTAGTTCCTGTCAGTGTTTAAAATTTAGCAGGACTTGGTGTTCTTTTTAGATCCAGGAGTCAAAGCCCTGAAACTCAATGTCACAAGTACTTTAAATGCGCACACAGAGAGATACATGGATGTAATAAATTTAATTTTAAAAAACATTAATCTCATTTTTTTCTAAGCAAACCAAAACAATAATAGTGTAACAACTTGATTGCATAAAAGTTTTTGGTTTTTAAAAAAATACACCCTCTTAGGCTGGGCACGATGGCTCATGCCTGCAATCCTAGCACTTTGGGAGGCCGAGATGGGCGGATCACGAGGTCAGGAGATCGAGACCATCCTGGTTAACACAGTGAAACCCCGTCTCTACTAAAAATACAAAAAAATTAGCTGGGCATGGTGGTGGGTGCCTGTAGTCCCAGCTACTCGGGAGGCTGAGGTGGGAAAATGGCATGAACCCGGGAGGCGGAGCTTGCAGTGAGCCAAGATCGCGCCACTGCACTCCAGCCTGGGTGACAGAGCAAGACTCCATCTCAGAAAAAAAAAATATATATATACATCCTCTTACTGTGACTTACACAGACCATTCATGACATGCTTGGACTTTTTGGGTTGACCTGAATATCCCTCTTTCATAAACAACCACTCATTTTACTGTAGGACTAAATTGATCATACAGGATTCTGTCTCATATAAAATTACTTCTCTTTAAGCTTTCTTACCAAAGTAAAACCCTTTTATTTTTATAACTTTCTTTACATCTATTTCCTGGTTTCTTTTACCTTGTTTTATATATGACCTTTAAATAAGCTTTGAATGAGACAAAAATTGCTCACCTTTTTTTAAAAGCACACACTTTTTTTTAGAAAGAATGTTTTCCTATAAATATATTTATTGGAAAATACCCAAATAATGAAATATCTATTATTTAATTTAACTTTAGATGAGTTTGCCTACAAGTATTTATCCCATTACATTTACCTAATTATTTTAATTGTTCACCTAAATTATTTATGAAAACTACAATAGTCATCATTTAAAGTTACAGAACTGCCACTGCAAAATTATTACTAACACAGTGAAAAAGATTTGACCTAACTGACTCCATCTTGCCTTGAACCTCCAAGCTGTCCTTATTCATTCCTGAGTGTAGGTCAAACTAACATTGGGAGGAACTTATAGTTTAGCTTTAAAACAAAGATGATAACAAACCCTACTGGCTGTGGACTAGACCACCTAAAACCACAAGATTAGAAGTTAATGGTAATCTTGCTAAATTCAAGATGTAGCTGTTTTTATTAAATCAATATCAGTGTCTTATTAAAGATTACACAAGCAAAAAATCATTGTTTTGGGCTTGGTTTATAGTTTTGCAACCCCTATGCCAAATCTTGACACCTTACAGTATTTGGCAGGGAGAAGTATAAAATTGCTTTAAAAATGCAAACAAAAATGTATGCTGGCAATTCTCAAGACATTTCTAATATTACTTTACCAATAATTTTAAAGCTAGCTTATTTATTAAAGATTTTACTTAAGTTACATAAACTTCAAAAAGGGTTTGATTAGTATTTTTTTCCTGATAAAGTATTTGATTCAAGTGCTTTTATTTTCTTAAGCCAGTTAATCAGAGCTCTTTTATATATTTTCAGTAGTGAAACATTGTGTATACAACACATAAATAGTCATATTAGTCATACCAATAGAAGTACATCTTGTAGATTCCTAAGACCTCCTTTTTTTCCTTTATCTTAGACTTGCAAGCTCTTGATAACCTGTTTTATTACCCTGGCAGTTGTCAATTAAATAGCCCTAAGTCTGCATATTGAAGGAAATGACTCTTAGACGAAAAATCAGACGGCAGAATTTACATCTCAAGGTATAGGCAGAAAAAGCCTGGTGGTGCTAAGGGGAGATTAAAGATGCATGCCAAATCAAACATAAAATTTATAGAAATCTATCATATGATTGTGTAAGGAGACAACTTTTGTTTAAAGATTACCTACGTTCTTAACTGGATCTCTGAGCTCTAGACAGAGCCCACACTGAATCCTGGGTCTCCACAAAGGGAGAATTACTATGAGACTAAACCATATGATGCTTTTACAGTGCACTTAAAATTTTTTTTCTTAATGAAAAAAAATTTCCTCATTAAGAAAAAATGAAGGGGAGGCAGCGGAAGTTGTACAGCAAAATAAATGTTAAATCTCAACCAAATTTTGATAGGTTTGGCTATGTCCTCACCCAAATCTCATCTTGAATTGCAACTTCCACAATTCCCACATGTTATGGGAGGAACCTGGTGGGAGGTAATTGAATCATGAGGCACGTCTTTCCCATGCTGTTCTTGTGATAGTAACTCTCATGAGATTTGATGGTTTTAAAAATGGGAGTTTCCCTGCACAAGCTCTCTCTCTTTGCCTGATGCCATCCATGTCACACATGACTTGCTCCTCCTTGTCTCCCACCATGATTGTGAGGCCTCCCCAGCCATGTGGAGCTGTAAGTCCATTAAACTTCTTCCATTTATAAATTGCCCAGTCTGGGGTATGTCTTTATCAGCAGCATGAAAATGGACTAATACAGTAAATTGGTACCAGTAGAGTGGGACACTGCTGAAAAGATACCTGAAAATGTGGAAGCAACTTTGGACTGCGTAAAAGGCAGGGGTTGGAACAGTTTGGAGGGCTCAGAAGCAGCCAGGGAAACGTGGGAAAGTTTGGAACTTCCTAGACACTTGCTGAATGGCTTTGCCCAAAATGCTGATAGTAATACGGACAATAAAGTCCAGGCTGAGGTGGTCTCAGATGAAAATGAGGAGCTAGTTGGGAACTGGAGTAAAGTGACTCTTGTTATATTTTAGCAAAGAGACTGGTGGCATTCTGCCCCTGCCCTGGAGATGTGACGAATTCTGAACTTGAGAGAGATGATTTAGGATATCTGGCAGAAGAAATTTCTAAGCAGCAAAGCATTCAAGAGGTGACTTGGGTGCTGTTAAAGGCGTTCAGTTTTATAAGGGAAAGAGAGCATAAAAGTTTGGAAAATTTGCAACCTGACAATGTGATAGAAAAGAAAATGCCATTTTCTGAGGAGAAATTCAAGCCAGCTGCAGAAATTTGCATAAGTAACAAGGAGCTGAATGTTAATCCCCAAGACAATGGGGAAAATGTCTCCAGGGCATGTCAGAGGTCTTCACAGCAGCCCCTCCCATCACATGCCCAAAGGCCTAGGGGAAAAAGTGGTTTCATGGGCCAGGCCCAGGGTTGCCATACTGTGTGCAGCCTAGGGACTTGGTGCCCTGCATCCCAGCCACTCCAGCCATGGCTGAGAGGGGCCAACATAGAGCTCAGGTCATGGCTTCAGAGTGTGCAAGTCCCAAGCCTTGGCAGTTTCCACATGGTGTTGAGCCTGTGAGTCCACAGAAGTCAAGAATTGAAGTTTGGGAACCTCTGCCTACATTTCAGATGTATGGAAATGCCTGGATGCCCAGGCAGAAGTTTGCTGCAGGGGTGGGGCCCTCAGGAGACCCTCTGCTAGGGCAGTGTGGAAGGGAAATGTGGGGTCAGAGCCCCCATGCAGAGTCCCTACTGGGGCATCACCACTAGTGGACCTGTGAGAAGAGGGCCACCATCCTCCAGACCCCAGAATGGTAGATCCACTGACAGCTTGCACTGTGCACCTGGAAAAGCCACAGACACTCAACACCAGCCCATGAAGGCAGCTGGGAGGGAGGCTGTACCCTGCAAAGCCACAAGGGTGGAGCTGCCCAAGACCATGGGAACCCACCTCTTGCATCAGCATGACCTGGATGTGAGAAATGGAGTCAAAGGAGATCATTTTGGAGCTTTAAGATTTGACCACCCCGCTGGATTTCAAACTTGCATAGGGCCTGTTTCAGCCAATTTCTCCCATTTGAAATGGCTGTATTTACCCAATGCATGTACCCCCATTGTATCTAGGAAGTAACTAACTTGCTTTTGATTTTACAGGCTCGTAGGTGGGAGGAACTTTCCTTGTCTCAGAAGAGACTGGACTGTTGACTTTTGAGTTAATGTTGAAATGAATTAAGACTGCGGGAGACTGTTAGGAAGGCATGATTGGTTTTGAAATGTAAGGACATGAGATTTGGGAGGGGCCAAGGGCAGAATGATAGGGTTTGGCTGTGTCCCCACCCAAAACTCATCGTGAATTCCCACGTGTTGTGGGAGGGACCCAGTGGGAGGTAATTGTATCATGGGGGAAAGTCTTTCCCATGCTTTTCTCCTGAGAGTAAGTAAGTCTCACAAGACCTGATGGTTTTTTGAAGAGAAGTTCCCCTGCACATGTTATCTTTCTCTTTGCCTGCTGCTATCCATGTAAGACGTGACTTGCTCCTCGTTCCATTCCCCCATGATTGTGAGGCACTCCCAGCTACGTGGAACTGTAACTCCATTAAACCTCTTTATTTTGTAAACTGCTTCAGAGGATGCAAGCCCCAAGCCTTGGCAGCTTCCACATGCTGTTGACCCTGTGAGTGCACAGAAGTCCAGAATTGAAGTTTGGGAACCTCCACCTAGGTTTCAGAGGGTGTATGGAAACGACTGGATGTCCAGGAAGAAGTTTGCTGCAGGGGCAGGACCCTCATGGAGAACCTCTGCTAGCACAGTGTGGAACGAAAATGTGGGGTGGGAGCCCCCACACACAGTCCCCACTGGGGCACTGCCTAGTGGAGCTGTGAGAAGATGGCCACTGACCTCTAAACCCCAGAATGGTAGATCCACAAACAGCTTGCACCGTGTGCCTGGAAAAGACACAGACACTCAATACCAGTCTGTGAAAGCAGCCAGGAGGAAAGCTGTTCCCTGTAAAACCACAGGGGCGGAGCTGCCCAAGACCACAGGAAACCACCTCTTGCACCAGTGTGACCTGGATGTGAAACATGGAGTCAAAGGAGATCATTTTGGAGCTTTAAGATTTGACTGCACTGCTGGATTTCAGACTTGCATGGGGCCTGTGGCCCCTTTGTTTTGGCCAATTTCTCCCATTTGAAATGGCTGTATTTACCCAATGCATGTACCCCCATTGTATCTAGGAAGTAACTCACTTGCTTTTGATTTTACAGGCTCATAGGCAGAAGGGACTTGCTTTGTCTCAGATGAGACTTTGGACTGTGGAGTTTTGAGTTAATGCTGAAGTGAGTTAAGACTCTGGGAGACTGTTGGAAAGGCATGATTGGTTTCAAAATGTGAGGACATGAGATTTGGGAGGGGCCGGGGGTGGAATGATATGGTTTGGCTCTGTGTCCTACCAAAATCTCACCTTGAATTGTAACTCCCACAATTCCCACATGTCGTTGGAGGAACCCAGTGGGAGGTAATTGAATCATAAAGTCAGTCTTTCCTGTCTTGTTTTCATGATAGTGAATAAGTCTGCAGAGATCTGATGGTTTTAAAGATGGGAGTTTCTCTGCACAAACTCTCTTTGCCTGCTGCCATCCATGTAAGATGTGACTTGCTCCTCCTTGCCTTCCACCATCATCATGAGGGCTCCCCAGCGATGCCAAACTGTAAGTCCATGAAACCTCTTTCTTTTGTAAATTGCCCAGTTTCGGGCATGTCTTTATCAGGAGCGTGAAAATGGACTAATACAAACACATTTCTAAGTGTCTAAACTACAGTCTTCCTTAAAAAACAAGGGTAGTCTCTGTTGCAATAACTATTTTAGTTAAAAAAATCAGGTACACAATACAAAATTAAGTGGTTTAAGGACTGAAACAAACTTGTCTGTTTAAATTCTTGGGGTTCCATAAGGAAAAACAGAGGTTTCTCCCCCAAAGGGAGTCTAGCACCTTCTCCATTTTCTTTAAGGAGTTTCTTTAAGGAACTCCACACTATTTATAAATAATATAAACTATTTTAGGTCCCCCGTGCAGCAGAGGGTGCAAGAGAAAGGAGAGACAGCAGAAGTAAATGAAGAAACTAGAATTGAGTCAACTGAGAAGAAAAAAACCTTTGTTCAAAAAAAAGACAAGGTTCTAAGAGAGGAAAAAAACAAAAACAAAAACATGAAGGTCCTTTAAAAACAAACACATACACACATTTTGGATGTTAACTTTAATTTATCTGACTTTCAACCATTGAGCTCCTTTAAAAAAAAAGTTTTAAAATCTCATTACCATATTGCAGCTAGGACAAATTGCTGCTATTTCAGAAGTACCAAGTATCAAACCAGAAAGGACTTGATTTAGGAACCAAACCCAGCTGTCATGCTGGAAAAAAAAAAAAAAGGAAGGCAGAACCCTAGGCATTGAACTGCACTGTGGGGTAACAGCCATTGCTTTCAGTTTGGCCTGGCTAGCAAAAAGTGGTCTTGTTATGTAAATAAAGCCCCTTAAGTAATGAAAATCAAAAATCAATCTTTTTTTTTTTTTTTTTTTGGTGGGAATTTAGCCACTTCAGAGGCCTTGTTCCCCATAATTTGAAACTTTCCTTCAGATTTGATCAAGTCAGATAGAATTGGTCAAACCCAATGGGAAAAAGACTGAAACAACAAAAACAGAAACAAACAACAAAACAACAAAGAGCAAAGCAAAACAAACAATTGCACAACTTATATCATTACTGAGTGCTCTAACAGTAAGCAGAAATTAAGACCAGCTGGCTGTTAATTTTAACTTTAGCCAAGACAAACCTCAATTCAGTTACTTACCTAGGGATGGATCTCAGGCTGAAGACTGCTCTCCACCATCCTAGAAGCAGGAAAAAAAACCTCATCTTCCCTGTTGGAAGTGAGCTCAAACTCCATAAAGGAGTTACCTGCCTCCCATCATCATAGAAGCAGGAAAAAACTTGCCTGTCTTGTGTTGGAAACAAGTAAAACTCCAAAAAAAGGGGGGGTGGTGGGAGTTGTACAGCATAAACATTAAATCTCAACCAAATTTTGGGAGATCAGGGATTTTTTGGAGGGGGTGCTTCCAGGCCTCAGTAAATTGCCCTATTGGTTTGAGCCATAAAGATAACTCAAGCTGGTACTAAGCACTCATAGGAGATTTTTTCAAAGGTCAGAGGCACCTCCACTCAGAATCCCTTTGTGATTACCAAAATATGAACCCAGAAAATCTGAGACAAGTTTCAGTTAATTTAGAAAGTTTATTTTGCCAAGGTTGAGGACACACGCCCATGACACAGCCTCAGGAGGTCCTGACATGTGCCCAAGGTGGTCAGACCACAGTTTGGTTTTCTACATTTTAGGGAGATATGAGACATCAATCAACATATGTAAGATAAACATTGGCTCAGTCTGGAAAGGCGGGACAACTCAAAGTGGGGCAGGGGCTTCCAGGTCATAGGTAGATAAGAGACAAATGGTTGCATTCTTTTGAGTTTCTGATTAGCCTCTCCAAAGAAGGGAATCAGATATACATTTATCTCAATGAGCAGAGGGGTGACTTTGAATAGGAGACAGGGAGGGGCTCATTCCATAGGCCCCTCCCCACCGAACTTGAAAAATCCTCACCTCTGAATTTTAGGGGAGGCTGATTTAAGTAATAACTGCTCTAAGCAGTTCTCAGCTTGACTTTTCCCTTTAGCTTAGTGATTTGGGAGCCCCAGTGTATTTTCCTTTCACATAATCAATTTACAGAACAAGAAAAAAGAGAAAGAGAGGTGACCTATAGCTGGAGAAGTGGAAGCTGCAGCTGCATGCTGCACGGTTATGCCACACAGCCACATTTCCTTCTAGGCTCAACGTCATTTCTAGGGTTCCAAAAATTGATGATGTTCATTCATTTTTTACACCCCTCTGTGAAGGCCCCAGTACTGGCCCAGACTGGCCAGGTACCCCACGGTGCAGAGGGATATGCAGCGGCTCCCCACAGGCCTGGCTTGGGCCACATCCATCAGCAGGCAGACCATGGTGAAGAGACCTCTGCAAAAATTTTAAGTGCAAGAGATCTGACCTAACTGACTCCATCTTGCCTTTAACCTCCAAACTGCCCTTGATCACTTCTGGGAGTGGGCCAAGCTAACTTTGGGAGAAATTTAGTTTGTAATTTAAATGATAACAGCCCTTCCCACGACTAAGCCACCCTCGTAATACTAATGAAAGGCCACCAAGTTAAGAGGATGAGAGGGGCCTGGATTCTGCTAAGATGTAGGGATAAACAATTACTCTTGTCCCAGAGGTTACAAGATTTTCAACTTCCCCAATTACTCCTGCAGATAACATCACTATTGTAGAACCTAGGATTGGACTTTTAAGATGTATTTTCAGACAGGGTCTCATTCTGTCACCCAGGCTGGAGTGCAGTGGCAGAATCATGGCACAGTGTGGCCTTGACCTCCTGGGCTCAAGCAGTCTTCCTGCCTCAGCCTCCCAAGTACCTGAGACCACAGGGACGTGCCACCACTCCTGGCTATTTTTTTTTTAATGTTTTGTAGAGAAGAGGTCTCACTATGTTGCCCAGACTGGTCTCGAGCTCCTGGGCTCAAGCATTCCTCCTGCCTCAGCCTCCCAAAGTGCTAGGATTACAAGTGTGGGCCACTGTGCCTGGCCACACTTTTGCATTCCTGACACCAGATGGCTCTACCGGGACCAGCAGACCAGCAGCTCCTTGGTAGCTCTCACCCAAAAGTGGACTCAGTGCACAAGGACCTTTTCTACACCCCTATGATTGCATCCCTAGCCAATCAGCAGCATCCATTCCCTAGGCCCTGCCCACCAAACTGTCCTTGAAAAATTCTCACCTCTGAATTTTAGGGGAGGCTGATTTAAGTAATAAGAAAACTCCACTCTCCCATTTAGCTGGCTCTATGTATATTCAACTCTTTCTCTACTGCAATTCCCCTGTCTTGGTAAACTGGCTCTATCTTGGCAGTGGGCAAGAAGTACTCATTGGGCAGTTACAGTAGGGCTGACTGGCACATGAGAGTGGTGGGACTGAGAGGCCTGGGAGCCTCCACCCTGCAGGGTCTGCTGATTGGTATCAAACCAAATAAACCACAAGGTCGGGGGAAGCTGCAGGGGAGGAGCAGCAGGAAGGACACTGTTCTGTGGCCCAGCCCAGAGCACCCCCACATGGTGTCCATGGCCATTCTAGTGTACCCTGACCTCTCACACTACTCCAACCCTCACAGCACACCTGCTGCCCTCCTGGGGTGCTGGCCTCCCTTCAGGGAAGGGGAGATTCTGGGCTTACAAAGACCAGGACAATGGCCAGAGGAAAGATGTGACAGGCCCTGGCTCCCTCCCTGCTGATGTCTTCCCTCTGCAGCCAGACTCCAGCCACTCCTTGCTAAGGGTCCAGCCTGATTCTGCTGAGCAAGGAATGTTTGTGAGGCTCCCAGGCTGGAGGCCAATGTGGTCCCTGTGTCTTGGTGGGATCCTGTCACCCTACCCCCAGGGCTACCCCAGAACAGGCAATTCAAAGAAGAGGGCTGTACCCAGGGCTCAGGAGCACAGACTCCCACCAGCCCTCCTCAGCTGGCAGAGCCCACCTGACCTCCCTGGCTGGCTCAGCTCTCACTGGGCATCTGGAGTCCTCCCCACCCCAGAGTCAGGCACAGCCAGTGCAGGTGCCACCTGCTTAATGCTGTCCTGCCCAGGCGCCCTGCCCAAGCCCCCAGCCACTCCCCAGCTCAAGGGTCAAGGGGCACAGCCTCCTGGGTGCTGATTTGCTGCAGCCAAGAGCCTTGAGCTGCCCCAGGCCCTCCTCAGTGAAGATGAGGCCAAGAGCAAGCAGAAGACCTAGGCCTCCCAACTAAGTGCCTCTCTCAGCAGAGAGCTGCACTTCTGGAGGTCAGCTGCGGAAGCTCCTTGCCCTGCCAGCCTCGGGGTCCCTTCTGAGGCTCTGCCTGCCCCAAGGTGGCTTTGAGGAGGCCTCCCCTGCTCAGCCTCCTATGGCGGCTTCAAGGGCTTCTTGAGCCACAGCTGGAACCATGGGGGCTGCCCTCAGGTGACCACCCCCAGGCTGGATCCCTCTCTGCCTTTGCATGCCCCCTTGAGATGGGTCCTAGTAGTGCCAGTTCTCCTTCCCCAGCAAGGGCTGCTCCAGGTTACTGCCCACACAGAGACCCTGGGGACCAGCACTGACTTCAGAGGTGGCACCATTCAATGTCCTCTAGTGGTGACCTTGCTGTGACCGCTGGCCTGGGGCCCCTGAAGAGCTGACACCCCACAGACACCATGTGTTAGGCACTGTGTGAAGGTTGGGCCCTGCAGAGTGGCCCCACACGAATCAGACATTCTTGAGAGTGAAAGGGGTGTTATTAGCAATTGTTCCAGGACAACAGGTGCCACCAGGACTGCCCAGGGAAAGCAGGACACAGCAGCACCCTAGGCACATCCACCTCAGCACAGCAGGAGGCTGGCAGACACAGCCAAGGCAGATGTCTCCAGAGGCCAAGAAAAGCGGGGAATCACAGGCAACAGGCAGGGGAAGGGATGCAGTGAGATCCCAGGCTGTGGAGTAAAACGGCTCCGGACTCCAAACTGTGTCCCTGACCATCCCTGCTGCTCCTGAGCCTCAACTGCTCATCTGTACAATGGGGATGGCACTAGTGACCAGCCAGGTGTCAGGAAGATTAGATAAGTGCCACAGAATGTGGACAGCACAGGTCCCACTAAGCGCGTTCTGCCTCCTGTCTTCTTGGGTCCTCTCTTCCTCCTTTGCTGCTTTTACACTGGGTATTTTCCAATGTAGCGTTTTAATTTAATGATTTTTTCACTCTATTTTCTAAATTATTTCTTTAGTGGTTGTTCTAGGGATCACCATTTACATTTTATCAGAATCTACTGTGGATCTGCGCTAATTCTACCTTCTTAATCTCCATTTGAGGCAATATTGGCTCACCCCTTCCTTTAGTTTTACCACCTTTAGTTCTTCAATCATGTCCTTTAGTTCTCAGACCATATTTATGATGGCCACTTTGAAACCTTTTTCTTTTAAATCCAGCATCTTACTCTACATAGGTAGTTTCTATTACCTGCCTTTTTCCCCAGTGTATAGGCCATACTTTCCTGTTTCTTTGCATGCCTCATAATTATCTGTTGAAGAGTGGACATCTTAGGTAACCTATTGTAGCAATTCTGGATACTAGCCAACCCAATCTCAGACTATTTTCCTACTTTCTTTGCTTAGTGACCAGCTAGACTATTTTAGTGGCATCCATTTCCCACCCCACATCCCAGAGCCTCTGACTGCATCTCAGTTTTTCTCCTCAGGAGCACAGCCTAGGTTATGCCCTCAGTCACCCTGGATGACAGTGGTTTGAAAGTGTTGCAAAGCTCTTTGTTGTTTTCCCTGACCACATCCAGCTGTTAAGCTCCACTAATGATCAGCTGATTGTTCTGTTTAAACTGCTTCACAGGTTAATCCAATCAAATTTGGGCTCCTTTGAAGGGATAGTTCCTGAAGTTAGTGTTTGTGATACTTTTACCAGCCAGACTATATTTTTGGCATATATCTCCAATAAATCTACTGATTTACCACAGTTGCCTTTCTCCATCACTTCCACTGTTTTTGAGAGCACCCTTAGGCTTGAACTTCACATCCTTACAAATGAAGTCAGTTCCTGTGGGGAGGAATGTGGAGCTCTCTGTTCTATGGCCTGCTTCTCCAGTGGCTCTGCCGTTTGGGGTGGGGACAACGCTGTATCTCCCCAACTTTGGGAGCTGAGCGTTTGGTGGGAGGGGAATCAGCAATACCAGGTGTTCTGGGCTTGCCTCTCAGTGTAGACTCCCCACTCTACAGGTGAAGCCCACTAAGAGTTGTTGCCTGCCTCCATCCCTCACACCCACAGCTCACCTCATAAATCTATCTTGTGCCCAGCACTGCCATGAGGCAGAAGTTCTCCAACATTATGTCTCTGTGGAAGCCTCTGGGGAGGGCTTAGGAATTGCCAACTCCTCTAGTGAAGTCACTGCCACATCCGCGCAGCACACAGAACTTCACGGACCTGAAGCAGGCTGGAAACTCTGCTCTCTCCTTACAGAAACTGGAGGAGCTCAGACATAATTGCTGGAGAGGGCATGAAGGCACAAGGCCTGGGCTGACTTGCACTGCTAGATGAGTCCTATACTCACTCACCCATCCTCTACAATCATGCTACCCAGACCCCTTGTAACTAGTTGTACTCATATGACTGGGACCTGGCTCGAGGGACAGGAGCAGAAGTGGTGTGCTTTCTGGAGGCAGACACAGTGGTGGGGAGGCAGACACAGTGGTGGGGATTAGAGCAGGTGTCCTGTAACATCTTCAACCCTGTGGCTCCCTTCATGAAATACACATGGCATGTCTTGGTCTGTTTGCATGGTTATAAAGTAACACCTGAGGCTGAGTAATTTATAAAGAAAAGAGGTTTATTTGGCTCACAGTTCTGCAGGCTGTACAAGCAGCATGGTGCCAGCATTTGCTTCTGGTGGGGGCTTCAGGGAGCTTCCACTCATGACGGAAGGCAAAGGGCAGCAGCATCACATAGCAAGAGCAGGAGGAAGAAGGGAGGGAGGTGCCACCAGGCTCTTTTTAACAAACAGTTCTCACAGAAACTAATCAAGTGAGAACTCACTTGTTACCACAAAGATGGCACCAGGCTATTCATGAAGGATCCATCCCGATAACAGGAACATTTCCCACCAGGCCCCACCTTCAACACTGGGGATCAAATTTCCATATAAGATTAGAAAGGGACAAACATCCAAACTGTATCATGGCAGAAGGAGCCTGGCTCTGCCAGACAGTTGAGCTGTTTCATTAGCCCTGATTTCCCTTCTCAACTAGTATGTGTGCAAGCACTGAACTGCTATCTTGCGTACACAACTCCAGGGTCCCTCTGTTATTGGCGCTGGGTAGGGTATGGTGGGAATCCTCCAGGCCCTGGCCATGAGGTGCTCCGTATTTATTGCCTCTGTCCGGGTCATGGTGGGCAGGTGGGTCTGCCTCCCCTTCTGGACCAGGTGAACCTTAACAATAGGTGCATGTTTTACTCATTCCAAGTCCCCCAGGGGCCTGGCCCATGACTGGCACTGAGGAGTTAGGGGCAATGGCAGAACTGCCTGGACCTGAAGCAGGCTGGAACCTCTGTTCTCTCCTTACTGCCTGTCTCAGTCAGTTTTGATTGCGATAACAAAATACCACAGGCTAGGTGTCTTAAACAACATAAATTAATTTTTCACAGATCTGGGGACTGAAAGTCCAATATCAAAGGCACTGGCAGTCTGGTGTCGGCTGAAGGCTTTCTCATTTGCAGATGGCAATTTTCTATTTTATTTCCTTTTTTTTTTTTTTTAGCAATAAGGTCTTATCATGCCTAGGCTGGTCTCGAACTCCTGGACTCATGCAATCCTAATGCCTTGGCCTTCCAGTGCTGGGATTACAGGCGTGAGCCACTGCACCCAGCTTGAAGATGGCAGTTTTCTTGTATGCTCACACAGCACAAAGTGACCTCGCTCTAGTTCCTTCCTTTTCTTATAAGGACTCGATCTCATCGGCGAGCCCCACCCTCACGATCTCACCTAAGCCTAGTCACCTCCCAAAGGCCCCACCTCCTAATACCACCCTCCTGGGGGTCAGGGTTTCAACATATAAACTTTGGGGGGGGACACAAACATGCAGTCCTTAACACCATCGTCATGGAGATGGAGGCCACAGACCTACCAACACCCATAACCTCAAGGGCACTGGTGGGGACAGAGGGGTCTTACCCAGCACTGCCATGTGGCAGAAGTTCTCCAACATTATGTCTCTGTAGAGGCCTCCAGGCAGCACTTAGGAATTGCCAACTCCTCTGGTGAGGTCACTACCACATCCTCAAGGCCCACAGTCTCCTGAAACAACAGAACTTTGCTGCTTCATGGAGGAGCGTCAGTATGTCCACACCATAGGGGTGTAGTCACTTCCCTCTGCCAGGGAGAATGGTGGAGGAAGAATGGATTCCTAGTGTATTTTTTCTCTTCAGAACTGACAGCCCATCAAGGTACAATGAAATAGAAAAAAGGCTGGCCAGGTGCCAAGTCCCAGCTCAAGCCTGGCAGCTCCTCCCACTGAGCCTCATGGTCACCCCAGAGGACAGGCCTTCCTTTCACACACATCAGAAATAGGGAACCCAAGACCTCGAGAGAGGAAATGGGCCCAGGGACATGCCTTGGCTTGGGGTGGCTTAGGACCAGGGCAAGACGCCTGACCCCAGAGCAGACCATGCTGACACTGGGCAACACATTCCCTGCTCTGGACCTCAGTTCCTTTGGCTACTAAGGAGGCCCAACGATCCTCGCCTGTGTGGGACGGGGCTACCTGCAGACATAGAGGGCCTTTGAGCACCTCGTAGCTTGCTTCCCAGCCAGCCTGGGTGTGGAAATGGCCGTGCTGACAGGCTCTCTGCGATAGGGCCCAGCCATGGCCAGTGGGCCTCCCACAATCTGCCCCTGGGTGCAGGGCCTTGAGCAGGGAGGCCATCGTGCTGCCTAAGAGACCAGGACCCAGCAGGGGCCATACCCAGATTCAGAGGCTCAGGACCACCACGGAACTGAAAGGAGGTTCAAGGCCTCAAACAAGAGTGGCCCCTAAAACAGTTGGTAAAGGAGTGTTTTCACCTCTGTTTACAGTTGAGTGCACTGCTCAAGGTCATGCAGCTGGTGAACAGCAGGGAGTGAGCAGTGGAGAACGTGAGGCTGGTCATTAGGAGCAGGTAGCCCTGGGTCTCCCTCTGCCCTCAGCAACTTCACACCTGCCCCTCCCTGGGCCCCAGTCTCATCCCTAAACAGGAGTGACCCCACCTCATTTCATGTCATCATCACTGCCCTGCAAGGGAAACAACAGATGTGCAAGGTCTGAGGGTCCATGTGTAGAAGCAGAGGCCAGAGCTGACACCACATGGGCAAAGGAGTGGGCGTGTGGGGCTGGGAGCTGGGGCTCATGTGGGAGGCTGGTGGCTGCCATGGCTGCAGCTCCTGGCCCTGCGGACAGCCAGGCCTGGGGTCTACAAGAGCTGGGCAGGGAAGAGGACAAACAAGGTCTCACAGGTCCATTCTCCCCAGCCTCCCAGTAGGCAGCTGAGTCCAACGCAGTGCCCGAGAGCTCAGCCCTTGTCAAGGAGAGTCCTCGAACCCAGAGGGGGCTGGGTAAGCAGCAGAAGTGCAGAAGCCCTGCCCAGGCCCTGCCTCCCAGGCCACCACCCACCCCTCACGGCTGCCACACCCACCAGCCCATGACTGTCCACATCCTGACCCCTACCTACCTCATGACCTCCCCGACCCTGATCTCCACACCTGACCCCAAAGCACATTTTGTTATTTTTTGTTTTTAGAGATTAGGTCTCTCACTCTGTCACCCAGGCTGGAGTGCAGAGGCCATAACTCACTGCAGCCTCAAACTCCTGGGCTTGGGGATCCTCCCGCCTCGGCCTCCTGAGTAGCTGGGGTTACAGGCACATGCCACCACACCTGGCTCATTTTCTTTTACTTTCTGTAGAGATGGGGTCTCCCTATGTTGCCCAGGCTGGTTTCAAACTCCTGAACTAAAGTGATCCTCCTGCCGTGGCCTTCCAGAGTACTGGGATTTCAGGCAGAAGCCACCACACCCGGATCCCCAATAAGCACATTTATGTGGGGCGTGAGGTGAGGTCCCTGAGGTGCAGTGTGGACGGGTCTTGATTTGTCCCAAGTTGTCGCTGCCCTGTGCCACAGCCTCCCAAGAATGGATGCAGTCTACACCTTCTGCAAACCCCTGCCTCAAACCGTGTCCCTCCACAAGCACATCCAGCCACTGGGACCCTGAACCTCCTCCAAATGGACTTTAACTGGGGACAACTGATGACAGTCCTCCAACCCCAGCGAGCTGGGGAAGCCGTGGGCAGGGGCTGCGACTTCCTTTCTTCCAATCAACTCCACCACTAGCAATCAATCACTTGGCCCACTGGATAAGAACAGTGGCCTGCGACGTCAGGGGCAGTCCAGGTGCTCTCCATCGCATGCTCAGCCATGGCTGAGCACGAATGAAGCATATGGAAGTCACGCACAGACAGGCCCAGGGCAAGGTCTGCTCTAGACCCTCCTATGCAGGAGACAGACAACTTCCAGGACAGCGTGCCTGGGGTGCTCGCAGAAGGCCAGGCTGGCACAGGCAGGACAGGTGTTCTGTAAACCAACCCCAACGTAGAAGGGGCTGAAAGACCACCTACCCATCCTAACCCCTGAATTCACCATGCCACCCTGAAAGTATGGCCTCTCCTGGGCATCCCGAGGGATGGGAGCTCCCAGAGTGGAGGCTGCCTGTCCCGAGTGAGGACACAGGAGCGCCCTCAGGCCTGAGCACTCAGGGGTGCCACCCCAAAGATGAAGGCAGTGGTGGAAAGAGGTTCTATTAGCAGGCTGGAAGCAGCCACAGAGGTCCCAAACCATATGACGCAGCACCTGCTACCCCACGAGCCACTGGAAAACTGAGGCTGCAACTTGCAGGGGCACTGTGAGAAGACAGGGAGTGGCTCCAGCCTGGTGCTCACAGATAAAACGCGGAGGCATTTAAACAGGACCAGAGACTTTCTCGCTCTGCTCTGGCAAGCTCCAGGGCTTCCCAGGGGCCTCAGCAGCCCCAGAAACAGAGTGAAGAGACACAGCCTCACAGAGCTGTGCTGTGGTGTCTGGTACAGCGGGGCTCCACCTGAGAGGGCTTGGGGAAAAAGATTCTGAGGCTAAAACATTCAACCACTTGAGCTTCTGAGACGGGTCAGGAAGTGAAAACAAAGTGCTCGGAGGACACGGCAGTCTCCATAAAGCGTTCTGGGGGACAGGACCGAGGCAAGAGGTATGCACCAGGCAGCTGGGCCCAGCAGCTCAGAGATGAGTACGCTCTGGGCTCCCTAAAAACCTCACTCCAGCAGCGAGCCCAGGTGAGGAGGG